>NC_000007.14:40240242-40543272 GCF_000001405.40 Homo sapiens
GGAGGCCAAGGTGGGCGGGTCACCTGAGTTCGGGAGTTCGAGACCAGCCTGATCAACATGGAGAAACCCCATCTGTACTAAAAATACAAAATTAGCCAGATGTGGTGTTGCATTCCTGTAATCCCAGCTACTCTGGAGGCTGAGGCAGGAGAATCACTTGAACCTGGGAGGCAGGGATTGCAGTGAGCTGAGATGGCGCCATTGCACTCCAGCCTGGGTGACAAGAGCGAAACTCCATCTCCAAAAAAAAAAAGAAAAGAATCAGAAGAATCAGGCCATGCTGGGAGTCCCCCTTAAGAGAGTTGTTTTCCCTTATCTTATCAGCAATATATTAACAATTCCCTAAGCCTCTCAGCAGAGATTGTACGGGAAAGCACTTCTGAAAGCCTTGGCTAATATTTTTAACCAGCCAGTGCACACACACTATTGCCAATTATATCCATTGCATATGAACTTTTCTGTAACTGCACAGCCATGTATCTGTGCTGTAGCATAACTCCATGTTGTCAGATGAGTGATTGGAACTCAGGCTTCTCTGACATCAGGAGGCTTCTCCACATCACCCTACGCGGTGGAGCCCAAGTTTATCAGGGTTGTCGGTCAGGGAAGGCATCTCTGAGGGCATATATTTAGGGTGGGATCCTGTTAAGCATTAGCCGATTAGCATTAGAGAGTAATGCATGGTATTGCATGTCATCTAGATGCTGGAGAGTCTGGTAGTTTTGAAGAGCCAAAAGAAGGGCAGTGTCACTGGATTATTGTGAACTAATAAGGAAGTGGGGCCAAATGTGGTTGGGGAGGTAAGGAACAGTGGCTGAACTTATTGCTTGTGGATTTATTACCTTACTTAATAGTTTGATGAGAAAATACATTATTATATGCAAATATATTTTTAGTGATAATCTCATATATTTCTCTCTTGAAATCGAGTGATATTCCAAATATATAGACTAGTGTTATAATGAAAAAACTCAAAGTGCAACTTTTTTTCCTATAGTGTTATAATAATGTCATTTTTATTCAAAACTGGGCATATCTAAATGTATAGTATAGGGACTGGGCATGGTGGCTCACGCCTGTAATCCCAGCACGTTGGGAGGCTGAGGCGGGCGGATCACTTAAGGTCAGGAGTTCAAGACCAGCCTGGCCAACATGGTGAAACCCCGTCTCTACTAAAAATACAAAAATTAGCTGGGCATCGTGGCACATGCATGTAATCCCAGCCACCCGGAAGGCTGAAGCAAGAGAATTGGTTGAACCCGGGAGGTGGAGGTTACAGTGGCCCAAGATTGCACCACTGCCCTCCAGCCTGGGTGTGAAAGAGAGACTCTGTCTCAAAAAAAAAAAAAAAAGGAAAAAGTATACTGTAGGGAAAATTTTATGAAAGAAGTCTTTATGGCCTGGCGTTGTGGCTCATGCCTGTAATTCCAGCACTTTGGGAGGCCGAGGCAGGCAGATCATGAGGTCAAGAGATCGAGACCATCCTGGCCAACATGCTGAAACCCCGTCTCTACTAAAAATACAGAAATTAGCTGGGCGTGGTGGTGTGCATCTGTAGTCCCAGCTACTTGGGAGGCTGAGGCAGGAGAATCGCTTGAACCCAGGATGCAGAGGTTGCAGTGAGCTGAGATCACGCCACTGTACTCCAGCCTGGCGACAGACCAAGACTCTGTCTCCAAAAAAAAAAAAAAAACCGTCTTTATCATGTGATTTTGGGTAAACTAATTACTGTTGACCTTTACTAAATCTAAAATCCAGCCTTTTACGTATGCTGTGGTGTTGTCAGATTAGATTATATTTGATTACGGACAAAGAGAGAATCTATTTTGAATTCCTACACTATGCCAGACAGATGATAGACATTTTACATATGTATTTTGATCCTCACATTGGTACTTCCAGGTATGTTTTGACAAACTCTTTTTTTTTCTTTTCTTTTTTTTTTTTCAGATAGAGTCCTCACTCTTGTCACCCAGGCTGGAGTGCAGTGGCACAATCTCGGCTCACTGCAGCCTCCACCTCCTGGGTTCAAGTGATTCTCCTGCCTTAGCCTCCCCAGTAGCTGGGATTATAGGCATGTGCCACCATGCCTGGCTAATTTTTTTTGTATTTTTAGTAGAGACGGGGTTTCACCATGTTGAGTGGTCTTGAACTCCTGACCTCAAGTGATTCGCCCACTTCGGCCTCCCAAAGTGCTGGGATTACAGGTGTGAGCCACCATGCCGAGCCTCGTATTGACACATTCTATAACTGAAGCTTAGAGGCTTACATAACTTGATATGTAAAGTACTAAAGCCCAACTTTGAATCCAGGTTTTCTTTACTTCTGTAGCCTGTACTCTTTCCACTCCCCATGATACCTGCAGAATGATCCTGATGTCTGTTGTATTTGCACCTTGCTTCTGCATGCTGCTTGATATTTGTTACGATGTAGTAAATAGTCCATTTGAAAGAGTGGGAGAGCACTCAAAGAGTTTGGGGTTCTGGCTCTAATTCACTGCTGTCTGTTCACTGACTGCCTAAAATGGGCCTCAGTAAGATGTAAGCCTCATAGGAAAGACCGTGGTCCTTGATTTGGTCACTACTTTATGCATAGAACAGGCCCTTAGTAAACAATTATGTTGAGTAAATGAGTAAATGAATATCTGGTACTGTGCTATGTGGCATATATATATATATATATATATATATATTTTTTTTTTTTTTTTTTTTTTTTTTTTTGAGACAAGGTCTCACTCTGTTGCCCAGGCTGGTGTAATCATGGCTCACAGCAGCCTCAACATCCCGGGGCTCAGGTGGTCCTCCCCACTCAGCCTCCTGAGTAGCTGGGACCAAAGGCACATGCAACCATGCCTGCATCCATCTCTCTCTCTCTCTATCATCTGTTTATCTATCTATCATCTTTTTTTAATGCATACAGAATTTGAAGAGATTGGGAATGAAATCAAAGTATGAGAGATTCTGGAAAGTAAATGACTCAGACATATGTGATATGTGTTCTGAGTAATAATTCAACTGTAAATATTGGCACAGTTAAACATCAAGAAGAATTATACTGAGCAATCAAATGAACAAAGACGTATTGACCATATGTGTAATGTTGTATTAGGTACCATAATAAGTTACTCTGTAAGGAATTTTTTCCTTCCCTAGATTAGATGTATATGCATGGAAAAATGAGAAAATAAAAATAACAGAAAACTGAATAAAATTAGTGGTATGTTATGTTGCAGATAATACATCAGATTGGAAGGTAAAGCATCTTTAATTTTCTTCTTGAGGATTAACAACATTGGAAAACTCATGAGTTGGATGATCCTAGAGGCTTGGGGCTTGGGAGTGTGTGTCTGTCTGTGTGTGTTTGTGTGTGTGTATGTCTATATATGTGATGTTGACAACGAAGGCAGTTCTTTGCAAGCAGCTGAGAGTGGCAGATGTATGAGGGCAAGTTGATATGGTGGCAGTTGTTAGATGTTTCTGTGAGAACTTCCATGGTAGGGATAGCCAAGAATTCAACTCTGTGTCCTAGTTTCCAGTGCAATAAATGCTCCTCACAATTTAAAAAAACTTAATAACATCTTCAGAATCTATTTATGGCTTACACTGAATCTGTTGGAGAGAAGTTTTTATTGTAACTTGATGATGTATAGGCAGAGTGCGGTGGCTCACGCCTATAATTCCAGCACTTTGGGAGGCTGAGGTGGGTGGGTCACTTCAGGTTAGGAGTTCGAGACCAGCCTAGCCAACATGGTGAAGCCCTGTCTCTACTAAAAATACAAAAGTTAGCTGAGTGTGGTGGCAGGTGCCTGTAATCCCAGGTACTTGGGAGGCTGAGGCAAGAGAATCACTTGAACCTGGGAGGTGGAGGTTGCTGTGAGCCCAGATTGCGCCACTGCACTCCAGCCTGGGTGACTGAGCGAGACTCTGTCTCAAAACAAAACAAAATTAAAAAATATATATAAAGTATAAATGTGGTTCAGGGTAGGACTTTAAGGAAGCGGTGGGACTTGAGATGCATGGTGCCTGGAAAGATAGATAGAATGTGGATGGATTAAGACATTCCTAGACATTCCCAGGGGAGATCACACAGTGGAAAACAAATGCAGAGAAGCAGGAAGGAATCAGGCGGTCTTAGGGAAAACAATAGGCCAGTCACAGAGGCGCTGAGAGTTAAGGTTTCAGGACATAAGGGGAAGGTTGCTTTAGGCCTTACTTTGGCAAGTCTTCAAGGTCAAGTAAAGAAGTTGGGAGGTTGTTTGCTCAAAGTGAAGTTCAGAAGATGTTTCAGAAGGGGAGTGATATGATGAAAGCTGTGCTTCGTAAGATTAGTTTGGCCCAAGTGTGCAGGATGGATTAAATCAAGTTTACAAGCATTGTTCCTTAGATATTTATCTCCTCCTTTAAAAACTAAGAAAACACAAAATTACACAAGGAGAAATTGCTCTTACATTGCTGTCAAAAGGCACCGTATTATTCTTAGTTTTTATTTTATTTATTTTTCGAAGAGGTAATACATTCACATAATACTAAATCCATAAGATACATAAGTAGGTGGACCGTATAATTCATCATACAAACCAGGACAGTTTTGAGAGAGAGAGAGAGCAGGAAGGTCCTCTGTATGATTATGTTGGGACATAAACTGGGTCTTTTTCCTTGAGTGTCTAACGGTCCACAATATAAATCTCCTTTCCTCTGTGCCCATCCCACCTTATTCTCTTCCTCAGATGAAATCCATCTTAGCAGTTCTTTTTTGTATCTTTCCAGAGATATTCTATTCAAAACCAAGCAAAATAGTCTTCCTCTTTAAACTTTTTTTTTTGTTGTTGTTGAGACAGAGTCTTGCTCTGTTGCCCAGGCTGGAGTGCAGTGGCATGATCTCGGCTCACTGCAACCTTCGCCTCCCAGATTCAAGCAATTCTCCTGCCTCAGCCTCCTAAGTAGCTGGCATTACAGGCACCTGCCACCATGCCCGGCTAATTTTTTTTTGTATTTTTAGTAGAGATGGGGTTTCACCGTGTTGGCCAGGCTGGTTTCAAACTCCTGACCTCAAGTGATCCGCCTGCTTTGGCCTCTCAAAGTGCTAGGATTACAGGTGTGAGCCACCGCACCTGGCCATGAACTTTTTTTTTTATTTTAAATTTTTATAGGTACGTAGTAGACATATATATATATATATATATTTTTTTTTTTTTTTTTTTTTTTTTTTTTTTTTTGAGATGGAGTCTCGCTCTGTCACCCAGGCTGGAGTGCAGCGGCATGATCTCGGCTCACTGCAAGCCCTGCCTCCCGGGTTCATGCCATTCTCCTGTCTCAGCCTCCCGAGTAGCTGGGACTACAGGGGCCCACCACCACGCCCGGCTAATTTTTTGTATTTTTAGTAGAGACAGGGTTTCACTGTGTTAGCCAGATGGTCTCGATCTCCTGACCTCGTGATCCACCTGCCTCGGCCTCCCAAAGTGCTGGGATTACAGGCGTGAGCCACTGTGCCCGGCATAGTAGATATATATTTATGGGGCATGTAAGATTTTTTGATAGAGGCATACAGTATATAATAATCACATCAGGATAAATGGGGTATCCATCACCTCAAGCATTTATCATTTCTTTGCATTACAAACATTACAAGTCTTGCTCTGTTGCCCAGGCTGGAGTGCAGTGGTGCGATTATGGCTCACTGCAGTCTGGGCTGAATCGATCCTCCCATGTCAGCCTCCTGAATAGCTGGAACTACAAGCACATGCCATCACGCTCAGCTAATTTTTGTAGTTTTTGTAGAGATGGGGTCTCTCCATGATGCCCAGGCTGGGTTCGATTATTATTATTTTTTTAAATATAGACACCTTGGATAGACACTACTCAGTTTAAGATACAGCATATTTCCATCACTCCAGAAAGTTTCTTTTTCTATTCCCAAGCAATACTACCTCCTCCAGAGATAACCACTATTTTTGACTTCTGATACTATATGCTAGCTTAACTTCTTTAAGTAGAACCATATAGCATGTTCTTTTTTTTTTTTCTTTGAGATGGAGTCTTGCTTTGTCATCCAGGATAGAGTGTAGTGGTGCAACCTTGGCTCACTGCAACATCCGTCTCCAGGGTTCAGGTGATTCTTGTGCCTCAGCCTCCTGAGTAGCTGCGATTACAGGTGCTTGCCATGACACCTGGCTGATTTTTGTATTTTTGGTAGAGACTGGGTTTCACCATGTTGACCAGGGTGATCTTGAACTCCTGGGCTCAAGTTAATCTGCTTGCCTTGGCCTCCCAAAGTGCTGGGATTACAGATGTGAGCCACCTCACCCGGCCTAGTGTGTTCTGATTTATGCCTGACTTTTTTGTTTAATTGAAGGCTTGCTTTTTTTTTTTTTTTGAGAAGGAGTCTCACTCTGTTGCCCAGACTGGAGTGCAGTGGCATGATCTCCGCTCACTGCAACCTCTGCCTCCAAGGTTCAAGCGATTCTCGTGCCTCAGCCTCCCAAGTAGCTGGAATTGCAGGCACACGCCACCATGCCTGGCTATTTTTTTTGTATTTTTGGTAGAGACGAGGTTTTGCCATGTTGGCCAGGCTTGTCTTGAACTCCTGGTCTCCAGCAATCTGCCCACCTCAGCCTCCCAAAGTGCTGAGATTACAGACGTGAGCCACCATGCTTGGACTAATTGAAGGCTTGTAATGTTCATTCAATTTTGTGTGTATCAGTGATGTGTTTTTACTGTGTATATTGTATTACATTTTATGAATATACCACAAAGTATTCACATTGCTATTGATCAACATTTGAGTTGTTTTTAGTTTTTGCCTTTTGTGAATAAAACTGAACTCTCTTCTGAATGCCTTTTGTTTGACATGCGTATTGATTTCTCTTGGTATATACCTACAAGTGAAAAACTAACGGGTCACAGGGTAGATGTATATTTAGCTTTAGTAAGCTGCTGGTTTTCTGGAATGTTGCCAGATTAGACTGTAGTAGCAGTGTTTGAGAGTTTTAATTATCTGCACCAACTCTTGATAATGCAAGTCTTTTTTTGTGTGAGACAGAGTCTTGCTCTGTTGCCCGGGCTGGAGTGCAGTGGCATGATCTGAGCTCACTGCAACCTCCGCATCTTGGGTTCAAGCAATTCTCCTGCCTTAGCCTCCTGAGTAGCTGGGATCACAGGCACCCACCACCATGACCGGCTAATATTTTTGTATTTTTAGTAGGGACGGGGTTTCACCATGTTGGCCAGGCTGGTTTTGAACTCCTAACCTCAATTGATCCACCCGCCTGGACCTCCCGAAGTCCTGGGATTACAGGTGTGAGTCACTGTGCCTGGCCAGTCTTTTAAATTTTAGCCATTTTGGTGAGTATGTAGTAGCAGCTGATTGTGATTTGAATTTGCAATTCCCTGATGAGTTAAGATGTGTTTTCTATGCTTAGTAGACATTTAGATATCTATGTGAACTATAGGTTCCGGCCTTTCCTTTGTTTTTATTGGAGTGTTAGTCTTTTCCTCAGTGATTTAAAGGATTTCTTTGTATATTCTAAATACAAGTATTTGTGAGATGTATACATTGCTGATATTTTCTCCCAGCCTGTGGTTTGCCATTTTATTATCATAATGCTATCTTTTGATAAGTAGTTTTAAGTTTTATTTAAGTCAAATTAGTTAATTTATTTTCTTTATGGTTAATGTGTTTTATGTCCTCTTTAAGAAATCTTTGCTTACCCTTAGTTTTGAAGATATTCTTCTAGAAGGTTTATAGTTGTGATTCTTGTGTTTTTGTTTTTTTGTTTTTTTTTTTTTTTGAGATGGAGTTTCACTCTTGTTGCCCAGGCTGGAGTGCAGTGGCGTGATCTCGGCTCACTGTAACCTCTGCCTCCTGGGTTCAAGCGATTCTTCTGCCTCAGCCTCCCAAGTAGCTGGGATTACAGGCATGCGCCACCATGCCTGGCTAATTTTGTATTTTTAGCAGAGACAGGGTTTCTCCATGTTGGTCAGGCTGGTCTCAAACTCCTGACCTCAGGTGATCTGCCCATCTGAGCCTCCCAAAGTGCCGGAATTACAGGCATGAGCCACCACGCCCGGCCTATAGTTTTGATTCTTACTTTTAGGGTTACCTAAACTGAATGTTTTGCATTGTATTTTATTTTAAATCATGTTTCCTGGAGATTATCCTATATCAATACACTTGCTTTTATTGTGTCTATACCTGTGGATGTACCATAGTTTATTTAACCTTCTCTTGCTGGGCATTTAGTCTCTTTCCATTATTTTACTAATACTGTAACACTACAGGGAACATCCTAGCACCTATGTAATTTTCTACATGCGCAATTATTATTGTTATTATTATTATTTTTTTGAGATGGAATCTTGCTCTGTTGCCCAGGCTGGAGTGCAGTGGTGAGATCTTGGCTTCAGGCATGAGCCACCACATCTGGCCCCACATGTACAATTATATCTGTAGGAAAAATCCCTAGAAGGAGGCTCTGGTGTCAACAGATTAGTTCATTTGTATTTTTGATAGGTATTTGTATTTTATAAGAGTGAACCATTTTATACTCCTGTCAGCAATGTTTGAGAATAAAAACCTGTTTTAAGTTAGAAATATCTATGCAAATAAACAAGTAGAGATGTGGCTCTTTCCAGCGCGCGCGCGCGCTCGCACACACACACACACACACACGCACACACACACACACTCCCTCTCTCTCTGTCTCTCTCTCTCTCACTCTCTCTTAAAAATTCAACTGTATTTGCTATGGGTTAAAATACATGTTCCCTGGGCTGGATGTGGTGGCTTATGCCTGCAATCCTAGCACTTTGGGTGACCAAGTCAGGAGGATTGCTTGAGCCCAGGAGTTTGAGACCAGTCTGGCCAAAATAGGAAAGCCCTGTCTCTAGTAAAAATTTAAAAAATTTGCCAGGTGGTGTGGCATGAACCTGCAGTCCCAGCTACTCAGGCAGCTGAGGTGGGAGGATTACTTGAGCCCAGGAGATAGAGGCTGCAGTGAGCCATGATCTTGCCACTGCATTCCAGCCTGGACAACTGAGTGAGACCTTGTCTTAAAACAAAAAACACCAAAAAGCTATATATATATATATATATATATATATATATATAATTATATTATATAGAATATATTATATACAAATATTACATATAATATAATAAAGTATATAATATATATAATATAAGACTATATAATGTATTCCACAAGAAAGGTGTCATGTATTGCTACATCTTCAGTGCCTAGGAAAGAACTTCACGCTTAATAAATATTATAGAAATTATGGGTTCTTACACATATAAAATATATTTCTTATTTTATGACTTAGAATAACATATTTCCTTGATTTTAATCTTAACCATTATAAGTATTAGTTCACTAACAAAAGAGGTTAAATAGTCTAGGTTAAGTAATGAAGTTTTTCTTAATTCATGCACCTTTCTAACATGACACTGCTTAAATATATCTGACCTTTGATTACGGTCAGAGTTAGAGTCAGAGTTAATGGTGGAATAACTTAACTGCTAGTTTTATTTATACTTTATTTTAATTGACTTTTTGTGTGTGTGTGTGACAGAGTCTCACTTTGTCGCCTAGTCTGGAGTGCAGTGGCGCGATCTCGGCTCACCGCAACCTCTGCCTCCTGGGTTCATGAGATTCTCCTGCCTCAACCTCCTGAGTAGCTGGGACTACAGGCGTGCACCACCATGCGTGGATAATTTTTGTATTTTTAGTAGAGATGGGATTTCACTATGTTGGCTAGGCTGGTCTCGAACTCCTGACCTCAGGTGATCAGCCTGCCTCGGCCTCCCAAAGTGCTGGGATTATAGGTGTGAGCCACTGCGCCCGGCTTAATTGGCTTTTAAAGGTAATTATTCTTGGGCCAGACATGGTGGCTCATGCCTGTAATCCTGGCACTTTGGAAGGTTGAGGCAGGAGGATTGCTTCAGCTCAGGAGTTCGAGACCAGCCTGGGCAACATGGCGAAACCCCATGACTACAAAAAATACAAAAAAATTAGCGGGGCGTGGAGGTGCCTGCCTGTAGTCCCAGCTACTCTGGAGGCTAAGGTGGGAGGATTGCCTGAGCCCAGGAGATGGAGGTTGCAGTGAACCGAGATAGTGCTACTGCCCTCCAGCCTGGGCAACAGAGCAAGATCTTGTCTTTTTTTTTTTTAAAGTAATTATTCTTATATATAATACATATTTATTATAAAACTGAAACAATGTCAAAAATAATGGGGAAGAAAGTCACAAATTATCCTCATCTCATCAGTCAGAAGTTCCTAGTGTTAATAGTTGGTAAGCATCAATGTTGACATCTGTTTATGCTTATACGTTGGCATATTCATAGCATATGACAAACATAAATTATTTTATAAGGATGAGATAATAACATTTTTGCTAATTTGAAGCAAATAAGTATACAATTTAATTGAATTTAACAGAAGAACAATTAATTGAAGTGAAATAGAGGGTATTGCTCCAGTTTGGCTACTGTTTATTCTTTACAAAAGTAATCATTACTAAAAGATCCTGTGGGGGTTGAGAGGAGATTATGAAAACCCTTAAGATGTTGAAGTCATTTCACGCTTCTTTTTTTTTTTTTTTTTTTTTTTTTTAAGACGGGGTCTCACCCTTTTGCCCAGGCTGGAGTGCAGTGGTGTGATCTCAGCTCACTGCAACCTCTGCCTCCCGGGTTCAAGCGATTTTCCTGTCTCAGCCTCCCGAGTAGCTGGGATTACAGGCCCCTGCCACTGCGCCTAATTTTTGTTTTAGTGGAGACGGGGGTTTCACCATCTTGACCAGGCTGGTCTCGAACCCCTGACCTTGTGATCCATCCACCCCGGCCTCCCAAACTGCTGGGATTACAGGTGTGAGCCACCATGTCCTGCCTCATTTCATGCTTCTTTAACTATTACCTACATGTTCCATCATGTATTGATTTCATGTTCTGAGCAATGATTAGCATTCGAACATTCGTTCCTTCCATCTTCCCTCTCTTCACTTCCCAATTGCTGCTAATTAACTACTTGTACTTAGTCAAAGTTTACTTCACCTTTATATGTAAATACTTTTACTTAGTAAGTGCTGTCAGGTACTTTTACTTACTTTGCATAACCTAACTCTAGTCAAGTTCCATAACATGTAAATTCTATACTGCAACAATAATTCCCCCAATTTGCAGTTGACTGAGATAAGGCATAGAAGTGGGATGAGGTTGAAGAGAACGTACCACAGGAGGCCAAGCCTTGCGGGGCTGAGTGCTGTCCTTATAGGGTTCAGGGGTCAGCCCTCTTCCCAAGACCCCAGCCAATTCCCTATGCTAGGCATCCTCCACCCAGCCAAGGGTGCGTCCCACTCCCACATGAAGGTACGTGGCAAATCCTGGCAGCACCTTTGGTCTTGGTTCTGGGCCTGAGACTTTCTTCCTTAAGGGTATTTTTGTTGACTTTTCCCAGTGTTAATTTATTATTTCATTGTATTTTCCCCCCTTAGAGATTTTTGGTAGCATAATTTAGATTCAGTCAACTGGCCTTTCTTCCCCTCAGTATTGTCTTGGTGAGGAAGGAGCAGTGAGGTGCTGTCCACACAGGCAGCACTTCAATCTTTTGCTTGGCTTTATCCTTTCAAGTCCATAACCTAAGTTTGTTCTCCTTTCTTCGGTTGTTAATAGGACCAATTTGTATGACCTAGGAAAAATAAAAAAAAAAACAAAGAAATAAATAGAGATGTTTTTGAGAAAAAAATGTGTTGGTAGAATTCTGCCTTAATGTGTTTGTTCACCACCAGAAAATTGAAGAGATTTTCAATATTCTATCTTTATGAATGAAATGATGTACTTAACATTTTATTTGTTAAAATTATGGTTCTATAGATCATATAAAGATTTCAAGATAAAAAAATCTTAAGATTTTTTGAGACAGGGTCTCATTCTGTTGCCCAGATTGGAGTACAGTGGCACAGTCACTGCAGCGTCGAGCTCCTGAGCTGAAGTGATCCTCCCACCTCAGCCCCCCAGGTAGCTGGGGTATAGGCATGCACCATCATGCCTGGCTAATTTTTTGTTAGCTAGGAGTTTCACCATGTTACCAAGGCTGGTCTCTAACTCCTGGGCTCAAGCGATCTGCCTGCCTCAGCCTTCCAAAGTGCTGGGATTACAGGCATGCGCCACTGTGCCTGGCCCAAAAAACTCTGTTTTTTATTGTGATAAATGTTTGGGGTACCTTTCAAACAATGTAAGATATTTTATGAAACAGAACAAATTTTACTAAGAATTTCCACATACAACTATTTCAGAAATGATAGTCATCCTGAAAGTACTACATTTTAAGAATTAATATTAATAACATCATTCTTTTTATTTTCTAATGACTCTCAGGAATATGGTATATAATAGGAATTTGGTTTATTAAAACTTATTTTATTTTTTGAAATAGGGTCTTGCTGTGTCACCCAGGCTGGAGTGCAGTGGTGCAGTCATGGCTTACTGCAGCCTCAAACTCCTGGGCTCAAAGGATCCTCCCACCTCAGCCTCCTAACTAGCTGGGACTATACGCACATGCCACCAGGCCTGGCTAATGTTTTTCAGTTTTTATAGAGACAGGGACCTATTATGTTGCCCAGAGTGGTCTTGAAACCCTGGGCTCAAGTGATCCCCACCTCAGCCTCCTAAAGTGCTGGGATTACAGGTGCAAGCCACCATGCAAGGCTAAAACTTATTAAAGCTAATGAATATTATAACTGTGGAAATATAACTTTGGAAATAATGAGGCCATTTTGATTTTTTATCAGCAATTGTGTAATATAGTGCAAAGAACATGGGGTTTGGAGTTACATAGCATTTGAATGCAGGCTCTGCCATTTATTATCTATGCAAATTTAGATAAGCTGTTTAGACAAACTACTGTGAACCTCCCTTTTTTCATCTGTGAAATGGGGATAACATAACTATTTCTAGTGGTTGTTGTGAAGATGGTACCTATTAACATCCCTAAATAAGAGTATGTGGTCAATAAATGGAATATTTGATTTAGTGTACTACTAATTGGAGGTTCAGTCCTGAAAGGTGACATCCCTTTTAGGTTGTCCAACCACCCTCACAGTGTTTCCAGTTACTCTCCAGCTCCTTATCCTCCTTTAGTTTTCTTCATAACAGTCATCTTCATGCGTGAAATTATATTTCATTCTTATTAGTTACTTTCTTTATCTACCTTTAAGATGTAAGCTTTATGAAGGCACGGACTGGCTGTACTGTACCCCCCAAATCTAGAACAATGCCTGGAACATAATCGGCATTCACATATTGTTTGATCGAATGTGTAAATATATTTACATTTTTTTTTTTGAGGCGGAGCCTCGCTCTGTTGCCCAGGCTGGAGTGCAGTGGCTCCACCTGTGCTCACTGCAACCTCCGCCTCCCGGTGGCTGGACAGAGCCACCACGCACGGCTAATTTTTCTATTTTCAGTAGACAGAGGGTTTCGCCATGTTGGCCAGGCTGGTCTTGAACTCCTGACCTCAGGTGATCTGCCTGCCTCAGCCTCCAAAAGTGCTGGGATTACAGGCATGAGCCACTGCACCCGGCCTACATGTTTTAAAATAACTAGATTCTTAGTTAGTTCAGGGAACCTGCAAATAAATATAGAGAAAATAAACAAGCATGTTTTTCTACCTTTACACAACTTACTTGTTGGTTGACTGAATTGACTGCTCAGTTTAGTTTAGTTAGTTCAACTAGAACTGGATTTATAGACTCAATCCCAGTGACTGACATTAACACTACGGATGTTTGTTATTGAAGCTCATATGATATTTCATTCGTTATTTCATAAAAGTTATATCACTAGGTGGTTCTACTTTGTTTTTCTTATATTTGACCCCTAAATGGAAGGAAAGCCGAAAGAAGAGTTGTCTGTGAAATTTATATTGGAAAGCAAAATCTTCAAATTCCTCTAAAACCTCTTTTCTAAAACAGAGTGCTAGTGAAAGATTTCACACACACATACACACATACACAATGAATCCTGGTTTTTCAAGAAATGTCTTTTGGGGGAAAGGGACTCCCCTATTTGAGATGTTTCTTTTTTCATAGAAAGTATTTCATTGTGGAAGGATTATGTCTTATTCTGAAATATCTAATGCTTGCTAAAAATTTACTTATTTATTTACTTATTTATTTTTTTGCAACAGTCTTGTTCTGTCGCCCAGGCTGGAGTGCAGTGGTGTGATCTCGGCTCTCCGCAACCTCTGCCGCCTGGATTCAAGCAATTCTCCTGTCTCAGCCTCCTGAGTAGCTGGGATTACAGGTACCACCACACCCAGCTAATTTTTGTATTTTTTAGTAGAGGTGGGGTTTCACCATGTTGGCTGGACTGGTCTTGAACTCCTGACCTAAAGTGATCTACCTGCCTTGGCCTCCCAAGGTGCTGGGATTACAGGTGTCAGCCACCGCACCCAGCCAACAATTTATTTATTTTGTAAAAGATCATGCAATCTTCTGTAGTTTAAAATGTCAGGTTTTACCTCTGTTATATTCCTCTATCATTCAAATGCCTTTTAAATAAAATGTACCTTTTTTTATAAAAAAAATTTATTTTTCAAAAATTTAGCACATTCATGGTAATGATCCTTTAGTTTTTATGTGATCCAAATAAAATATTTGCTTTAAAGTTTGAAAAACAATAGTAATGAAAGGATATGTTGGCTGGGCGCGGTGGCTCACACCTGTAATCCCAGCACTTTGGGAGGCCAAGGTGGGGCGGGGGGAGCATCATCTGAGGTCGGGAGTTCGAGACCAGCCTGGCCAACATGGAGAAACCCCCATCTCTACTAAAAACAGAAAATTAGCCATGCGTGGTGGCAGTCACCTGTAATCCCAGCTACTCAGGAGGCTGAGGCAGGAGAACCACTTGAACCCGGGAGGCAGAGGTTGCAGTGAGCTGAGATCTCACCATTGCACTCCAGCCTGGGCAACAAGAGTGAAACTTCATCTCAAAAAAAAAAAAAAAAAGAATCCTGGAAAGGATATGTCTTCAGTTTGAACTTGTCCATAAATTGCAAGAGAAAAGAACACTGGTAGAAGGATTAGGCAAGAGACGGTTTATTTTTGCCTGACTTAATGAAAGTATTGAAAATAACAGGCTGAGGCTGGGCACAGTGGCTCACGCCTGTAATCCTAGCACCTTGGGAGGCCGGGGCCGGCTGTTCACCTGAGGTCAGGAGTTCAAGACCAGCCTGGCCAACATGAGGAAACCTCGGCTCTGCTAAAATACAAAAATTAGCCGGGCATGATGGTGGATGCCTGTAATCCCAGCTATTCAGGAGGCTGAGACGGTAGAATTGCTTGAACCCGGGAGAGGGCGGTTGCAGTGAGCCGAGATCACGCCACTGCACTCCAGCCTGGGCGGCTGAGTGAGACTCTGTATCAAAAAAAAAAAAAAAAAAAAAAAAAAAGAAAATAACTGTCTGCATTGTTTGTTTATGATCTGTAGCTTTGCATATTTTCCTTTATTTGTAATCTCATTGCTCCTTGATATTTTATTTTCGCCATCACAGTCTAAGAAGGAGAGATTGGACCTTGGTCTTGATCTACTGCCATCTTGTACATAGATCTTTGAAATTCTCTATTCATTTGGTAAATATAATGGACAGAGTTAATACCAGGTACTATGAATGCTCACCTGATATTTGGTCCTTATGAAGGTGTAGATAGTTGTTAACTCCTTGTGTGTGCATGTTGGGGGATGGTCGGTGGAGCTTTTTATTCCACCATCTTGCTCCACCACTCTCCTTGACAGAGTTGGATCAGGGTTAAATTTATTGTCATCTCATGAAATCTAAATTTCTTTAAATTTTATGATCCCATTGGAATTTATTTAAGAAAAGTATAATTGCATAGTTGTTTCTGAGAGAAAAATAGAGAGGAAGAGATGATTTGCATGTCTCAAGAGTCAATGGGATTTATATTTAGAATTTCTTTTCCCCTGACATTTTTGGGTTGTGGATTAAGGTCCTTTCTGGGACCAGATACAGATGAAATTTCAGCCTGTTCCTTGTTTTCAGTTCCTTATGGCTAAGAAGATTGGTTTAGCCAATCTTAGTAGTTTTTGGCCTTCTCTATACAATGAAGATTCCATAGTAAGACCCATAGCAATGAAGCCAACCCAGGTCAGCTACAGCTGATTTATAGGTATCTTTTGGTTACCTATAAATAGTGCTGTTGCTGGTCGAAGCAGAATAAATAAATGAGATCAGAGACATTATTTGAGGAAAATGCTTAAAAATTTTCTCATCTAAATAATTTTACATTGGAGTTACATAGGGTGAGGAATGAGGATGCTGGTGTATTTCCTTTTTTGGGGAGAGAAAGATTCAAGCCCTTTGTTTGGACTGGGAATGAGGATTCTCAATGGTCAGTAGTCCTTGTTACAGAAACAGTTATTTGTTGGCATCTTTCTAAAGAGTCTTGCAAATGTAATCACATTTGGAATACATAATTTTTTATTTTTATTTTTTACTTTTTTGTCTGAGACAGAGTCTCACTCTGTCACCCAGGCTGAAGGGCAGTGGTGCCATCTCGGCTCATTGCAACCTCCACCTCCCAGGTTCAAGTGATTCTCTTGCTCTGGCCTCCTGAGTAGCCGGGACTACAGGCGCCCACTACCACACCCAGCTAATTTTCGTATTTTTAACAGAGATGGGGTTTCACCATCTTGGCCGGGCTGGTCTCAAACTCCTGACCTCCAGTGATTCACCCACCTTGGCCTCCTAAAGTGCTGGGATTATAGGAATGAGCCACTGCGCCCAGCCTATTTTTATTTTTATTTTTTATATGGAGTCTCTCTCTGTCGTCCAGGCTGGAGTGCAGTGGTGCGATCTTGGTTCACTGCAACCTCCGCCTCATGGGTTTAAGCGATTCTCCTCCCTCAGCCTCCCGAGTAGCTGAATTACAGGCATGTGCCACCACACTTGGCAAATTTTTGTATTCTATTTTTTAATTTTTTAAGATAGAATACATTATTTTCATTGAGCATTCTATGTAACAATTATTTCTTGATGTTGATTCCCTTGATATTGTCAATATCATTTTGAGCTGTGTTCATTTTTGTTTCATGTTACAGAGGAATAAGATCATCATAGTTTATCTATATATGGCACTGGTACGCTGGAATCTGTAATACTGAGTTGGTTTATAAGCACCAGAAATCCCAGAGAAACATCAACAAACTGAAAACATTTCAAAGAAATGTTAAAAAAAAAGAGAAAGCTTCTTTTTAAAAAGTAAACCAGGAGGAAAGACTAAAGTAAATGTTAATATAAATGGTTTGTTTCAATGTTGTAGGTTAAAAAGAAAATTTAAGACTGGGTGTGGTGGCTTATGCCTGTAATCCCAGCACTTTGGGAGGCTGAGGCTGGCGGATCACCTGAGGCCAGGAGTTCAAGACCAGCCTGGCCAACATGCATAAACCCCGTCTCTACAAAAATACAAAAATTAGCCGGGCATGATGGTGGATGCTTGTAATCCTGCTACTCGGGAGGCTGAGGTGGGAGAATCACTTGAACCCGGGAGGTGGAGGTTGTAGTGAGCCGAGATCATGCCACTGTACTCTAGCCTGGGTGACAGGGCAAGACTACGTCTCAGAAAAAAAAATAAATAAATAAAATTTAAGTATCATGAACAATATAGCAGGAGTATAGATTGGGATAATGGTTTTAAATTACTTTCAATTGGAGGATGCTTGTTCCTGGCTTCTCCACTTTCTGCAAACACTGAACCAGGGATGGTGTCCCAGGCTTCTTGCTGTCTACCTTGACATCTAGTCATGGTTCTATAACCTATGCCAACATCCACTCCACTTCTAAAATCTATGCACATACTCTCTTTCCCACCATCATAGGTAACAAACATCCTGGCCTTTTCTCTCCTCTGCCATGTAATCTGAAAACCTTGACTCTTACAGTTTTCTTCTTAAGTTCATGTCCTGTCATTACTTTGAGCAGCCATTGAAGACCTATTTAACACCTTTATTGAACAGTCATAGGAATCAAAATCTGGGTTTGAATTTTCGTTCTGTCATTTGGTGTAACGTTAGACAGATTCTCTAACTTCAGTTTTTCCATCTGTAAAATAGGGAAAATATGTTTTTAATTTTTTTTCTTTTTGAGACGGAGTCTTACTCTGTTGCCCAGGCTGGAGTGCAATGGCGCGATCTTGGCTCACTGCAACCTCCACCTCCCGGGTTCAAGCGATAATCCTGCCTCAGCCTCCTGAGTAGCTGGGATTACAGGAGTGTGCAACCATCTCCAGCTAATTATTGTGGTTTTAGTAGAGACAGAGTTTCACCATGTTGGTCAGGCTGGTCTCGAACTCCTGACCTCGTGATCCACCTGCCTTGGCCTCCCAAAGTGCTGGGATTATAGGCGTGAGCCACCACACCCGGCCTGGAAAATATGTTTTTTCACTGGTAATTGTAAAGTTGTAAAGTGATGGCTGTTAGTGGCTATGTAAATTAATGTGGCCATTATGGAAAGCAGTATGGAGGTTCTTCAAAAAATTAAAAGTAGAACAACTATATGATCCAGCAACCCCACCAATGGGCATATACTCAAGCGAAATGAAATCAGTAATGTGGAAGAGATATGTGCACTCCTATGTTCATTGCAGCATCAACTTCAGTGTCCATGAATGAATGAATAAATGGATAAAGAAACATGGTATATATACGTAATGGAATACTATTCAGCCTTAGAAAAAACAAGGAATTCTTGTCACATGTTATAACATAAGTGAACCTGAAGGACATTATTCTAAGTGAAATAAGCCAGGCACAGAAGATGAACACCACATGACCTCACTTATATATGGAATCCGAAAATGTCTAACTCATAGATGTAGAGAGTAGAATGGTGGTTACCAGAGGCCTGGGGAGGAGGGCAGGTTAGGGAGATGTTGGTCAAAGGATATAAAAATTTAGCTAGAAGGAATAAGTTCAAGAGATCTATTGTACAACATAGTTAATATACTTAATGTACAGTTGACCCTTGGATAACATGAATTTGAGCTGTGCGGGCCCACTTACATGTGGAGTTTTTTCAATCAAATGCAGCTTGAGGGATACATATATACTGAGGGTCAATTTGCATATATTTGTGTTCTGCAGGGCCAACTGTGGCTACGCGACTGTATTGTGTTCCTGAAAATCTCTAAGACAGTAGATTTTTTAAGCGTTATCATAATAAAATATAAGTATATGAAGTAATGCATTTGTTAATTAGCTTGGTGGAGCCATTCTACAATGTGCATATGTTTCAAAATATGTTGTACACAGTACATATATACAATAAAAGAAGAAATACATGGTTGTAAAGTGATGGTGCAGCATCACACGAGGTATATGTGAAACCATGCTGTAATTTGTAGTCTTATTTAGATGCCAGTTGTATGGTTATCTTTACTTACCGACATTCATTTGCTCAACCCACTCATATATCCACATTTTGTATTTTGTGTTATTTGTGAAGATTCTATTTTTGGTTTTATTCTCTAATTGCATCTTTTGTATCACAAATTTCTTGACCTTATTAGATCTTTTAATATTTTAAACACTTTCACTCATTTATTTAGTCATTGAACTCCTGGCTTCACTTTCCCTGCTACTGTTCATAATTAAGAAGCAATAGGATAGTGGATCTCTTCACTATGTCAGTTCTGAGCTTGAAGTATCCTTCATCTGGAGATAGTAAAACTCTAGGGAAATTTTAAAATGATATGTGGGATATTTCATTTGTTATTGACATTAGTGCTTGGGGTATGGATTAAACATCCTTAATGTATGGGACAGGCCCCTGAATCTGAATTTTTCTTGCAAAATGCCAATAGTGCTTCCATTGAGAGCACTACTAGGTGTGCAGGACTTCTATCCATCCTTTATGACATGGTTCTTAACTCTATTAGATTTGTTTTGCCATTTTTTCCCTCTGTGCTTCTGTATGTTTTTACTTATGCTGCTAATATATATCTGTTTGTCTTCCTCTTTAGAATATTAGTGGCTGAATTGAGAGAGAATCTTTGGGACATTCCTTTTGTATATCTAGAATATAACATAGACCCCCCATAGAGTTGGTGCTTATTATTTGCTGTATATGAATTTGGAATCTTTAATTGTTCTAGGAAAGATTCAGCTTCAGTTTGATAATCAGAAGCTGCTACATGGTTGCCATAGCTATGGCACTTGATTCCTTCTAGAGTTCTTTAAGCTACACGCTTAAAAGGAGAGCCTTTCTTATTAGGTAAAACCTTGTACTCAGATAATTTGAACTGGGAATTTCTGGGTTGTGAATATTTGGAAAAAATATGGTACAAATGTTTGGAAAAAATATTCAGCTTTGAGGTAGGGATTAAAAAGCTTTTGTTTTGTTTTGTTTTGTTTTGTTTTGAGATGGTGTCTCACTCTGTTGCCCAGACTGGAGTGCAATGGAGTGATCTCGGCTTACTGCAACCTCTGCCTTCTGGGTTCAAGGGATTCTCATGCCTCAGCCTCCCGAGTAGCTGGGACTACAGGTGTGCGCCACCATGCCTGGCTAATTTTTGTATTTTCAGTTGGCCAGGCTGGTCTTGAACTCCTGACCTCAGGTGATCCACCCACCTTGGCCTCCCAAAGTGCTGGGATTACAGGTGTGAGCCACCATGCCTGGCCTATTTTTACTTTCTGAATTTTATTAAAGCAAGGAACCCCACCCCCACTTTTTTTTTCTATCTCAGTTACTTTTCAGAGTGTTGTGTTCATTTGGGTCATAATGCTTTGAAAAAGTTGTTATAATTGGAGAAGAAAAATGGCCAAAATGATTTCAGGGATATAAAGTAGACTTTCTCCAGTGAAAGTCTATAGGGACTGGACTTTTTGCCTTGGATAAGGCAAATAAATGATTTGATGTCTGTTTTAATCTATTTTTATGGGTAAGATGTAGAGCAGTTATTGTTATTATTCATAGAACAATGAATAAGAGAATATTAGCTCATATCAGAGAAGAGGTTTTAGTTACCTAATGAAGAGCTCTTTGACACTAGGGCAATGAATCTTCCAAAAGATAAAGAAATAGGTCCGGGTCACACAGTTTCTATTAGCATGATGGAGTAGAAAGATCTTGGGCCTTCAGACAGTCCTGGCTTGGAATCTTAGTCCCAGTTAACACCTCTCAGCCTCATTATTTTTTCATTTGTAAAAGTGAGAATACTAACATGTATCCCAACATATGTACTAAGATTCAATGAGATAATGTGTAGACAAACACGGAGGAAACAATGCTAGCTCCTTTCTCCATTGTAGTGCTTGCCTGGCGTGTAATAAACACTCAGTAACTCTTCTCGGTCCTCTGGAGATACTTAAAGAGAGGTATGAGCATCTCTCCTAGATGACTTAGAAATTTACCTACCTAAAGGCAGGGAGTTAGACCAAATGTCTCTTTAAAAGTTTTTTACAGAATGAGTTCAGAGGATGCCTATTAAATGCAAGATTGTTTATATGCAGATCTTCGTGGATATAAATGTTGTTTTGTTTCAGAAGTTGGAGCCATTGACTTTTACATTTGTTCTTTCTACCCTCTGATCCATCAGTGCAGAAAACTGTAGCACAGAAACTGTAACTAAGAAACTTTTTCTTGAAGAGCAGCATGGAAAGATGTAAAATAATTTTTGAAATTATTTCTTAGTCTATTCCTTAAAATATCACAATTCCCCAACCTTCCATTTCATTTTCTCCCAGTCTTACTCTATTTAAACTCATGAGGACAGACAGGCTAGATGATATTTTGGGAATCTCACTGTGGGAGCTTAGTAAAAATGATTGAGATGGTTTTCAGTCAGTAGACAAGAAAATAGTGTGATCGAAGTATTAAGGCATTTTTGGAAATTTGTGGTTTTGTGTATTTTTCAATGTAGGCTGCCAATGAATTGATTCTTTCAATTATTTTCTGAAAAAAGTTTTGGTTTACATTGTTCAGATGGTAAAAGCATCTATGGCCATACCTCCCTGAACGTGCCCATCCTGCCTGATCTCTGAGTGGTAAAAGCATGTTTCTCTGTAGGTACATTAGATTGTTTGCAGTTCACTTGAGTTGCAAAGAACAAGCCATACCGGCTGGGCGCGGTGGCTCATGCCTGTAGTCTCAGCACTTTGGGAGGCCGAGGTGGGCGAATCGTGAGGTCAGGAGATCGAGACCATCCTGGCTAACATGGTGAAACCCCCGTCTCTACCGAAAATACAAAAAAAAAAAAAAAAAAAATTAGCCGAGCGTGGTAGTGGGCCCTTGTAGTCCCAGCTACTCGGGAGGCTGAGGCAGAAGAATGGTGTGAACCCTGGAGGTGGACCTTGCAGTGAGCCGAGATCGTACCACTGCACTCCAGCCTGGGCGACAGAGCAAGACTCTCTCTCAAAAAAAAGAACAAGCCATACCACATTAGGGCCTATCATTTCTTGACTGCAGTTGTAGAAATGACAAATTAACTCACACATTTAAAATTTTTGCTCTTTAGTGATTGTCTGAAAAGGAAAGATGAGGAATATTGATGTATAATAAAACAATATATGGAGAAAAGATGGTAGCAAAAAGAACAGAAGCTTTTGGATCAGAATTCCTGAGTTCTAGTTGTATCATTTACTCTCTGTGACTTTGACAAGTTAATTTATTGTCTAAATATTTCTTTGTTTTGAGACAGAGTCTTGCTCTGTCATCAGGCTGAAGTGTAGTGGTGCCATCTCAGCTCACTGCAAACTCTGCCTCCTGTTTTCAGACGATTCTGCTGCCTCAGCCTCCCCAGTAGCTGAGATCACAGGTGCGTGCCACCATATCTGGCTAATTTTTGTATTTTTAGAAGAGATGGGTTTCACCATGTTGGCCAGGCTGGTCTTGAACTCCTGACTTTAAGTGATCTGCCCACCTTGGCCTCCCAAAATGTTGGGATTACAGGCATGAGCCACGGTGCCCAGCCTAAATATTTCTCTCATGAATTGTAAAATAGTGATAATATTGGCACTTATAAAATTATCTTTTAGTGTTAAATCTGACAACATGTGTTAAAGCATTTTGAAAAACATGATGTTGGAAGCATACATGTTACAGATGTGAAAGAGATCTGAATACAGCTTATTAGTTTATTAAGTGCAAAATATTTAATCTGAACCTGATCATGAAGCCCTGAGGAAGGCATTTGAATCCAGAAAAGTGGTATAGGCAGCAGTTTTTGGATAAATTGATTTGGGGTCTCATCTTGACTTTGCTACTTAACATCTCACAGTATTTATTTAAATTGACTCTTCCTTAGCTTCTCTTCTGTAACAAAGATTGCTTGCTTGTAAGCCTTGTGTAGAGTAAGTTGGATGCTAAAATTTGACTATATGATATTATGATTTATAAGTTCATACTTTTCATGTTTGGAAGGGCAGAACATTTTAGTATAGTATTACAAAGACATTAATAATATTAGGTAATCAGGCACTTACAAGGGATCTGGAGAATGACACAAATCACTTTGTTACATTTTCCCTTGAGTTGCCTGGCTAATATGGTGAGTCCACCTGCAATGAAGATCAGAGAGAGTTTTTGCTTTCTTCTTTCCCCCTTCCTGTCAGTCTTTCTTTTTTCTTCCTTTCTTCTGGGGTCTCAATTCGTCATTTTTTTTTTCTTCTGGTTTGTGGTTTGTTGAGGTTTAGCTGGAGGTGTATGGGTGAAAGCTTCAAGTCTTTCAGGGTGTAATGAAGAAAAATGATCTTCCTGTTCTGGTCTGCAATGTAAAGACCTTTCTCTTGCTGGGATTGTTCACCACTTATAGCCTAAATTTAGTGCTTTGTAGTGTTAAGACTCTTTTCTCTGTCTTATTAGGGCTCTGTTTGTCAGTAATTAGTAGACACTGATCTCTAAACAACTCGTGTACTTTCCTGCTTGTTTACCTTTACTGATAAGAGGATCGAACTACAGGATCCTTTCAAGTTCTAAAATGGTGTGATTTAGACTGGAGGACTCCATAGTGTTACTGAGGTACATAAGTAATAGACTTTGTTATGCCTGTTTATAGATGAGGCAGTGGAAGGAGTGGAGTTCAGTGTTTTGAGTTACTAAATGGAATTTCCTTCAAGTAGGGGAATGTTAGTTTGTGGAAATTTGTATGTGAACGTCTGTAAGCATATTTTTAGTATCAATTAGTGGTTCAAGTAGAGTGTGTGTTTGGAACAGAAGGTTCAGATGCTGTATAGTTGCAGAGTCTGTGCCCATGAAGTGTGAATGCAGTGACTGTGAGGACTCATGTTCTGTGTGCACGGAAACCCTCATTTGATCTGAATATTCCATTCTTTGTTCTCTATGCTTGCAATTCCACTGAAGACAGTTTTCCTGCTAGTTAGGGCTACAAGTCATGAGAATAGTGGTTTTAACAATGAAAATACTACCTTCATATTAAGAAACTTAATTTCCTGTTGATTGTTTCCCCAAATTTATTTCATTTTTTACTCTCCCCAACTGATCAATAATCAAAGTCTCTGAATTCAAGTTTCTAAGTATCTCTTGAATCCATGGCCTCCACTTGTCCTTGATTGAGATTCTCATCTCGTCTCTCTGCCCTGCACTATTGCGAAGTCATTCTGACAGGTGTCCCATCATCACACCAAGTTGTTTATAAAAAGTCTCATTTGTGCAGCCTTTTACCTTCATAAAGTGCTTTTATACACCTTTTCTTACTTAATTCTCATACCAAATGCTGAAGTAGATTTTATCATTACCCATATTTGACAACTGAGAAAAAAACTAAGAAAGGCCAAGAACTTCTCCAAAGGTTGTGTGGTTAGTAAATGCTAGAAAAATTTATATTTCGGAAAGTGGTTTATTAAAAAATTTGTGTGCCCCAGGATACAAAAAAAATTTCTGTAGATTACATTTGTATAACGAATGACTCAGTATGAAATAAAGATACAACATAGGGACACATACATTTAAGAATGATTTTTTATTTTAGAAATGAAGCCAACTACTTAAAAAAAGTTTTAACACTTTTGTTGTTTTATGAAGTAATTAGGTTGAGTAATGTAACAAGAGAAAAATGCTTGGCGACTTTTCAAATTCATGCTTCTTTATTGAACATATGCCCAAATTGATTTACAGCTTCAATGCACTTTTTAACAAAACAAGATTTTAGAAACTTAGAAAAACACATGATTTTTTTTCACGCTGTCCCTCTCTCCCCCCTCCTTCTTTTCTTCCTTCCCTCATTTCTTTCTTTTTTCTTTCCCTGTTTCATTTGGCAAGCTCTGAATGTAGTGGGAAGAGCATAGAGAAATGAATAAAAATGTTAAAAATTCTTAAATTGTGTATGTAAGTAATCTTTTAAAATATTTAATTTTGTGATTTAAGAGATCGGGATGTAAAGGAAACAAACAAAAAAAAAACCTTTGGCTGGTTGCAGTGACTCAGGCCTGTAATGCCAGCACTTTGGGATGTTGAGACAGGCAGATCACTTTAAGCCATGAGATCGAGACCAGGCCAACATGATGAAACCCCGTCTCTACTAAAAGTACAAAAATTAGCAGGGCATGATGGCATGTGCCTGTAATCCCAGATACTTGGGAGAATGAGGCAGGAGAATCGCTTGAACCTAGGAGGCGGAGGCTACAGTGAGCTGAGATCACGCCCCTGCACTGCAGCCTGGACAACAGAGCAAAACTCTGTCTCAAAAAAAACCACACACACACACACACAAACAAAAAACAAAAACCTTCACAGGTAGTGGTGTGGTTTTTCCCCTTCATCTCTAGATTGCATAATCAAAAAAATAAAGAAAAACCACTAAACCATTTCTGTCATTTCAAAATTATCAATTTTTAAAGAAGGAATTTCAGGTTTTACTTTTTAACTTTTTAATTTTGAAATAGTTTTTTTTCTTTTTCTTTTCTTTTCTTTCCTTTCCTTTTTTTTTTTTTTTTGAGGTGGAGTTTTGCTCTTGTTGCCAAGGCTGGAGTGCAACGGATTCAAGTGATTCTCCTACCTCAGCCTCCTGAGTAGCTGGGATTACAGGTGCTTGCCACCATGCCTGGCTAATTTTGTATTTTTAGTAGAGAGGGAGTTTCTCCATGTTGGTCAGGCTGGTCTCAAACTCCTGACCTCGGGTGATCTGCCCGCCTCGGCCTCCCAAAGTGCTGGGATTACAGATGTGAGCCACTGCGCCTGGCCTGAAATAGTTTTATACCTATCAAAAAAGTTGCACAAGTAGTAGAGTGCCTATACTCTTCACCCCATTTCCTTTAATGTTAACATTTTCAAGTAGAGCTATGATCAAAACTAAGAAATTATCATTGATAATTTCTTTTAATAATCATTGATACAATTCTTTTATCTAAACTGCACCTTATTCAGATTTGAGTGGGTTTTCCACTAATGGTCAGCTTTTACTTTTAGTGAATTTTTGAATACATGAATGAATGGGGGATGACAGAGTATAAGAAAATAACCCACTGGGGGCTGGGCATGATGGCTCACGCCTATAATCCGAGCACTTTGGGAGGCCAAGGCGGGCACATCACGAGGTCAGGAGTCTGAGATCAACTTGGCCGATATGGTGAAACCCCATCTCTACTAAAAATAAAAAAATTAGCCGGGCATGGTGACATGCATTTGTAGTCCCAAGCTACTCGGGAGGCTGAGGCAGAAGAATCACTTGAAGCCAGGAGGTGGAGGTTGCAGAGAGCTGAGATCATGCCACTGCACTGCAGCCTGGGAGACAGAGCAAGACTCCATCTAAAAAAAACAAAAACAAACAAACAAAAAAAAAAAAGGAAGAAAAAAAGAAAATAACACTGGGAATGGTGAAAATAGAGAAATACATGAATACATATGGGAAGTGAATAATCAGAAGACTTTTAGTATTTTTATTTAATACTTTGTCCTCACACTATAATTGTATGTCTTAAGTGTTAACTAGAGACTCTTCCCTTTCTTGTCTTTATTGATGACAGTCATATCTGTTACTTTTACAGCAAAATTATCATAAATCTCTCTGACAAAAGGGTTACATTAATTCATTAAAAGAGCTAAATACATTTAAAACCGTTTCTGAGTGACCATGAACAAAATAAAAATTGTACTATCAATTTCTAGAGCTATAATTTAATAAAATAAAATATTACTTGATGTTTAAAAGTCTGTATATGAGTTTAAGTCCACTTCTAATAAATTATGGTGAGATTCTCAGGCATATTGCTTAACAAGGTTTGTGAATTACCCATTTTTTTCAATGTATTTTTACTAAAGATTTTGAGTAATGAATCCCTTTACCCATGATAGAGACAATACCACCCCATTCATCCCAGAGTTAAGGAGAAGGGAGACATTGTTTAGTACTGCTATAGCAGCAGGGCTCTGTGGAGTTCCAGATGTGGAAGGGGGTTGTACCTTGTAGATACACAGCCCCTTCTCTGATTTTGTCTTCTTGCACCTGGGAATACTTAGGCACTTTACAGTCACAGTGTCGTTCTCTGTGGGAATTTCTACTCACTAAATGGTAATTTATTTTTGCTTCCTTATTTCTCTGGCATTCTGACAACTTTTCAATGATAGGAATATATTTATAAGACATTTTCACAGTATGAGCATAGCCACCTCAGAATTGTACTAAGGAGTGAATGGTACCCCTTCTTTAGTTATTGTTACCCTTGACTGAAATAAAACTTCATTGAAATAAAACAATAGCCTTGAATGAAAGAAAACTTCTAGAATTTTTACTAAATACATGATTTTAAGCAGGTCTTTAAAGATTTTTTTTAAACTTTATTTTTCCTGCTTCATTTAATTATCAGAATTATGGAGTTTAAAAATACAACAGCTTTATGGATATAATTCATATACTGTACAACTCACCCATTTACAGCATACAATTCAGTGGCTTTTAGTATACTTCACAGGTTTTGCAACCTTACAACAGTCAATTTTAGAACATTTTCATCACCCCATAAAGAAACCTCTTACCTATTTGTGGTCATTCCCTATTCCTGCCTCCGCCCAGCCCCTGGCTAATCTACCTTCTGTCTCTATGGATTTGCCTGTTCTGGACAGTTCACGTAAATGGAATTATATAATATGCAGCCTTTTGTGACTGCCTTCTCTCACTTAGCATAATATTTGTTAAAGTGCTTCCATGTATTAGTAGAATAGTTTGTTTCTTTTTTGTTGCCTAAAATATCCCACCGTATTGTATTAGTAGAATAGTTTCTTTTTTGTTGCCTAAAATATCCTACCATATGGCTAGTCCCCACGTTATCTGTTATCATTTGATGGACATTTGGGTTATTTCTACTCTTAGGCTATTATGAATAATGCTGCTATAAAAATTTGTGTCTAAGCTTTTTGTGAGGACACATGCTTTCATTTTCTTGTTTTTAATTTTTTTTTTTTCCGAGTTGGAGTCTTGCCCTGTCCCCTAGGTTGGAGTGCAGTGGTGCAATCTTGGCCCACTGCAACTTCTGCCTCCCGGGTTCAAGCCTCAGACTCCTGAGTAGTTGGGATTACAGGCGTGCACCACCGTGCCCGGTTAATTTTTGTATTTTTAGGGGAGATGGGGTTTCACCATGTTGGCCAGACTAGTCTCGAACTCCTGACCTCGTGATCCGCCCGCCTCAGGCTCCCAAAGTGCTGGGATTACAGGCATGAGCCAATGTGCCCAGCCCATGCTTTCATTTTCTTGGGTATATACCCCTTAGTGAAATTGCTGGGTCATATGGTAACTCTATATTTAACTTTTTGAGGAACTGCCAGACTGTTTATCACAGTGACTACCGCATTTCACAGTCCCACCAATAGTACATGAAGGCTCCATTTCTTCACATCCTTCTTGACACTTGTTATTTCTCTTTTTTTATGATAGTCATCCTTGTGAGTGTGAAGTAGTATTTCACTGTGGTTTTAATTTACATTTCTCTGACAACTAATGATGTTGAATATCTTTTCATGTGCCCATTGGTCATTTGTATCTAGTTCTTTGGAGAAATGTGTCTTTAAAACCTCTGCCCATTTAACTTCAATTTTTACTTTTTTAATTTTTTATTTTATTTATTTATTTATTTATTTTTTGAGACAGAGTCTTGCTCTGTTACCCAGGCTAGAGTGCAGTGGTGGAATCTCAGCTCACTGCAACATCCACCTCCTGGGTTCAAGCAATCCTTTTGCCTCAGTGTCCCTAGTAGCTGGGACCACAGGTGTGCACCACTATGTCTGGCTAATTTTTGTATTTATCGTAGAGATGTGGACTTGCTTTTTTGCCTAGGCTTGTTTCAAACTCCTGAGCTCAAGGAGTCCTCCGGCTTCAGCCTCCCAAAGTGCTGGGATCACAGGTATGAGCCACTGCTCCTGACCTACCCATTTTTAAAAAATGGGATTATTTGTCTTTTTATTGTTGAGTTGTAGACTCACTGTGGTTTTCATTTGCATTTCTCTGATGGCTAATGATATTAAGCATCTTTACGTGTGTTTAATGACCATTTGTATATTTTCTTTGGAGAAATGTCTATTGAGATCTTTTGCCCATATTTAAATTAGGTCATTTTTCTTGTTATTTTTGCGTTGTAAGTGTTCTTTAAAAATTCTGGGCTGGGTGTGATCGCTCATGCCTTTAATCCCAGCACTTTGGGAGGCCCAGGCCAGTGGATTGCTTGAGCCCAGGAGTTCAAGACCAGCCTGGGCAACGTGGGGAGACCCTGTCTCTACAAAAATACAAAAATTAGCTGGGCATGGTGGTGTGCGCCTGTGGTCCCAGCTACACGGGAGGCTGAGATAAGAGAATTGCATGAACCCAGGAGGTGGAGGTTGCAGTGAGCCGAGATTACACCATTGGATTTCAGCCTGGGTGATGGAGCAAGACCCTTTCTCAAAAAAAAAAAAAAAAAAAAGAAATTCTGTACAAATTTCTTATCAAGTACATGATTTACTAAACTTTCTCTTATTCTTTGGGTTGTCCTTTCACTTTCTTGATGGTGTCCTTTGAAACACATATTTTTAATTTCAATTATGTCCAATTTATTTTTTCTTTTGTTGCTAGTGCTTTTGATGTCATATCAAAGAAATTATTGCCAAATCCAATATCATAAAGATTTACTCCTATATTTTCTTTTGTTATATAGTTGTAGCTCTTAAGTTTAGATTTTTGGTCCATTTAGAGTCAATTTTTGTATGTACTGCAAGGAGGGGATCCAACTTTATTATTTTCACCATTTTTTGTAAAGACTCTTCCAATTGAATTGTGTTGGCATATTTGTCAAAAAGTAATTGGATGTAAATGTGAGAATTTTTATTGTTTATATGTCTGCCTTCCACCAGTACCATGCTGCCTTTATTACAGTAGCTTTGTAGTAAGTTTTGAAATCAGAATTTGTGAGTCCTCTAACTTTGTCTTTTTCTAGATTGGTTATTCTTTGTTTATGGTATTTCCATATGAATTTTTAGGATCAGATTTTATTTCTGCAAAAAAGGTATCTAGGATTTTGGTAGGTAGAATTGCCTTGAATATGCAGAGGAGTGTGGGAAGCATTGCCATATTAACAATATTAAGTCTTCTGCTCCATGACTGTGAGATGTCTTTTGGTTTATTTTTGTCTTAATTTCTTTCAACAATATTTTATTATTTTAAGAGTATAAGTTTGTACTTCTTTTGTTAAATTTATTTCTAAGTATTTTATTCTTTTTTATCCTATTATAAATTGAATTACTTTCTTTATTTCATTTTTTGTTTGTTTATTGCTAGTGTGTAGAATACAACTGATGTTTGTATATTGGCTTTTATCTTGCAATCTTGCTTAACTCGATTACTAGTTCTAAGAGTTTTTTAGTGGATTCCTTAGGACTTTTGATATATAAGACTGGGTCATCTGCAAATTGAGATAGTTTTACTTCTTTCTTTGCAACCTAAATTCATTTTATTTCTTTTTGTACCCTAACTGCACTGGCTAAAACCTCCAGTGTAATGTTGAATTGAAGTGGTTAGAGTGGACATCCTTGTCTCATTCTTTTAAAAAATAATTAGTTAAATTTTTTTTCTTTTGTAAAATATATAGGCGGGGGTCTCACTATGTTGTGCAGTCTGGGCTCCAACTCCTGAGCTTAAGTGGCCCTCCCTTCAGTCTCCCAAAGTGTGGGATTATAGGAATGAGCCTTCGTGCCTGGCCTCTTGTCTTGTTCTTCATTTTAGGGGAAAACATTCAGTTCTTTACTTTTAAGTGTGATCTGGGTTATGATTTTTAATAGATGCCCTTTATTAGGTTGAGAAGTTTCATTTTTTTTTAGCTTTTTAAAAATCGATACATAATAGGTGTACATGTTTTCAGGGTTCATGTGATCATTCCATACATTAATATAATCAGATCAGGGCTGTTGATATACCCATCATCACCTTAAATATTTACCATTTCTCTGTTCTAGGAACATTCCAATTATTCCCTGCTAACTATTTTGAAATGTACAGCCTTTTGATGTTAGCTATAGTCACCGTACTGATCTACTGAACAACAATTCTTATTTCTTCCATCTAAGCGTATGTTTGTACCCACTAATCAACCTCTCTTCATCTCTCCTCCCCCTACCCTTCCCAGCCTCTGGTAACCAGCAGTCTGCTCTCTATCTTCATGAGATCTACTTTGTTAGCTTCCACATCTGAGTCAGAATATGTGATATTTGTCTTTCTGTGCTTGGCTTCTTTCATGTAACATAATGTCCTCCAGTGACATCCATATTGTTGCAAATGACAGGAATTTATTCTTTGCCCAGCTAATTTTTTATGGCTGAATAATATTCCTCTCTCTCTGTCTCGCTCTCTCTCTCTCTCTCTCTCTCTCTCTATATATATATATATATGGATGTTTCAAAAACAACTGCAATGTGACATATATATATATATATATATATATATATATATATATATATATATATATATATACAGGGTCTCAGTCTTTTGCCTAGATTGGAGTGCAGTGGCATGATCATAGCTCATTCCAGCCTGGATGGAACTCCTGCACTCAAGTGATCTTTGCACCTCAGACTCCCAAGTAGCTGGTACTAGGGGTGTGTGCCACCATGCCCGGCTAATTTTTGTATTTTTTGGTAGAGACAGGGTCTTACTCTGTCACCCAGGCTGTTCTTGAACTCGTGGCCTCAAGTGATCCTCCTGCTTGGCCTCCAAAGTGTTGGGATTTATAGGCATGAGCCACTGTGCGTGAACACATTTTCTTTATCCATTCATCCTTTGATGGACACTTGGGTTTATTCCATATTTCCGCTGTTGTCAATAGTGCTGCAGTAACCATGGGAGTGCACATATCTCTTCGTGATTGATTTTCTTCTTTCTTGGATATCTACCCAGCTGTGGAATTGCTGGATCATATGGTATTATTATTATTATTATTATTATTTTTTTTTTTTTGAGATGGAGTCTTGCTCTGTTACCCATGCTGGAGTGCAGTGGCACGATCTCAGCTCACTGCAGCCTCCGCCTCCCGGGTTCAAGCAGTTCTCCTGCCTCAGTCTCCTGAGTAGCCGGGATTACATATATGTGCCACCACACCTGGCTAATTTTTGTATTTTCAGTAGAGACGGGGTTTCACCATGTTGGCCAGGCTGGTCTTGAACTCCTGACTTCAGGTGATCTACTCGCCTTGACCTCCCAAAGTGCTGAGATTACAGGTGTGAGCCACCGTGCCCAGCCTTTAGTGTAACTTTTATTGAAAAAAAATTCCACGTATAAGTGGATCCATGCAGTTCAGAACTTTGTTGTTCAAGGGTCAATGTAACTTTGAACTTGTCTCTCACTTTTAAGACATTAAATAATTTTAAATTCTAATGACAAATTTAATTTTAAGTGTATTGATTTAAGGCATTACATTACAACTTTTGACAATAATAATAGTAAACTGCCAGACATTTCCAAGTTTCATGGCAATATCGTCCTTGAAATTGTATTGAAAAGCAGGGAAAAATAAGTTTAGCTACTATACCGTCTCAGTTACTTGCTTTAAACATTATTTTGCAAAACAGTACTTTTGCAAAACAATTAACATGGTTTATGATGGGCTACAAAAAAAGGACAAATTAACTTCTGAAAATGATTCAACAGAAGCTAGACTTAATAAGGAGGTAATTGAATCACTGCATCAGCCAGATGAAGTATGAAATGTGAGTTTTTTTAGGTATTCTGTGCGATTTAAGGCTTAGCAGAATTAAAGGTAGTGACAAGTAGAAACTATCTGATATATCAATGACTAATAACAATGTTGATAATTTTGATAGGTGATTTTTATTTTGTGTCAAGTACTGTTCTAACATCTTTACATATGGGCCAAGGATTGGATTGTCAAATCAGACTGACATGAAGTGGAGATGTTAATCAATATTAAGCTTTCCTTATAATTTCAAGAATACAAGCAATCAAAAGGCTCAGAAAAAGCAGAGACATGTCTGGGACATTGAGAGAGGCCCCCGGATCCTTTCTTACTGCAATAGACAAAACTCTGTGGCCCAAAGCAGTAGATGAGGTCCTTAATGAAATATATGAGTTATTAGCAGGGAGTGTTACAGGCTGTGAAACATCTCCGTTTTATACCCAGATAGTTGCAAAGCTCATGCCCTGTGCCCAGTGCTCCATGTCCCATAAATCTTGAGATTCTCAGTTTGTTTATCATAGTAATCCTAATTCAGGGGCAGTCTGCTAACAGCTTTTTATGGGTAAATAGTCTTTTTTTAAATTATTAAGCAAACACTGTTAGTATTTTTGCCAGCTATTGGTGTGCTTACAAGGAGGTTTGACCAGATTTTTTACCTTCTTTTTTTTTTTTTTTTTTTTTTTTTGTGAGAGAGCCTCTCACCCAATAGGAGAAAAACACTGCTTTAACTCTTTCTCCCCAACAAATTAACTCATTTAAATTCAATTAATTTTTTTAGCATAAACAAGATAAAATATATCAAGAAGGAATTTAAAACATTGAAACATCAGATCGGTTTCTAAAAAATCTTTTATTTTTAGTTTGGTTAGTAGGCATTGGGGAGAGAAATGCACTGAGAAGTATATAGTAAATATAAATATTTTCCTATTACCAACAGATATTCACAATAGCAATTTATTTTATTAACTTTCTTGTGTGTATGTGTCTGCACAGTTAATAGACAATTCTTTTTTCTATTTCACATTAGAAGATTTGAGAAATCATATGATTCTTTTAATGTTTAATTATTTCTTCTTTCTCAACCCAACCTTCAAATCAGAATGGAGATCCAGTTCGCCCAGGAGTAGCTATGACTGATCTTGCCACTGGCCTGTATGCATATGGAGCTATTATGGCTGGATTGATACAAAAATACAAAACTGGGAAAGGACTGTTCATTGATTGTAACCTACTGTCATCCCAGGTAACAATCCAACTAACATTTCAGATAATGTTATAAAAACTGTGTCTGGGTTATACCTTTTCAGATCAAATTCTATGGTCACATGTACAAAAACAATACAAAAACCAACACAACAACACTGAAAACTGTTTCATTTTGATGTACTTGTTTCTTTTCTTTTTTGAGATGGAATTTTGCTCTTGTTGCCCAGGCTGGAGTGCAATGGCGTGATCTTGGCTCACTGCAACCTCCACCTCCTGGGTTCAAGCAATTCTTCTGCCTCAGCCTCCTGAGTAGCTGGGGTTACAGGCATGTGCCACCACGCCCGGCTAATTTTGTATTTTTAGTAGAGATGGGGTTTCTCCATGTCGGTCAGGCTGGTCTCGAACTCCCGACCTCAGGTGATTTGCCCACCTTGGCCTCCCAAAGTGCTGGGATTACAGGCATGAGCCACCACGAATGGCCCATGTACTTGTTTTCATATTAAAATACACGGACCATGAAGATTTTGTTGTAATGTAGACATCATTGTTGAACCCAAATTTTCCAGGCTGTTTTTACTAGAATGTGTCTGTTGCTTCTTATAAGACAAGAGATATGGTTGCTTCACATGTACTCTGTAACTTACTTTGACTTGTTTCTTCACCTTTTATGTGCCACGAACCCCTTTGGTAGTCTGGTGAAGTCTGGACTTTTCCTTGCAATTGTGTTTTTGAACACATAAAATAAGGTACTTAGGATTACAAAGGAAGCTGGTTATACTGAAATATATTCAATGGAAAAATCAATTTTGCATTATTAAAAATATATAATTTTTACTAACACATTAAACCACAATATCTAATAGTGGGTGTAACACTATTATAATTTTGAAGTCATGTTGAGCATAAGTGGTATTTCATGGTATCTGTAGTAATTGTAATATGATACAAAGATATGCATAATATTTATTCGTGATCAAGTCATAGGTACCACTAATATTCTTGTGGTTTGTCACCTACATTTATAATAGAATAAAATGCTAAATTTTAGAGGTGATGAAAATAAAGATACACTTTTTTTTTCACTTGAGTTGATTAACTCCCAGAAATCTGTTTATAGACCCCAGATAAAGAATTCCTGGTTTCCGTAGTTATCAGTTATGTTGTGCTAAATACTAAACTGGGGGAATAAAAGGGTTAACTCACTGTCAAAATGACATTTTGCCTTCTTTTCACTGGATCAGACCCAGATGCTGTACCATATGTGGAAGTTGATTCTGAATAGATAATTTTTCCGTGATAGAAAAAGAAAATATCTGATTTGTGCAAGGAGACATTTTACTGTGGGAAAAACTACTTTCTAGACATAGAGACCCCAGTTGGGAATTTCAGATTTAAAAGGCATACATGGGAAAATAGTAAACTTGGAACACTGCTTTGGATATTTTTTCCTCTTAGGCAAAATTAAGGAGGTATATAGAAATAAAAAACATCAATATGGTTGAAAATGAAATACTATGTATGGGTTTTTACATAACAGTAGCTTCGAGTCGTGGTCAGAATTTTAATGTTTCTATAAAAAGGTAAAAGAACTCTGTTCAAATGAGTGGTTTCACTCCTTAATAGAGAACTACAGATGTTAGTTATGGGAGGGTGCAGAAAGTCTTTTCTTCCTCTAATTTTAAGCTGTAAGGAACCTGAGGTAGGGTAAGCAACTGCATAAAAGTTGCACATCCAATAAGTTTGGAAGCCATGAAGGTTTCATGGGTGTGTAATCTGTGCAGTCATGGGTAGCCCTGGGCTTAGTTAAATGTTCTGCTGTCACTGTCTTGAATTTGTTAATAACATCCACAGGAGGCCCTATAGTTTTTATTTACACCAGTACTCACAAATTATGTAGCAGGTCGTGGAGTTGAGACTCTACTTAAGTCTCCTGATTTTTACCTAGGCTGCTTTACTCTAATGTATAAAGAGTATTGTATTATTTAGATGAGTATCATAGAGTTTAATTCACTTCTAGCATCTAACTAGTGGTTCACCATGTGAAGGTGTGTATTTCCCTGGGAGTAAGGGTGGGGAAGGTGGAATCACCATAGGGCTGCTTCAAAGTGAGGGCACAGTGACGGCAAACTCATGCATATACACACAGGTATATAGTCAATCATTTTTGGGGTGTGCATGTGTGTGTGTGTGTGTGTGTGTGTCTGTCTGTCTGTCTGTGTCTGTGTCTATTTTTATTGTCTCTGTTTCTCCCTGAGACTAAATTCTATGACTGCTGGCACAATGTTTTTGTGTACCATGGTATCCTCAATTCCCAGCCCAGCCTTTGTCAAAGATTGGCTTTTCCAATCCTTTGAGGTCAATGTGAGAACTACTGTTACCAGTGGGAATGTCTCGTAACCCTTAGGTTTGCCAAGGAAGATGTGAAAAGATAGTAAATCATTAGAATTATGATAAGTACTCGATAAACAGCTAATGATGAGATTATTTGCTTTTGGCAAAAAAAGTAGCAGTGATTTGGCCTATTGTACTACAGTTAACTCAGATTGCTAAAATTAGTGTATTTCAGTCTCATTAACTATCTTTCTTTTTTTCTTTTTCTGTCGCCCAGGCTGGAGTGCAGTGATGCGATCTCAGCTCACTGCAACTTCTGACTCCTAGGTTGAGCAATTCTTGTGCCTCAGCCTCCCGAGTAACTGGGACTACAGGCGTGTGTCAAAACTCCTGGCTAATTTTTTTTTTTTGTATTTTTTGGTAGAGACGGGGTTTTGCCATGTTGGCCAGGCTGGTCTTGAACTCCTGACCTTGAGTGATCCACCTGCCTCAGCCTCCCAAAGTGCTGGGATTATAGGCGTGAGCCACTGCACCCAGCCAGAGCCACTGTGCTGAGCAAGAGTTCTGTTTCTTTATTCATAAATTCTATTAGGTGATGGTCTTTTAAGGCAAAGAATATGTCTCTTCATAGACTTGCTACAGCTGCCCCATTCAGAATAGCTTCTGGGCTGTGAGTAGTGGTTAGAGAACTTCAAAAGGCAATTTAACAGATAATTTGTTCTTTTTGTTATTATTATTATTATTATTATTATTATACTTTAAGTTTTAGGGTACATGTGCACAATGTGCAGGTTAGCTACACATGTATACATGTGCCACGCTGGTGTGTTGCACCCATTAACTCGTCATTTAGCACTAGGTATATCTCCTAATGCTATCCCTCCCCCATCCCCTCACCCCACAACAGTCCCCAGAGTGTGGTGTTCCCCTTCCTGTCTCCATGTGTTGTCATTGTTCAATTCCCATCTATGAGTGAGAACATGCGGTGTTTGGTTTTTTATCCTTGCGATAGTTTACTGAGAATGATGATTTCCAGCTTCATCCATGTCCCTACGAAGGACATGAACTCATCATTTTTTATGGCTGCATAGTGTTCCATGGTGTATATGTGCCACATTTTCTTAATCCAGTCTATCATTGTTGGATATTTGGGTTGGTTCGGGCAAAGGATATGAACAGACACTTCTCAAAAGAAGACATTTATGCAGCCAAAAGACACATGAAAAAATGCTCATCATTGGCCATCAGAGAAATGCAAATCAAAACCACAGTGAGATACCGTCTCACACCAATTAGAATGGCAATCATTAAAAAGTCAGGAAACAACAGGTGCTGGAGAGGATGTGGAGAAATAGGAACACTTTTACACTGTTGGTGGGACTGTAAACTAGTTCAACCATTGTGGAAGTCAGTGTGGCGATTCCTCAGGGATCTAGGACTAGAAATACCATTTGACCCAGCCATCCCATTACTGGTTATATACCCAAAGGACTATAAATCATGCTGCTATAAAGACACATGCACACATATGTTTATTGCGATACTATTCACAATAGCAGATAATTTATTCTACAGCTTACCTGAAGTGCAAGGCAATGCCTGGTAAGAACTTTTTCACTCTCTGGATTTGCTGCATCCTGAGCTCTGTTTTTCTCTGTTTGCCTCTGCTTTATTCCTTGTCTCTGTCCTCCCTTTCTTCTCATGTGCCCTTCTCTAGCCTGGACATCTCTTTTCTCCTTTTTTTCTCTCTCATCTTTCTTTACTTTCCTGTTTTCCTTTCTCCTCTATGCTCTTGACCTTCTTCCCTCTCCCTCCCTTTTATCCATCCTTCCTTATGTGGAACTAAGGTTTTAGCAGTTTTGGTTTCAGATCTTACATTTTTTTTTTTTTTAAAGAGATACGGTCTCGTGCTTTTGTCCAGGTTGGAATGCAGTGGTGCAATGATAGCTCACTGAAACCTCGAACTCCTGGGCTCAAACAATCCTCCTTCCTCAGCTTCCCTAGTGGTTCGGACTACAGGCGTATGACCTTATGCCTGGCTAATTTTTGTATTTTTTTTTTTTTTTAGAGATGGGGGGGTCTGACTGTGTTGTCCAGGCTAGTCTTGAACTCTTGGCCTTAAGGGATCTTCCTGCCTTGGCCTGCCAACATGTTGGTATTGCAGGTGTGAGCCACTGCATCCAGCCAGATCTTACCAGATCTTACATTCTTATACCGTATTATTCCAAAAAGTTTCAGAATCTTACAGTAGTTCCCATGAGAGATAAAGGAAGTTCCCTTTCCTAGAAGTCCCAGAAAACAAGAACATGATTTCACTGGTTTAAGGGACCATTCCTAAACTGATAAATGGGGCCTGAAAGATAGAATACACTGAGTGGCATAAGCAATTCCTGGTACTAGCGATGGGGTTAACTCCACCCAAACTGTGTGGCTGAGACTGGGGGACAGGTGATTCCTCCAAAGAATGGCATGGTTATTTTTTGGCCAGAAAAGAGGGAAATGGATGTTGGGGAAGCAATCTACAAATATTTACTATGCTAATGTAGAGGGTTGTTTTTAGGATCTAATGCAATGAAGGATGTGAAAAATACTTTGTAAATCAGAAAGTTTAATGATGACAACATTAATTTTATTAGGTTATTGAAAAAATACTTCAGTGTTAGTAATGTTAGATTAAAAAGTTGGCTAATAACATAATTATTTTATCATAATTATGATAACGTTTCATAATAGATAAACCTTGACTGACTTCAATTTGTCTTTCAATTTAAGATAACACTTATAAATTCTAGATCTAAAAACCAACCACAACATGATTAAAACCTGCTTTATGTAAATAAGGAGTGCTATTTGTAGGTACTTTTCAAAAAAGCGTAACAGGAAACTTCACCTTTTTTTAAATTAAAAAAAGTATTCTTTTTAATATAAATGTTCACCTGCATTAAGTAGGTAACATTTGAATTTAATTTCAGCTGCGTGAGAATGAATACAATTTCATGCAGTAGTAAAAAACACATTTTCCTACTCATTTTGATTATATTACATAGAATGATGAATGATTATAACATTGAACGTTAGTTGCTAAAAATGAAATTGTTATATTCCTCTTAAAAGTGATCTAGTGTAAAAAAGACAATTTACACCTGATTGGAATAGTAGCTAATTATTAACTCAGAAATGATTGCCTCAGCCACAACAAAACCATTTCAAGTAGTTCCTTGTAGAGACATGACAATTGCCAGGATGTGGTTTGTAGTGGGCACCACAGTTTTTATAGTTTTAAGGCTATAAACTTTCAACCCTTGTCAAAAATTCTTTTGATTTTTTTGTCTGAATATGATTTAAATTTGTCCAGTCAAGACAACTAACATCAGCATCTAAACAGTGTTCTTTAGATGATATTGGTAAATAACAAGGAAGCGGGTTTGGATGTGGTTCTGCTTATTCTGTTGCTCTATTCTTCTGTTGTGGCCTACAGAAATATCTTTTGGAAGTTTTAATGTCCTTACTGTACTTAATTGCAACCAGGCTCCCTTAATTACTACTACAATGAGTTAGTTTTTTTAGCACCATAATTATTTGCATATATAGAATATATTGTCACTTTTGATGTGACCATCCTTTACTCACACATGTACATTGATCATATTACATGAACATATTCAAGTAGAAACAATTTTAATTCTTATCATTTTGACTGATAAACTTTTGAATCTCAAGCAAGTAATCTAAAATTCATTGTTTTGTGTCCTTAGATATACCTGTGTTTCTGCTTTTTTAAGCAACTCTGTATCATTTTTTTAAACAATTTTATTGAGGTATATATTACATATCATAAAAATGACAACTTAATGATTTTAGTAAGTTTAGTGGGTTATGTAACCATCAGTATTAATCAGGTTTTGATGAGTACCCGTATTGTTACTTCTGGTGCGGGTCTTGCCGATGAGGCTAGAATGGACGAGTTTTGAGTGGGGAGAGATCTGGGACTAGGCTGACTTAAAAGAAGGGGCCCATTATGACTTCCGTGGGCCCTGGGAACTTTTGCCTTTGTGGGTTCTTTCCTTCATAAAAATATTAAAAATTACATTCTATAACTGCATTGGTATAAAGATGAAGATAATTCATTATTCTGCATTTATTATTATTACACTCTTTTTTTCTGATTTGAAATGAAATGAAAATTGAAACATTTTTGTGTACCCCTAAAGTCTTGTGGGTCTTAAGCATTGTGCCTACTGTGCATAATTGATAGATCAGCTCTAGAAGAATTACCTTGAGAAAAGCCCGTGAATGTACAAATCTGTGAGGAAAGCAGTTGTGTATCTGGGAAGGAAGTAGAGCTGAAAGCTGAGATTGTGTTGAAGCATGAGTATAGGATGAAAGAGTAGAGAGGCAGCACAGTCTATGACTAAGGAAATTAAGAGAACTCCTCAAAGGGAGTTTTGTTTTTTCTTCCTTTAAGGGAGAACGAAAAATAGAAGGTTATAGCAGAAAGTTGGGTATGATACTAGCTGTGGGCTTGTAATATGTAGCTTTTATTGTGTTGAGGTACATTCCTTCTATACCTAATTTATTGTAAGTTTTTATCATGAGAAGATGTTGAATATTGCTAAATGCTTTTTCTGTATTCACTGAGACAATCATATAATTTTTATCCTTCATTCTGTTAATGAATCGAAAGCAGTCTCAGGTGAAAAACACAAAGCTGGAGGCATTATACTTCTTGATTTCAAAATATAATACAAAACTATTGTAATCAAAACAGCATGGCATTGGCATGAAGACAGACATGTAGACCAAAGGAGCAGCATAGAAAGCTCAGAAATAAATACACACAGTTACAGGCAATTGATTTTTTGTTTGTTTGTTTTAGATGTTTTTTTGGAGACAGGGTCTCAATCTGTCACCCAGGCTGTCCAGTTTAGCAGCATAATCTCACTCACTGCAACCTCTGCCTCCCAGGTGCAAATGACTCTCCTGCCTCAGCCTCCCAAGTAGCTGGGATTATAGGCACAAACCACCACACCCAGCTACTTTTTGTATTTTTAGTAGAGACAGGGTTTCACCATGCTGGCCAGGCTGTTCTCGAACTCCTGACCTCAAGAGTGCTGGGATTACAGGCATGAGCCACCGCACCCAGCCTGAATATCCAGTTTTACCAATACAATTTATTGGAGAGACTGTACTTTCCCTATTGTGTATTGTGGCACCTTTGTCAAAGATCAATTGACTGGCCAGGTGCAGTGGCTCATGCATGTAATCCCAGCACTTTGGGAAGCTAAGGTGGGCGAATCATTTGAGGTCAGAAGTTTGAGACCAGCCTGGCCAATGTAGTGAAACTCCATCTCTACTAAAAATAAAAAAATTAGCCGGGCATGGTGGCATGCACCTGTAGTCTCAGCTACTTGGGAGGCTGAGGCACAAGAATCGCTTGAACCCGGGAGGTGGAGGTTGCAGTGAGCTGAGGTTGCGCCAGTGCACTCTAGCCTGGGTGACAGAGCTAGACGCTGTCTCAAAAATACTGAAAAAACAAAAACAAAAACAAACAAACAAACAAACAAACAAAAAAACCAACTGGATATTCAGATGCAGAAGAATGAGGTTGGACCCTTATCTTACACTATATACAAAAATCAACTTAAAATGGATTAAAGGGGCCAGTGCAGTGGCCTGTAATCCCAGCATGCAGGAGTATCACTTGAGGCCAGGAGTTTGGGACCAGCATGGCCACTATAATGAGACCCTGTCTATACAAAAAAATACAAAAATTACCCGGGCATGGTTGTGAGCACCTGTCACAACCATGTGAGGCTGAGGTAGGAGAATTGCTTGAGCCCAGAAATTAGAGGTTACATAGAATTATGAGCATGCCACTGAACTCCAGCCTGGGTGACAGAGCGAGACCCTATCTCTAAATGTAAATAAATAAATAATATGGATTAGAGACTGAAACATAAGATCTAAACTGTTAGACTATGAGAATAAAACATAGGGAAATAGCTTCTTGACTTTTTTTTTTGGTGAAGATATTTGGATATGAGCCCAAAAAGCACAGGCAATGAAAGCAAAACTAGACAAACAAGATTGCATCAAACTAAACAGTTTCTGCACAGCAAAGGGAACAATCAACAGAGTGAAGAGACAACTTACAGAATGGGAGAAAATATTTGCAAAGCATATATCTGATAAGGGGTTGTTATCCAAAATATATAAGGAACCCAAACAGTTCACCCCATTAAAATTTGGGCAAACGACCTGAATAGACATTTCTTTCTTTTTCTTTTTTTTTTTTTGAGACGGAGTCTTGCTCTGTCACCCAGGCTGGTGTGCAGTGGTGCCATCTCAGCTCACTGCAACCTCTGCCTCCCAGGTTCAAGACATTCTTCTGCCTCAGCCTCCAAAGTAGCCAGGATTACAGCTGCGGGCCACCATGCCCAGCTAATTTTTGTATTTTTGGTAGCGACGGGGTTCCACCATGTTGACCAGGCTGGTCTTAAACTCCTGACCTCAGGTGATCTACCCACCTTGGCCTCCCAAAATGCTAGGATTACATGCATGAGCCACCGCGCCTGGCCAGACGTTTCTTAAAACAAGACATACAAGTGGCCAACAAGTATCTGAGAAAATGTCCAACACTATGAATCATCAGGGAAAATGCAAATTAAAACCACAACCTCAAACTTGTTAGAATTGCTATTATCAGCAAGAGAGATAATAACAAGTGTTGGTGAGGGTGTGGAGAAAAAGGAACCCTTACACACTATTAGTGGGAATGTAAATTAGTATAGCCGTTATGGAAAACAGTATGGGGGTTCCTCAAAAGAATTAAAAGTAGAACTACCATATGATCTAACAATCCCACTTCTGAGAATATATCAAAGGTGAGGAAATCAGTATGTTGAATAAATATATGCATTTTCATGTTCGCTGCAGCATTGGAATCAATCTAAATGTAAATAATCAGATGAATAGATAAAGAAATGTGTTATATATATGCAATGTAATTTGGTTTAGCCTTAAAAATGAAGAAAATCCTGTCATTTGCAACAAGACATATGAACCTGCAGGACTAAGTGATATAAGTCAGGCATAGAAAGAAAAATATCACATGGTCTCGTATATATGTGGAATCTGAAAAAGTTGAACTCATAGAGGCAGAGACTAGAATGGTGGTTGCCAGGGGCTGGGGGTTGGAGGTGGGGGCAGGGGAAGATGATGGTCAAAGGGGCAAAGTTTCAGTTAGATGGGATGAATAAGTTCTGGAGATCTATTGTACAGCAAGGTGACTAGAGTTAATGTGTACTTTAAATTTCGTAAGAGATTAGATCTTAAATGTTCTTATCATTAAAACACAAGTATATGAGGTGATGAAGGACAGGCATGGTGGCTTATGCCTGTAATCCTAGTGCTTTGGGAGGCTGAGGCAGATGGATCACTTGAGGTCAGGAGATCGAGACCAGCCTGGCCAACCTAGTGAAACCCCGTCTCTACTAAAAATACAAAAATTAGCCAGGTGTGGTGGCGGGCACCTGTAATCCCAGCTACTCTGGAGGCTGAGGCAGGAGAATTGCTTGAACCCGGGAGACAGCAGTTGCAGTGAGCTGAGATTGCACCACTGCACTCCAGCCTGGATGACAGAGCAAGATTCCATTTCCAAAAAAAAAAAAAAAAAATGAGGTGATGTGTATGTTAACTAGCTTGATTTAGTCATCTCACAGTGTAGTCATAGATCAAACATTATATGTACTATCAACATTTATAATTTTATTTTCAATTAAATAAAAAATCATCAATTTAAAACATTGGGAAAAAAAAGGATCTGTTGTTAAGATGAATAATTAGGAAGTTAAAGACAAACCAAAAAAGGAAAAATCAGATTTCTTCCAAAGAAGTAATGCTATTGGTTAGGTTAAATGCAAATTGACTTCAATACAAAATATGGTTTGTTGTCTTCTTGAGGAAAACTGAGCGAAATATAAGTGAATTGGGAACATGCTCTGGTTCTGTATAACTGAAGTCATTAGTTATATTCATGGGCATTGCATATTTTTATATGATATGAACTACAAATGAGGAAAATCAGGTCTTCAACTTGTGATAATTGATAATTACTAGTGGGAGAATATCCCAAAGGAAAAAAGAATAAAATGGGGAGAAATGTTTTATGGTGATGTAACTTAATTTTCTTATTAGATACTTCAAAACACTTTGGAGCTTTCAAATGTTCTTAAACAATAGAAAAATAATTAAGTTCAAGATATAAAAGAAATAGAAATGGAAAGATCTATTGATGTTAACATGTATTTCCTGAGTTTAGATTTTGTCCTTGGAGAACCTAGTAGAATCATGAATTTAATGGACTATTCCTAAAGCTGTGTTTAATGATATCGGAATCATATATATTGTCTACTTTCAGAGTTAGAACAATTTGTTTTTATTACTAAGTTAATTAATTTCACCTTTATCTTTGTACTTTCTCAGGTCAGGGAATTTTAAATTTTATTTATTTATTTATTTATTCTTGTTTTTTTCTTTTTTCGGGGGGGGGCAAGAATTTTATTTAGAATAAAATGTTGCCATCGTGTCCTTGTGTATTGGCTAATCAATCAGTGGTGACTATTTACCCATCTTAATTTATGGACCATGTCTGTAAACTAGATCATGTCTCTTTGGTCCCAACTATTATGCCATCATTGTAGCTAAATGATAAAGAAACCACCTGCATCAAGCATTGTGGCGAGGTGTAATTCTAGGAAAATTACTTTAGTTCTTCACAGAATGGGTATGAGGTATAACGGTGAGTACTTTTTTAATGTTTATAATTGGTTTGTCGGCTAGAGTCATTATATACCAGCAATGATAATCAGACCTTAGTTACCTGGAGAGCTTAGCAATCTAACATTATGGTTGATTTCATTTTCTAGATGAATAATAGTTAAAAGGTAGCTGCTTTAGTTTAAACCCTTGTCAGAGAAATTCTTCTAAAATGCTTTAATTTACTTTTCTATTGTGATCCATTCCATATGCTAAATATATTTTCACCTCCAAGGGTATTATTCTGATCTAATTCCTTTTACATATTGATATTCACTTAGGAAGTAAGAAATTAAGTTGCGTCTGTACAAACAGAATCCAACCATCCATCCCTGCTCCTCATCTATTATGTGCCAGAGTATACAATGAATGATAGATAAGCCAGCAAGTTTCTTGCCTCATGGAACTTTTATTGTAGTTGGAGATATAGACAACAAACAAGTAATTAGTAATAAATGTACATTAGGAAACACAGGGTTTGCTAAAGATAACAGGGGCACTTGTGTTAGGCTGGGTAGGAAAGATTACTTTAAGGAGTTAAAATTGCGGGGATGAGAAGGAGCCCGCCACAGGACTAGCCAAGTCAAGATACTCTCGCCTCTCTCTTAGGAGAACCCCTTTTTTTAAGTTTCATTAGGCCCACATGGATAATCCAGGATAATCTCCCATCTCAAGATCTTTAATGTTATCACATCTATGATGTTCCCCTTACCATGTAAGGTGGCATATTCATAGGTTCTGGGGATAAGGACATTGACATCTTTGGAGACTATTTTCAGCCTACCACAGGTGGTAATAAGGAAGGAGAAAAGGGTAGACATAGTAGTGGTTAAACATTGTAGAACATGTGAAACTTTCTTCTGCTTCAGGCCTTTGCATTTATTGTTTGGTGTGACTGACTGAAAGCCTTCTACTAGCAGTTGTGATTGGTACTAAATCTGGCCATTTCTTCATACTCACGTGAAGAATAAACATTGGGTGTGGCATTTCAAATAATAACCCTATGTCCTATAGTTAGTAGGTCCATTCAAAGTAAGGAATCAGTAACAGGCTGTTTTTTGTTTGTTTGTTTGGCTGGGAAAGAGGGACTTTCTTGGCAGGACATTGGGCCAAGCCTGTAGAGCCGGAGTTGACTACTAGTGTTGTTTTGGTGGAATGGTAGTAGAAGCAACACAAGACTGCAGACAGCTTTAATCTTTCTGTCACTTGGACCCTGACTGGAGGGTGGTATTGAGAAGGTTGACATGGCTTCTGGAAAAGAGTGCCGTGATTATTATCCTTGCCTGCTGAGGTGCAACACTGGGAGGGTGCTATAAGTTTGCTGATCTTGGCATAGGTGCTGCATTACATAGGCTGTTTATATTCTCTAAAGTTGAATTATTGTGATCAGCATTGAGCGATAGAACTTAATGTGATCATATATTCATTTTTTTTAATCTTACAACCTTGCTGGACTCATTATTTAGTTCTAAGAGTATTTTAGTGGATTCTGTAGGATTTTTCCTGTGTGAGATTACATCATCTGTAAAATAAGATAGTTTTACTTTTCTCCTCTCCAATATGAATGCATTGTATTTCTTTTTCTTGCCTAATTGCCCTGGACAGAAATCCAGTACAATGTTGAATGGAAGTGGCAAGAGCAGGCATCCTTTTCTTGTTCCTGATCTCAAGGCAAAACATTTCAGTCTTTCACCATTATGTATGATGTAACTGTGTTTTTTCCCTTGATACTCTTTTTTTTTTTTTTAAAGTCAAGGTCTCTGTCTGTCACGCAGGCTGGAATGCAGTGGCATGATCATGGCTCACTGCAGCCTTGAACTCCCAGTCTCAAGCAATCCCCCACCTCAGCCCCCTGAGTGGCTTGGACTACACGCATATGCCATCATGCTCAGCTAAATTTTTTTGAATTTTAATAGAGATGGGGTCTCAGTATGTTGCCCATGCTGGTCTCAAACTCCTGAGCTCAAGTGATCCTCCTGTCTTGGCCTCCCAAAGTGCTGGGATTACAAGCATGAGCCATAGTGCCTGGCTTTCCTTAATACTCTTTAACAGGTCGAGGAAGTTCCCTCTGTTCCTAGTTTACTGACTGTTTTTATCATGAAAGAGTGTTGAATTTTGGTAAATGCTATTTCTCTGACTATTGACATGATGATTTGTTTTGTGTCACTTATCCCATTTATATGTTATTTGGTTATTGATTGATTAACAATTGACATTGATTTTTGTATATTGAACCAATTTTTCAACCCTTGGAAAAATTTCAGTTGGTCAAGTTGTATGATCTTTGTATGTATTGCTGTACTCAGTATGCTAGTATGTTGCTGAGGATTCTTAGGTTTATATTCATAAGGGATATTGGTCTTTACGGTCTGTAGTTTTCTTATGATGTTTTTGGTGTCTGAGTAACATTTGCCTCATAGAAAGAGTTGAAAAGTATTCCCTCCTCTCCTTGCTTTTGGAAGAGTTTGTGAAGAATTAGTACTAATTTTTCTTTTATTGTTTGGTAGAATTCATCATTGAAGCTTAAAAAAAAAAGAAAACAAAGCCTGGGTTGTTCCCCCACTAAACTTTAAACTCATTCTGCTGAATTTTGTGGTTGCCAGGCTGCTAGTATTTAGTTACTAATGAGGCTGTTGGTTCTCAAGCCTGGTAGAAGTGGATGTTAACACAGCAAGTTAAGATGTCACAAAGCTTGCCGGTCTTATTAAAATTCAGGGTTTTTTTTTCTTGGATAAAAACTCATCAGTTATTGCAAGGCTTTAGTTAATTTCCAGAGTTTTCAAAAATTTGATTTTGGGAATTTTTGCCAGTGTTCTTGTTGCTTTTATGGCAGAAGGCTTTATTTCATCTTTTTTGAGTGTGCTTATTACCGACACCTATAATTTAAAATTCCCTATTAGCCCCATTAAAAAAATAAAGAGGAACAGATGAGATTAATTTTGATTATATATTTTATTCAACCAAATATATCCAAAATATTTTCCTTTCAAAATGTAAAATTTGTATAAAATTAATAATTATTTTACTTTTTTCTTATATGATGTCCTTCAAGTTTTATATGTAGTTGTACATTTACAACACATCTTAATTTGGAATATTGCCATCAAAGTCTCAATAGCCACATGTGGGCAGTGGCTATTGTAATGGCTAGAATAGTCTTAGAACACAGAAGAATGGGCTGATGCTTTGAAATTTCAGTCTTTTCTTTCTTCCTTCCCCACTCATGTTGAAAGTGAAAAATAATGTTTAACCACTACTATGTCTCTTTCCTCCTTCCGTATTATCACCTGTGGTAGGCTGAAAATAGTCTCCAAAGATGTCAACGTCCTTATCCCCAGAACCTATGAATATGCCACCTTACATGGTAAAGGGAACATCATAGATGTGATTAAATTAAAGATCTTGAGATGGGAGATTATCTTGGATTATCCATGTGGGCCTAATGAAACTAAAAAAAAAAGGTTCTTGTAAGAGAGAGGCGAGAGTATCAGAATCATTACAATAGTCTCTCCTTACCTGTGGGGGATACATTTTAAGATCCCCAGTGGATGCTTGAAACCATGGTTAGTACCAAACCCTATAAATACTGTGTTTTTTTCCTAGGTATGCATGTATAGGAGTTGAACAATATGGTAAAATATTTGAATATGGCCTAATTTGAACAATGGTAAAATAGAGCAATTGTAACAATATATTATAATATCTCTCAACAAATTAGGTATTGATGGGACGTATCTCAAAATAATAAGAGCTATCTATGACAAACCCACAGCCAATATCATACTGAATGGGCAAAAACTGGAAGCATTCCCTTTGAAAACTGGCACAAGACAGGGATGCCCTCTCCCACCACTCCTATTCAACATAGTGTTGGAAGTTCTGGCCAGGGCAATTAGGCAGGAGAAGGAAATAAAGGGTATTCAATTAAGAAAAGAGGAAGTCAAATTGTCCCTGTTTGCAGATGACATGATTGTATATCTAGAAAACCCCATTGTCTCAGCCCAAAATCTCCTTAAGCTGATAAGCTACTTCAGCAAAGTCTCAGGATACAAAATCAATGTACAAAAATCACAAGCATTCTTATACACCAATAACAGACAAACAGAGAGCCAAATCATGAGTGAACTCCCATTCACAATTGCTTCGAAGAGAATAAAATACCTAGGAATCCAACTTACAAGGGATGCGAAAGACCTCTTCAAGGAGAACTACAAACCACTGCTCAATGAAATAAAAGAGGATACAAACAAATGGAAGAACATTCCACGCTCATGGATAGGAAGAATCAATATCATGAAAATGGCCATACTGCCCAAGGTAATTTATAGATTCAATGCCATCCCCATCAAGCTACCAATGACTTTCTTCACAGAATTGGAAAAAACTACTTTAAAGTTCATATGGAACCAAAAAAGAGCCCGCATCGCCAAGTCAATCCTAAGCCAAAAGAACAAAGCTGGAGGCAGCATGCTACCTGACTTCAAACTATATTACAAGGCTACAGTAACCAAAACAGCATGCTACTGGTACCAAAACAGAGATAGAGATCAATGGAACAGAACAGAGCCCTCAGAAATAATGCCACATATCTACAACCATCTGATCTTTGACAAACCTGAGAAAAACAAGCTTTGGGAAAGGATTCTCTATTTAATAAATGGTGCTGGGAAAACTGGCTAGCCATATGTAGAAAGCTGAAACTGGATCCCTTCCTTACACCTTATACAAAAATTAATTCAAGATGGATTAAAGACTTACATGTTAGACCTAAAACCATAAAAACCCTAGAAGAAAACCTAGGCAGTACTATTCAGGACATAGGCATGGGCAAGGACTACATGTCTAAAACACCAAAAGCAATGGCAACAAAAGCCAAAATTGACAAATGGGATCTAATTAAACTAAAGAGCTTCTGCACAGCAAAAGAAACTACCATCAGAGTGAACAGGCAACCTACAAAATGGGAGAAAATTTTCTCAACCTACTCATCTGACAAAGGGCTAATATCCAGAATCTACAATGAACTCAAACAAATCTACAAGAAAAAAACAGACAATCCCATCAAAAAGTGGGTGAAGGATATGAACAGACACTTCTCAAAAGAAGACATTTACGCAGCCAAAAAACACATGAAAAAATGCTTGTCATTACTGGCCATCAGAGAAATGCAAATCAAAACCACAATGAGATACCACCTCCCACCAGTTAGAATGGCGATCATTAAAAGTCAGGAAACAACAAGTGCTGGAGAGGATATGGAGAAATAGGAACACTTTTACACTGTTGGTGGGACTGTAAACTAGTTCAACCATTGTGGAAGTCAGTGTGGTGATTCCTCAGGGATCTCGAACTAGAAATACCATTTGACTCAGCCATCCCATTACTGGGTATATACCCAAAGGATTATAAATCATGCTGCTATAAAGACACATGCACACGTGTGTTTATTGCGGCACTATTCACAATAGCAAAGACTTGGAACCAACCCAAATGTCCATCAGTGATAGACTGGATTAAGAAAATGTGGCACATATACACCATGGAATACTATGCAGCCATAAAAAATGATGAGTTCATGTCCTTTGCAGGGACATGGATGAAACTGGAAACCATCATTCTCAGCAAACTATTGCAAGGACAAAAAACCAGACACCACATGTTCTCACTCATAGGTGGGAATTGAACAATGAGAACACATGGACACAGGAAGGGGAACATCACACTCTGGGGACTGTTGTGGGGTGGGGGGAGGGGGGAGGGATAGCATTAGGAGATATACCTAATGTTAAATGGCGAGTTAATGGGTGCAGCACACCAACATGGCACATGTATACATATGTAACAAACCTGCACATTGTGCACATGTACCCTAAAACTTAAAGTATAATAATAATAAAATAAAAAAATATATATATAGTAATAAAAGTTATGTGAATGTGGTCTGTCTCAGTATATCATTACAATATGTACTATGCTCACCTATTTCTAGATTGCAGTTGAAAGTGGAAAGTGAAACCACAGATTAGAGGGGAGTCTTATAGTTTGCGATGTGATAATGGTAGCAAGAAGTTGAAGTGATTTGAGGAATGAGGTCACACATCTAACATATGCACTCAGCCTCTAGAAGCTTAAAGAGGCAAGGAAACAGATTCTCACTTGAGAGCCTCCAGAAGGAACCAGCTTTGTCGACACCTTGACATTAGCCCATGCGGAGTGATTTCAGACTTCTGACCTCCAGGATTATAAAATAATAAATTTGTCTTGTTAGAAGCCACTAAGTTTAGGGGCAATTTGTTACAGCAGTAACGGGAAACCAATTCACCACCTTAGCAGGTGGAGGTGGCTACAGACAGTTTTGGTTTTATATACCATATGTATATACATACATTCTGTACAAATGAAGGTCTTTATCAGTTCTGATTCAAGCTTTACATTGCTGGTGGAGTTGTACTTATTTTTAATTTCAGCAGTTTTATATTTTAGGTGGATTTTCATAGGGACAGGGGATTAACACATTGTTGAGAGACAATTGTAAGAAATTTCAGCCTTGCTCTAGAGTCTGTATTTTTTAAAGTTCCAGAAACACTGTCTTCTTGGTGGGATAGTTATTTTCAGTTCAATCAGTTCTTCCTGAAACTGAACCACACTTACAGGATAGACGACAATTCAGATGCATTTTGAGGTTTTCTTTAAAGGAAGCGGCAGACACTTAAAGCATGATTTGAAATCATGTAAGTCATTGAGTCCTTTATGAAATGATGATTTCCTTTCCACCAGACAGCTCTGTAATTCTTTTATATCTTTGATTCTATTGAACTCAAGCCAGGTCACAATAGTAAAATGAGTACATTCTCCTTTTGCCTTCTGCTAAGTCTGTAGGCCCAGTTTGAGTTTGAAATTTGTACTTCATTAAGTAAAGACATACTTTTAAAATTCTGTGACTGTAGTTTCTGGTGCGGTATAGTCAGATATGTTTTGTCAGGTTTAATAATGCACTATCTTATCTTGTAAGCCCCTGAGGGAAAATCAGGTGCATCCATCTTTCAGTCTTTTAACTACAGAAGCTCTTGACTTGAGATATCAGCTCAATGAATCTGAAATTTAGTTTATTCTGATACACATTCTACTTCTGTATTTTCTAACTATCCCCAAGCTGTTGCAGATTGGTATGTAACGTCATGAAAAAAACCATATTGGTCACTTCATCATATTATTTAATGAAACCGATCTAGAAGACAGGTTCAGAGCTGTATTTAGAGCATAAGTTTTCTGTCAATGGAGGCTGGAATTAATGATTTGCATTTTTGTTTGTTTAAAAGTGTTGAAAACTTTTTTTTTAATTGTATGTAGTCATATTTGGTAATGAGAATTTTTCTGTGTTTATACCATACTTAAGATTTTTATGGCAGCTTGTTAGGTCTTATTGTCACTATGAAAAAGTGAGTATTAACCATTTTGTTGTTGTTGCTACTGTTAAAAGTCTCAAGTTGAGTGTGCTTTGACGCTCAGGAGGACTCAACTTGGTCTCTAAGCTGTACCTTGGTCCTTCACAACACCAGTGCTCAACGTTGGCTGCCCATTGGAATCACCTGTGGAGTTTTCAGAATTTCTGCTGTCTCTTTCCCATCCCCAGAGATTCTAATTTAACTGGTATAGGGCATGGTCTGTGTACTGAGGTTTTAAAAATCTCTCCGGATGATTCTGATGGGCAGCAAAGTTTGAAAACTGCTGTCCCACAGAATAATTCATGAACTTATGATGTATAAAAGTACCAGTGAGCTTTTTGAAAAACTGATTCCTGGGCCTCACACGCAAGCATTGAGATCCACTCAGTCTGGGGCAGGATTCAGGAATCTGCATTTTGGAGTAGCACCCCAGATAACTCTGATGCAGTAGACCCAGGGGTTACAATTTAAAAAGAAAGTGTGTTTTAGGGTAAACCTGCAAGGTGTGTCTCTTATGTAGAGAGGCTTCTTGGATGGTTCCACTAATACTATCATTTGATACTCCTAAAATTAAATGGCATTGACTTTCCCCAAATAATTTTTAATCAAAACTGAAGTTGTAATTGTAGCAACTTTCTTGGCTTGTCTGGGGGATAGTTCTGTACTTAATGTCTTTGCTCTACAGGCTACCTCAGGACAGGGGACTAAAAGAACATACAGTGATTTAGAAAGAGCTTTTTTTTTTGTTTTTTTGAGTTGGAGTCTCGCTCTGTTGCTCAGACTGGAGTGCAGTGGCACAATCTTGGTTCACTGCAACCTCCGCCTCCCAGATTCAAGCGATTCACCTGCCTCAGCCTCCCTAGTAGCTGGGATTACAGGCACGCACTATGGCGCCCCACTATTTTTTGTATTTTTAGTAGAGACGGGGTTTCACCATGCTGGCCAGGCTGGTCTTGCCTACTCCTGACCTCAGGTGATCCGCCTGCCTCAGCCTCCCAAAGTGCTGGGATTACAGGCTTGAGCTACCGCGTCTGGCCTAGACAGAACTTTAAGGCTTGATAACTGTGTGGATACAATGAACACAACTGAGGCAACGAAGATATGGACTAAGTGAATAACAGCAGCTTACCTGTGTAACTGGTAGTCTTTAGGAGTGTTTAGGAGCTCTTCATCTGAAGCCCTTGTCCTGAAAGGAAGCAGCAGCAGAGAGGGACATTCCAATGGCCATAGACATGAACCTCAAGTTAGATTCCGCTGGTCACATATTGGTTCCAGAGTTTACATACCAGTCTTTTAAATCATATTCACTTCCCATAGATGCGTTATGATGATGAAGATGATGATGATTTGAGACGGAGTTTCACTCTGCCACCCAGGCTGGAGTGCAGTGGCATTGTGATCTCGGCTCACTGCAACCTCCGCTTCTCAGGTTCAAGTGATTCTCCTGCCTCTGCCTCCCAAGTAGCTGGGATTACAGGTGCCCACCACCACGCCCGGCTAGTTTTTGTACTTTTAGTAGAGATGGGGTTTCACCATGTTGGTCAGGCTGGTCTCGGCCTCCTGACCTCAGGTGGTCCGCACACCTCAGCCTCCCAAAGTGCTGGGATTACAGGTGTGAGCCACTGTGCCTGGCCCTGTTGATGCATTATTAATCTCGGCACTTTGAAAAATGAAAATTTAAAAGCTAGCTTAGCTGTCAGTTGGAAAATATGCTGCGCAAAAAGCTTAGATTCTGAAGTAGTTCTGTGGTGAAGGGCATTGTTAAATTAACCAGAAACTGTGTTTTATTAGTGTACGTGCAAATCATTTACACAAATGATTGAAATGTGTAACAGATATACAGAAAATAGAGACAAAGTCTTATCTTTCAGTGTTTCTTCATTATGACTGTAAAAGTATGGAGCATAGTACTTTTTCACATCTTTAACAAAAGAAATTCATATTAGAAAAAAATGCCAAAATGATACAAATGTATAATTTAATAAGTAAATTTTTTTTTTGCATTTCCACTGCTTAGTGATAACTACTATGAAAAGTTTGGTAAGTGTTTTAGAAAAAAAATTACATTTAAAGAACTCACAGGGTAGGTGTGGTGGCTCACGCCTGTAATCACAACACTTTGGGAGGTCAAGGCAGGCGGATCACCTGAGGTCAGGAGTTCGAGACCAGCCTGACCAGCATGGTGAAACCCCATCTCTACTAAAAATACAAAAATTAGCTGGGCATGGTGGCGCACGCCTGTAATCCTAGCTACTGGGGTAGCTGAGGCAGGCGAATCACTTGAACCTGGGAGATGGAGTTTGTAGTGACCTGAGATTGTGCCACTGCACTCCAGCCTGGGTGATAAAGGAAGACTCTGTCTCCAAAAATAAACAAACAAACAAATAAAAGAAAAAATCACTAATGAATGTTTCTTGAATTTCTTCCAGGGACATAAATAAATATTTTCTTTTAGTGGTATAATTGGCCATAATGTTGTGGCTTCGGATGAAAACTAAACTTTAGAATTTAGTTATGTCATAATGTAAACATTGTCTGTATGAGAATTTTGTAAAAATAATTGCCTATTTAGGTGCATAGATAAATTTTGCATTTTTTAACGCCTGCCCAGTTCTTCTCCTTACACCCCCTTATCTCTCCTCTACCATATGCTTAATTGCTGCATCCGTTTCTTTTTGGAGGTTCTGTAGTGTAGGTGCTGCTGATGGCAGAACTAGTCATGATTTACTTTGCCATGTGTAGGGCAGGTGCTTTCAGCCTTAATCAGTGACTGTTTCTGAACTCTGCAAAACACACTAATTGAAAAGTCATGTTAGGCAGCACAAAAGTACCCTATATGATGATAATATATCCTTGTTGGGCGACTGAGATGCTGTTAATAGTTTGGATGCCTTAAGTTAGTAGTTTGGGTTGGTCTTGTCTGAATTTATATACTTAATTAAGAAATAGTGGAGAATTTAAATGTAAGGTAATTTTGTGCAAGTCATAGGAAAATAAAAGATAGGTTATTACTTATGCTAGTTTCCTTTTTTTATGTGAAAATTCTGAATTGCTTATTGAAAAGACTAAAGTTAAATATTCGATTCCCTTGCAGAAGAGGATGAACACGTGCTTCACCTACTTTATCGCTGGATGGCACTGTGTGCTCTTGGGCTGCCCTACAAATGGGATCTCTTTGGTGGTCAAAATGTTGTGTACCCATGTTTCTGGAGAAGGCTTTTTGTGTTCTTTTCTAATGTTTGTAATAGCACGTGTTACTTGTTGTCAAGTACATATTACATTTTATATTGTAGTTATTAGTAGGAGAATATTTTAATTTCAATGCAATGCAATTTTTTTTTCCCTTATAAGGCAAAATCTCAGAGAGAGGGGGAAGGGAGAGAGACAGAGTGAGTGACTCGTGTGTGTGTGTGTGTGTGTGTGTGTGTGTGTGTGTGTGTGTAATTAATTTTAAGCTTATTGTTGAATTAACTTCTCTCTCCATTTGGTAACCTTCCTGTATAGGCCTCTAGGGTAGTGGTTAGGAAAACCTTAGTCTCTCTTTCGTGTGTGTGTGAGTTTGTGTGTGTGTAATTGATTTCGAGCTTATTGTTGAACCCACTTCTTTCTATTTGGTAACCATCCTATATAGGCCTCTAGAGTAGTGGTTAGGAGCATGGACTCTGGAGCCAAACTACATTGATTTAAATCCTCAATATACTGCTAAGTAGCTATGACCCTCAAGCAAGTCATGAAATGCTCTATGCTTTAGTTTCCTCATTCACTAAATGGGAATAATAATAGTGTTTGCCTCCAAGGATTGCTGAGGATTAAAATGAATTAATTTTTGTTAAGTTCTTATGGCAGTGCCCATTACATAGTAAGCACCAAATAAATGTTAGCTTTATGACTATATTATTATTACCACTACCTTAGTTTCTCCTTTTTCTTCTCTTTCCTTCAGTCCCTCTTCTGTCCATGTTCACCTTATTACTACATTCCTTAGCCATGCATGTCCTGCCCTAGGAGCCCATTGGTTGCAGCAAAGCCTGATTTTTACCTAAAGCGTTTACTTTTTGATAGTCTTGCAATTATGATGTCTTCCATTATGAAGTAAGAGTCTTACTTTGCTACTACTTTTTTTTTTTAATTTCAATTAGGGTAATGTACATGTTAAAATACTTCAACCAAAATTAAATGAAACATGCTGATGGCGTATTTCTTATTGTAAACATCCATGTGAAGCTTATGGATTCTGGCTGATTCGTAGAGTAGGCAGAGAACTGAGATAACATGAATGTTCAGGAAAGACCTCTTTGGTAGTGAGCTGTGATGCAAATCTGATCATTTTGAGGAAAAGTACTCCAGTGCACATTGACCTCTTTCGCTAAAAGAGATCTTGAGGTAACTGACGTCCAGACCTTTAGCATTAAATTGGTGAAAATCAGTACACTGAAACAAAGCTCAACATGAATTAGTACAGCCAGCACATATTACCCACTACAGATAAAACTGTTATTCTCTTTTTTTGGGTCTTGTTTTGTTTTGGGTTCTATCCACAAACTGCTCTTGACTCTAAACTACATCATTTCCTGAACTTTCTAATGTATTCTCAAGCATGTCCTATATACATGAAGGATGTCAAAACTCAGAGACGAAATTTTTTTCAAGATGATTCATAACAATGGTATTTGAATTTTGTCCCTGCCCAAAATTTATATTAAGAATCTAAGAAGACACATGATATTGTTTTCCTCCTTCTGTTTTTTAAACATAGCCTTTTTTTTTGTCTCATGTAACCTCAAAACATGTTCATGTCCTTCCTTTCCTTTCCCTTCCTTCCCTTACCATCCTCCCTCCCTTCCTTGCCTCCTTTGTGTTTCCTTAACCTTTTTTTCTTGAAGTTAGCTACAAGCCATGCATGGCTAAGTAATGTTGACCTTATAATTTGGGGACTAGGATAGAATTCCAAATACTTGTTATTTTTGAGTATCTTGATTTAAAAAAAAAAAAAAGATCAGTCACCATGCTAAAGTAGGCCTGAGGCTGAAAGTGAGGTTAGTGAGGGGAAGAGGAAGGAAGACAGATTTTTTAAAGTGGTGCATTGGGATAGAGACTTCTTATAGTTGCTCATATTGCATAGTTTTAATGGTGGAAGTGATTACTGTTAGGACAGTGTCAAGAAATATAAAACCCATTGATGGGAACTGTTTTAGGAACTTCCATTGGTCTTTGTTCTTTCCTCAATTTTGTCATCTGTATTTGTTCTTAGGACCTTGGAAGTGGTTTTTGAACAATAATTTTCTTTTAGTGGGTAGGACTATGAAGTTCATGCCCCAGGGGAAGAGACTGATATGTGCAATCATTATTGTCGTGGGAAACACAGACCTATATATTAGAACAGGATACACTGCAGTCATTTGTGTAGGAATCCACTTAAGATGACTTGAAAGAGAATTTTCCTGACCACTATCATGTCTGGCTTCATGTTCAGACATTCTTACTGAAATACTCATTTAATCAGAGGTTTCTCTTGTGAAGGAATTTTTTTTTTTTTTGGGTCCAGGTTTTCAAGAGTTCCGTCAAATATCTGTATAAGGTTTTTAGACAAATGAAGAAAACCTGCTTTTGAGAAGCAATGATGGCTTTTTCACTAGAAATAAAAAGTTCCAGGTTTTATAGTTTGTTTCTTAAAAATATATGATTAAATAATTATCTTCTCTTTTAAAAAATTTGTTTTTTGCTGACTTCTTACTTTGTGACTTGAAATGTATGTTACAGTCTTCTTTTGTGCTTGAATAACAATGGTTTGAAAAGGAACAAAAAGGCTTCTAAAGATGGTATTTCAATTTGTCCAACAGTGTTCAATTTAAGCCTTTTATTTTTTAAACTTTCAAACAAGCACAGTGACTTGATTTTTTTCCCCATGTTATCATCTAAGAGTGTGTTTTGAATGTGTGTTTTGACCGTAAACCAGGAGTTGCAAAGTCAAATGCTTAACTATGCCAGACGGGTAATTAAAATAAGTGAACTGAGTCAGACGAAAAACAATAGGAAATGGTGATGGATATGGACTAAAGAGCCCACATCCTGTCTGAGGAGAGAGTCACTACTCTCTCCAGCATGTGCTACCACGTGACATTGTGATCCCAGTGCAGTGGTGTGCTGGTAAATGTTTAACAACTGGCTCATTAAAACAAGAAAAACAACAACAACAAACTGTCACAGGTTGCATTTGCCAATTCTCATGGTGTAAACACTCCCACATAGCTAATTTCAAGCCTCTACTATGATTGTCACTGCACATGTTTAGAAGAGATACTAATAATTGGCTCAATGAGCAAGTACAAGCTAGCTGCAGCACACCACTAGCCCCAGTGTAGCCAGGTTTGCAATTTTTGAAGAAAACTGATTTTTTTATATAAAATCTCTTGGGTTTTAAAATACTATGTAGGCCAAAAAAAAAAATTAATGAACTAAATCATGCTTATCAGTTGCCAATTTATAATCTCTGACAGTAAACTGATAATACTTCTTGGAAATCTTATTAGAAATCAATTTTGCTATTTTATAGTCAAACTGCAGATGTCTAATCAATGGCTTCACTGGTATTTTTTGGAATCAACAATTTTTTTATTTTTATTTTTTTACACATGAAAATGTATTGCTATCAACAGTGTTTTAATGTATGTTTAATATTGGTATAAGGTAAAAATTAGCAGTTCAGAAATTATTCTTTGATTAATTAGAACAGCCAGTATACTTGGAATGTCTAAAACTGACTAAACCTGGCTTGCCGTCTAGGGGGGTTGTTTTTCCTGGATGCATTATTTGTGTTAGTGAAAGATGGAAAATGTCAGTCTAATTTATTGAAATTATAAAATTGTTGTATAGCAAAACCCTAAGTAAGCTGTTTTGTGTGTATTCCCTTGGATGATATTTTTAAAATTATGTTTTACAATTCTTCTTACTTTTGAGTATTTCTGAAGCACTTTTTACGATGTTACCCTGAAGTCATACAGACAAGGCTGTGAGGAGGTTAGTGCTATTTTGTAAACTTGACTCAAGATACAGGACTTTGCTGTACAAGGGAGTGTAATGAGGGCTGAGCTGAGACTGGGTCTCAGGCCTGTTGAATCAGGGTCCAAATTCCTTTTCGCCAGACTGCTGAGGATGTAAAAAAGATTAAAAAATTCTGCCCTCTTCAGAACTGTCTAGCCCTCCAATTGTGGTTAAAGGGTGAATGGAAGATATGGCTAAGATAACGATCATTGTTGGATGAATATAAGAATTGACACAACAAAGCAGAGTGCCTCCTTAAGGGTTTTATCATATTACAGTCTTCTCACATATAAAATATAGTTGTGGGTATGTTAGAATGCAGATCATATGCAAATGTGCTGAATTAGGGACATATGAGTATATGGATATATGATATAGTATGTCATCAAAGGCTGATTGTGTTAGTGTACCTTTGAGGTCTCTTCGGGGTGATGCTGAAAAGCCCAAACATGTCTATAGCTTGCAGCTTAGATCTTAAAAGCCATCCAGTTTGTGCCATGTGGTCTGTTGATGAGGAGTTCTGACTGTAATGTAAGTTAGTGAATTTCTGAAATCAGTTTCCTTGATTTTATTCTCTGGTGAGATGCATTAGTAAACAGAGGAACAATTATCCAGGTGTTTGTGTGTGCAGTGGGATATTCTCAGTGTTCCTGTTCCTGTGAAGTGATGGCCATAAAATGGCAGTTATATTTAACAAAAGCATTTTGTATGAGTTTGGGGAAGAGGCAAGGAGGTGTGAAAATAACACAGTTGTCATGCAAACTCATGTTTGAAGTAAGTCTTCTAGGCCTGTTTTCAATCAGACTGTATCCCTCAACTCCTCATGTCACTGGGTATTATTATTATAATCTCAGCATATCGTCCCTCTAAGTCACTGGGTTTTATAGTGTTTAGTGTGTGTCTTTTACACTAGACTGTTTTTCCATGAGGACAGAAAATTCATCTCTTTTCACCATTCTGTCTCAGCACCTAGCACGGTGCCTGAATGAAGTAATAAGTATTTGCTGAATGAAAACAATGTGCATACCAGATTTTTAAAACTTTCAAATAAAACAGCATTAATATAGGAGAATATAAAATGTGTTTTCTCTCACTTGCTATTCTTCAGATTGTTTTTTAAATCACTGAGTTTGTTTAATTAATATAGCAATCCTTGGCATTATGTACCTGTATTCTTTACATGAATTTTTGCTTGAAGCGTAAACACGTAACAAGTATTTTACCTGCTGGATCATTTGGTCACTGAAATCATGCATTTCTTGTCCTATTCCACACCTGGCTTTGCACCTTTCCCTGGAACTCCCATGAGATAGATCACTTTAAGAAGAGTCATCAGTAAAGAACTTCATCATGTACTGTGTAGTCTAGTGAGTCTCCCCTGTTATTTTGGGAACCATTCCACAGAAGCTCAAGAGAGCAGTGCAGTGTGACATGGCCAGAGAAGGACTGTGCCAGCTGTGCAGTGGATCATACAAGTAATCGTCAGATTCACCATTACATTCTGGGATTTTGGTTGATCAGAATGATCAGATGTAGGGAGAGTGTCTAAGTTCATTTATTTTGATTTCATGCTGGGACTTGGTTCATGAGCTTGTGATATGTGGGGTAGCTCTGTAACTTAATAGTTCTAAGAAAATGCCTGAAATTCCACTAAGAGAGCTTCATTCCTTTAGTTGTAGAGAAAGCTTTTGAATCTTTATTAATTTTTTATTAAAGTCTGTGTAGCCCTGGAAAGGGTAACATCATGAATAACCTTTACTTGATTCCATTTTTGGTGATGTGGCTGTGCATTTCCACTGTTGTTCTATTTCTTTCCTCTTTCAGTGCCAAACTTCATATGTTATTAGTATTTGAGGTTTCTGCTTCCTACCCACTAATTATTTTCTTAATGCTTTGCATTAGACTGTACACTCCCATCCTGCTACTGATAATGCCTTTGATATACATTCAACACTCTTCCTTCTAACACTCTCCTCCTTTGGCCTTTAGACATCACACCACCTGTTATTCTTCCCACCTGTTTTTTTTGTCCCCTCCTTGGTTGACTCCAGTGGTCTGCCCTTGTCCTCTGCTTTCCCTCCAATTATCCAGTCTAGTTATCCACTTCAGTGGCTTTACCCTTGTGTTAGTTTTCTGTTGCTGCATAACAGATTATCAGAAATGCAATATGAAAGGTGCCTTCCAACAACACAAACTATGATTTTATAGTTTCTGTATGTCTGTTGTCTGGTAATGGCTTAGATGGAGTCTCTGCTCAGGTCTTAAAAGGCTGCCATTCAGGTATCTGCTGGACTGAATTTCTCAGCAGGACCTCAGAGGTCTTTTCCAAGCTCATTTAGATTGTTGGCAGAATACAGTTTCTAGAGCTCATGGAGGTTGTGGGTTTCAAGGCCAACAGGAGCATGACTCTCTGAGCTTCACCTTCCTTTAAAAGTTAGACCAGGCCCACTCAAGATAATCTCTTTTTTGACGAATTCATTATTAACTGATTACAGACATAATTATGAGAGTGACGTTGCATTGTACAGGATGTATATGCCAGAGGATGGGACTCTTAGTGGCCATCTTAGAATCCTGCCTACCCCAAGCCTCAGTGTAGATAACCACTAAGTATTCATGACTGTGTCTCATCATTATTCAGGGCTCCAGTGGCTGGATGGCAACCACTCATAGGCATCTCCACCTGGACATCCTATCGACACCTTTAAATAAATACCCCTTCCCCAAACAAACAATCCCACTCTATTCTAGCATATTTCTTCACCAAGAAAGCCATTTTTTTTCTTTTTCTTTTTTTTGAGATGGAGTCTTGCCCTGTCACCCAGGCTGGAGTGCAGTGGTGCAGTCTCGGCTCACTGCAACCTCCGCCTCCCGAGTTCAAGTGATTCTCCTGTCTCAGCCTCCCGAGTAGCTGGGATTACAGGCGCCTGCCACCTCGCCTGGCTAATTTTTGTGTTTTTAGTAGAGATGGGGTTTCATCATGTTGACCAGGCTGGTCTTGGACTCCTGACCTCAGGTGATCCGCCTGCCTCGGCCTCCCAAAGTGCTAGGATTGCAGGCGTGAGCCACCTCGCCCGGCCAAGAAAGCTGTTTCTATAAAGTAAATTCACATTTCTTGTAAGTTCTGGGCTAAAAACATTGGAACTCTCTTTGTAACTTCTTGTTTATTCCCTACAGTCTGTTCCCAGGACTTGTGATTCCATCCTTTAAATGTCTCTCAGATTTGCCATTTCTTCTCTTTTTTTTTTGAGACGGAGTCTTGCTCTGTTGCCCAGGCTGGAGTACAGTGGCGCGATCTTGACTCACTGCAACCTTTGCCTCCCAGGTTCAAGGGATCCTCCTGCCTCAGCCTCCTGAGTAGATGGGATTACAGGCGTCAGCCACCGCACCTGGCCCATTTCTTCTCTTTCACACTGTCCATACCTTACAAAGACCTGTGCAAGTTAGCTTATTGCCTTGTGAGAAAGGGGAACAGTCTAAGGAATGCCTACATGCATTATATTCCATACTTCCATCGTTTTGTGCCACCTCTCTCCCCGTTTTGGAGGGGATAATACATTATTGAATGGTGTTGGCTCATGCCTGTAATCCTAGCACTATGGGAGGCTGACGTGGGTGGATCACTTGAGGTCAGGAGTGTGAGACCAGCCTGGCCAACATGGCAAAACCCCGTCTCTACTAAAAATAAAAAAATTAGCCAGAAATCGGCTAATTGAACTCGGGAGGTGGAGGTTGCAGTAAGCTGAGATCGTGCCATTGCACTCTAGCTTGGGCAACAGAGTGAGACTCCATCTCAAAAAAAAAAAAAAAAAAGAATGATGTTGAAGAAACAGTAACAAAAGAGCACCAGGACATAAAGGCAATGGTAATCAGAACTAGAGGAAAATGTGACAAATAGAGAATTGGAGAGGGTCCTAGAATAACCAGACAAAGGATGTGAAGCCCTTCCCAGAATGAATCACTCCTATGGAAGGAACAGCCCCTTGGGCTCCACGAAATAATGAAAGAAATCTGTAGAAGTTAGAAGGAAGTAGCCTTTATTCAACTTGTTTGCTTTTGATATGCCTAGTGCTATCTCATGGAACCCATTGGTCACCCCATTTACAACAGACTCACCCCACTCCCTATTCCTGGGCCAATTCTTTTTTTTTTAATTTAAATTTAAATTTTTTCATATTTAAATTTTTTATTTTTTTATTTCACTAGGTTTTGGGGGAACAGGTGTGTTTGGTTATTTGAATAAGTTCTTTAGTAGTGATTTCTGAGATTTTGGTGCACCCATCACCTGAGCAGTGTACACTGTACCAACATGTAATATTTTATCCCTCACCACCCCCCACCCTTTCCTGCAAGTCCCCAAAGTCCAGCATATCATTCTTATGTCTTTGCATCCTCATAGCTTAACTCCCACATATGAGTGAGAACATTGGATATTTGGTTTTCCATTCCTGAGTTACTTCACTTAGAATAATAATAATAATAATAATAATAATAATAATAATAATAATCATCCAGGTTGCTGTTAATGTCATTATTTCATTCCTTTTTATGGCTGAGTAGTACACCACATAAACAGAATTAAAAACAAAAACCACATGATTGTCTCAATAGACACAGAAAAAGCATTTGACAAAATCCAGCATCCCTTTATAATTATGATTAAAACCCCAAGCCAATTCTGACTTCAGGGAAGGTTTGCTATTTCTTTTCTCTACCCATCTGTGGGTCTTTAGCATCATCATGCACTCAATTTTAGCCCCACAGGGTCTTGCTCCCTGAAGATTCCCTCATTGTTCCTTAAGCCACCTTTCCTCCTTTCTTCACCCTGAATACGGGGCCTCAGTCCCTGACATTGTTTCCTAACTCAGCCTCTATGTTTATCCATCTGGTATGTGGGGAAGGAACAAGTGGGCTTGGGCTTTGTCACTTCAGTGGGCAGATCCACTGAACAAGGCAAATTTCAGCCTGACCTTCTCATTCTGTGGAGATGCTTTTCTACTATTGTAGCTTTCTGTGGGAATTGTACCTAACTTTCCTCCTTTTCTCTTGAGCATTTCTTCTTTAAATTCTTCAAATTAGAGGAAAGCAGTGTTATTCATTCATTTTTGAGTTTAACTAATAGTTACTGATTGCCTACAGTGTGTCTTGGGAGTGTTCCTGTTGTGGAGAGAGAGCAGGAAACAAATCAGACAAATCCTTTGCTTCCTGAAGCTTGCATTCTAGCAGACAGAGATCCAGAAGACAAAATGACCCATCTGAGTGAATGAGGGAAGAGTTGACTGAGAGATGACATTTCAAACCATAATCCCTCCTCTTCTACTTTTTTTCTCATTGTCTCCATCTTGCTTAGAACTCCACATCTTCAATTATTCTTTTCTCTTGTATATGTAGATGAACTCCAGTTATTTTTTTATTTTTATTTTTTTGTGACAGGGTCTTGCTCTGTGTCCTAGGCTGGAGTGCAGTGGCATGATCATAGTTCTCTGCAGCCTCAATATTCTAGGCTCAAACAATCCTCCCTTCTCAGTCTCCTAAGTAGCTAGTTCTACAGGTGCACACCACCACGCCCAGTTAATTTTTTTTTTATTCTTAGCTGAGAAGAGGTCTTACTATATTGCCCAGGCTGATCTTGAACTCGTGAGTTCAAGCAGTCCTCCTGTCTTGGCCTCCCAAAGTGATGGGATTATAGGCATGAGCCACTGTGCCTGGCCAGTTATTTTATTTTATTTTTTTACATCCTCAAAAAGAAAACCTTTATTCTTTCTGCTCACCAGCTTAAGCTATGGTCTGGTATCTCTCCTCTCCTTTTTACACAAGCTCTGAGATACCCCTTTGGCTCTCACATTGTTTTCATTCATTCCTTTGCCCCCGTTAATCTGGATTTTGTCCTTGCTGCTTTGTTGACACTGCATTTTAAGAATCATCTGTGATCTCCTGGTCATTAAATTTAATAGCTTGTCTCAGTTTTTATTCTCAATACTTTTCCAAACATGTGACTGTGACCACAATATTTTCCTACTGGGAAGGCCCTTTCCTTTGTTTTTGCATGACTAAATTCTCTTTATCAAAAAATGTTAGCTCGAATGCCACTTTTTATCCCTTCTTGATTTTTTAAAAATGTCTCTTGTAGCATTGATCATTTCTATTCTGAATTATAAATAATAAATTAACCTTTCTGAGAGATGAAACTGTTTTATTGATTTTGGGATCTCCCACTACACTTAACAGATTGCCTTGCATATAATAATTACTTATTAAATATCTGTTAAATGCATGAAGAAAGTAATAAACACAAGTAAGTTTCATGTCATTTTTAGAACTTTTCAAAACTAGAATTGTAGAATAATGTAATATTTTATTCTACAAGCAGAAATATTTTGAATATCTGTTATCTAAAATGTAAAAAAGTATTTGAAGAAGACACTTGAAACAGAAGACTTGCTATCACAGGAATAAATAAGCACACTCTGTCATTAAATGTTGTTTTTCTACATTTCCACTTACTCATCACATTTTGTTTAGTTGTTCATAACCACTCTTTGAGTCATGTGATTGACTGGGTCAGTGGTTCATGGTAAGAAATATGTTTGATGTATTATTCTCAACATGCTTTTGAAATTCTGTCTCTCTTTGCTGTCTGGTCTTACCTCTGGCATTTGATATCCAGTTTCCTCATATGTCTGATTTTGATTCATATGGATTGGGAAAATTATTCTCAGTATAATGTGGATCTGTTTTTCTTTTGAGTTCATAAATAAAATAAACATCAGTATGATTTGACTGCTGTTAATGATAATTCAGAGGAATGTTCCTTTCATTAAGTTAAAAAATGACTATGAAGAGAATAATTCCATTATGTGTTTTTTCTTTGGTAAGTAAATAAAAGTAGAGATTTTAAAACTATTTAACAACTCTACTGGTTTTCAATGTTTACAGGTAAAATATTTATGGGTTGAAGTTTATTTCTAATTACATTGCAGTGAAGCCAAACCATATTTGCAGCAAAGCAGAAAACTTTGAATAAGTACTGCATTATGTATTATGTAATAATTAAGGTCAAATTTATATGTAGAGGTTCACCTAATTGGAAAGGATGCTCAATCACTATTTTTTCTTTACCAAGTAGTAAGTTCCAACTAAACTTTTCCAGGTTCAGGGCCACTCAGAAAGTTTGAGAGTAGTCTGATTCTGTATCTAGTGTAGAATGCCAGAAACCAGGCTAGGTGAGTTCAGACCCTGGCTTGTCCACTTACTAAGCATATAACCTTGGGCAGATTATCAGACTACTCAGTGCTTCAGTTTTCTCATCTCTAAAATGGGGTCATCATAGTACCTCTCCCATAAAATTATGATGAGGTAATTCATGTAAATGAGATAATTCATGTAAAATGCTTAGAACAGTGTGCAGTAAGTGTTAGCTTTGATCAGTCGTAAATACTAGAAACTGATAAACGTGGTGCAGATGGGTAGAATACTGATTCTCCTTTTAACATGGCATGGACAATATACCTTATGTACTCTGGAGTCTTTTTTCCTCCTCAACCCTAGTTATTCTGAAAAAACTGTTCACCTTATGGTGTGAGGGAGAAAGTGAAGCAAGTTAAATTGCAAGGGGAGTTTGACATGTAAAGTAACAGTATTAGGTTAAAAAGAGAGATGCCAGAAACTCAAAATCTCTTTCTGAGGCGAGGTCAAATTTTTCTTCTTGAAAGTTGTGTTTTCTACGAATGCTAGCCCCTTCATTTCTCTTTTAGCATTTTGTCCCCATAAGATATTTTGTAGTTAGTAAATGAGTGAGGTTGAGCAGAAGGATGTGAGAATTTATTGATTTAGTTAACAGTGTGTTTTCTAAGTAAGTACAGGGGATAGTAGAGGACTTCTAGTCCATTCCATTGATGTAGGGGGACTTGCCTGGAATATAAAATGTGAAGCCAAGGATACAACCAAAGATACAAATGTGAAACTACTCACTACTCGGGTGAAAGGGGCAGGGAGCAGAAAGGCTGAACAGAGAGGAGTTAGTGGCTTAGGGATGGTGTAGAGAGTACAGTGACCTGGGTTTGGGTCAGGATTTTTCCATTCGTCAACTATGAGACCTAGTTGACGAATTAAGTATTAACATACTTAATCTCCTTGGTCTTTAGTTTTTTCTTATAAAATGGGAGTTGCAATGTGACTTTATTTGCTTTCATTCATTGCCTGTTCATACACCATAATGACCAGGTGATTTAATTATAGAAATCAACACCTTCCTATGACACTTAGAATAATATCTCAGATCCTTACCCAGGCCTGCAAGGACCCATATGATATGGCCCTTTTACACTTTCCTGACCTCATCTTGTACTACTGTCTCTTTTACTTACTAGGTTCCAACTCCAATGGCTCTCTTTCTGTTCTTCACTGTATGTAAGCTTTTTAGCATATTAAAGTCTTCTAACTGGTTGATCTCACTGCCTAGAAAGATTTCTTCTAGGCTGGGCACAGTGACTCATGCCTGTAATTCTAGCATTTGGGAGGCCCAGGCAGGTGGATCACTTGAGGTCAGGAGTTCGAGACCAGCCTCGCCAACCTGGTGAAACCCTGCCTCTACTAAAAATACAAAAATTAGCTGGGCATGGTGTTGTGTACCTGTAATCCCAGCTACTGGGGAGGCTGAGTCAGAAGAATTGCTTGAACTTGGTAGGTGGAGGTTGCAATGAGAGATTGTGCCACTGCACTGCAGCCTGGGCAACAGAGTTAGACTCTGTCTCAAACAAAAGGAAAATTTCTCCTAGATTTTCACAGGCCTTCTCCAGGTCTTAAGTTAAATATAACATCTTCAAAGAGGCCTCTACTAAGCCCATTAGTTTAAAAGAGCACTCTCTGTGATTCTGTTGCATTTTCTTCATAGCACGAATCATTTCTTGATATTTTCCTGTATATGTCTGAATGTACCTTACCCTAGAATGTAAGCTTCATGAGAGTAGGACTATGTCTTTCTCCTTCCCTGCTGTATCCCCAGTATCTAGAGCAATTCCTGGCACATAGTAAGTGTGATATCAGTGTTTTTTTTTTGTTTGTTTTTGAGACGGAGTCTCATTCTGTTGCCCAGGCTATAGTGCAATGGCTCTATCTCGGCTCACTGCAACCTCCGCCTCAAGCGATTCTCCTGCCTCAGCCTTCCGTGTAGCTGGGATTATAGGCACTCACCACCATGCCCAGCTAATTTTTGTATTTTTAGTAGAGATGGGGTTTCATCATGTTGGTCAGGCTGGTCTTGAATTCCTGACCTCAAGTGATCCACCTGCCTTGGCCTCCAAAAGTGCTGGAATTACAGACATGAGCCACTGCACCTGGCCTAAATCAGCTTTTAAATAAAAGTATGGAATGAATAAGGTGCTGACTGACACTGAAATAAATATTTGCTCTTTACCCTAAAACTCCTATTCTATTTATGCTTTCCTATAAGACTGGGAAAGGAAATAGGAAGATGAGCCCATAGCATCTTATATTGTCACAAAGTAAGGGAGTGCTAAAAACAAAGCCCACACAGCGAGAGGGACACAGGTACCAATGGAGAGAGGTCCTAATGGCCAAAACTGGAATAATTTGATCAACAACAAAAAAGTGGTATTGAATTATAACCAAAAAAGTATTAAAAAAAAAAAAAAACACATGACCATGCTGATTTAAATAAATGATTGAATAAATAAATAAATAAAGGGAGACAAATGTGTGCTAAATTCTAAATAATTATGTAGATACTCCACCCTCCAGAAGCAGGACCATAACTTTCTACCCCTTAAGTATAGGCTTATGTAGTGACATTCTTCCAAAGAGTACTGTATGGAAAGGGGGAGGAAAAAAGAGTAATCTTACAGCAGAGAAAACTGATAAACACTACCTCAGCCAGGTGATCAAGATTGATTGTTGACACTGTGTATCTTTGATATGATATGTTGAAATTGGTGCTGTTCTTTTATGGTCTTTCTTTTAAAACCTCATAACTCCAGTCTAATTATGAGTAAAACATCACAAAAATCCCAGTCGAGGAAAATTCTACAAAATACCTGATCAGTTTCCTCAAAGCTTTCAGTGCATAAAAAATAAGGAAAGTATGAGGAACTGTCACAGCGAAAAGGAGCCAGGATGACTAAATACGGAGCCAGGATGACTAAATACAATGTGGTATCCTGGTTGGGATCTTGGAATAGAAAAAGGATATGAAGTGAAAAGTCAGGAAATCTGAGTATGTGGGTTTTAGTTAATAATGTGTCAACATTGGCTCTGTAATTGTTAAGAAGGCACTCCACTAATATAGGATGGTAATAACAGGGATACTGGACGTGGAGTAGATGGGAATTCTCTGTACTATCTTGGTTTTTCTATAAATTGAACAATGTTCTGAAATACAAAGTTTATTTCAGATAAAATTCAAATAAAATGTTATGAATATTTTTCCACATGATGCTATATTGTTTTGTTGTGTCATTTAAGTGCCTATTTATCTTCTATTGTTATATACAGATGTCATAGCTTATTTAAAACCACCCATTCTTGGCATTTAAATTGGCTCTAGTAGTTTATACCTACATCTTTGATCATCCCTTTGGTGATAGAGGAAGGACTGTTTTTGCATGGAAACTTTATCTTCTCTTGTTTGATATTATTTCCGATTTCTTCTCTTATCTCTCTTTCCCCTTAGGTTAGGACTTTTAAATACTTTCTATAGGCTGCTGAGTCCTGCCTAATTGATTATATCACAGGCATCTCAAATTCAACACATTCAGAGGTGGGCTCTTATTTTCTTTTCGCTTCAATTACTTCTCTCCCTGATTTCCGTTTTTCTGTTAAGGCTGTCATAGTTTACCCAGATATTCAGCAGGACTGTGGGAGTTAAGTTTGGTTTCTCCTCTCTGTCACCATTCTGTCTGCATCCTCTGCCCATACAACCTTTCACATGCTCTGTCTGTTCTGTTCTTAAAATATATCTTAAACTCATGATTTTTCCATGTCTACTGCTACCAACCTTGTCTGAGCTATCTATCATCAAATTATGCCTGGACCTTTACAATATCCCTAACAGTCCCCTTTCTCTCTTGCCTCTTCTTAGTTCATTCTTTGAATATAATTACAAATGTGGGGGATCCCTATGGGTTTTAAATAGAAGAATGACGATACAATTTGTGATTGTTCTGAAATGATCATTCTGCAAGATGTGCAAAGAATGGCTCCTTACCATTACTACAATGACTGGCATGCTGTGGCCTCTGTCTACCTTTCTCTTTCATTTCGTTTCAGTCTCTTTCTCACCATGGTTTAGTTATATTTGTCTTCTTTCAGTTTTGTTCTTTCTCTATGCCAACCCCTTTCCTGCCTTTGAGCTTTCGCACATGTTACTCTTTGTTTTCCAGTTTTATCTTCCATCTTCTTTCCCCATGGCAGGTCCTATAATTCTTTGTTTAGTTATTTTCTTTACTATTCCAAAGAAGGCAAGACTATATCTTTTTTATTTCCTTATGTATACTTAGTACCTAGAGTAAAGCCTTACACATTAGCAACACTCAGTAGTTGCTGAATAATTAAACAAGTAGTAATTACCATTTTCATTCATTTGTTAAAAAATAGTGTTCAGGATCTGTGTTAAGTGCTATGGAAACACACAAAGGGTTTAAAATAAATAAGTCTTACCTTGAAATAGCTCCTTATTTAAAAGGAGGGATAGAAGAACATATAAATAATATTGTAGCATGGAGGAAGGCAATGTTGTTGGAGTAAAGTTCTGTTATTAACCACCTGTATGTCCTCACATAAGTTTTTTTTTTTTTTGAGTTGGTCTTGTTGCCCAGGCTGGAGTGCAATGGCGCGATCTCGGCTCACCGCAACCTCTGCTTCCCGGGTTCAAGCGATTCTCGTGCCTCAGCCTCCCGAGTAGCTGGGATTGCAGGCATGCTCCACCACGCCTGGCTAATTTTTTGTATGTTTAGTAGAGACGGAGTTTCTCCATGTTGGTTAGGCTGGTCTCGAACTCCCGACCTCAGGTGATCCACCTGCCTCAGCCTCCCAAAGTGTTGGGATTACAGGTGTGAGCCACTGTGCCAGGCCAAGTTATTTTTATTCTGTGTTCCTTTTTGTATCCATCTGGATATTAAGGAGTTTGACTAGACTCTTGTAAGGCTATGCTTCTCAACTCTGGTGTGCCATTAATACTACGCTGGTGAAATTATTTTTTTCCAAGTTTCCATCCCTGAAAAACCTGATTCATTTGGTATGGGGTGGGTTCTATGAATTCCATAGGTGACTGGGGGGATGCATGGGTAGGTTAAGGAAGTAGTGACCTAGCTCGTTCTAGCTTTGACATCTTACAATTCTAATTGTAGTACAAGGAAGACTGTGAAAGTGCAGTAGAAATCAGATAAATTAAGTGTTGTATTCATTCGGGGGCAGGAAATATAATCTCTTGCTTGCTGGCTGGGATTGGGGCTTAATGGAAAAGATGATGTTGAAATAGACTTTGAAGAATAGGTGGAAATGTGGGCAGGTGGGTGATTGCATGGTTGGTGTTCAGTTCACCTTAGCTGTAGGCCAGAAGACATGCAAGGGAAGTGGGGGAAAATGACCCGTTTTGATGCAGTGAACCATGGTTCTAGTCTTGTTTTTTTCATTTTACCTGTCACACTTGGTTGTCCTTTTGGAGATGAAAGATTGTATTATTGCAGCTTGATCCTCATTCGGTGGAAGTGGAGCATGTGGTGACAGACACCATGTGACTGCTTTGAGAGATAATTGGGCATATTCTTCCTCAAGCCTTTTGGGGCTTTGCTCTTTGAGATCCATTTTGACCACCCCATTGGTTTTCTGGTTAGAAACAAAGAATATCAGGACCCACTCTGTTATCTAAAATAATAGTTTGCTGTCAGAATGATTATTATTAAACCAAAGTTGACTTTTTTGTTTAGATGAAACCATAAAAAGGCAACATTCTGAGTAAATTATATAGCGTCCACTTGATGAAATAATAAGCCTAAGTTTAGGGAATGAAAGTAATGATCTAATGCAGTATTTAGAATGCATATACAGTATATAGTTATTAACCAAAAAGTCACATCCTGCATTCTTTTAATTTGTGCAAAATTTGTCATTAATTGCCCAGGAAACCTCTGATTTTTTTCATACATAATCACATCATAGCTATTGACTTTCTCTCCCTTCTCCTGCCTTAAAATACATCCCTGTAAATAGTAGATTACTTTCAGATTGGTAATACCCCCTTTAAACATTGAGTTGCTAAGTTTAGCCATGTTGCTCTCTTTCTTAAAAAATAGAATTCTTTTTTCCCCAACTTTGTCTTTGAGTTGTTACTGACAAATCACACTTTGGTTTTTTTGTTTGTTTGTTTTTGTTTTTGTTTTTGTTTTTTTTGAGACTCTGTTGCTGAGGCTGGAGCGCTGTGGCGTGATCACCGCTAACTGCAGCCTTGACCTCCCCAGGCTCAGGTGATCCCCCCATCTGTTTTTTTTTTTTGTTTTGTATTTTTAGTAGAGACAAGGTTTGCTATGTTGCCCAGGTGGGTCTCGAACTCCTGGGCTCAAGCGATCCACCTGCCTCAGCCTCCCAAAGTGCTAGGATTACAGGCATGAGCCACTGCTCCTGGCCCACACTTTGTTTTTTCATGGCAATTGGCTTAAAATTTTATTTAATCCTTCTGCCCAATGTGAGCCTGCTAATTCTGAAATGCTTTTTGTTTTCATTAACTACCACTGTATGGAGGAGGAAATGTATATAGTATTCTACTTGCAAACAGTTTGAGAGATGAATTCTGATTCTTCATTCAAACTCATTCTAAATGGGGCAGGTCAGAAACACAGAAGTCAAAAATTGAAAAGAAAGAATAAGATAGTGGGTAAGGAATGAGGCAGCCAAGCTGATATCCAGCCAGGAATCCAGTTCTTCCCTATCCCTGGCAACTATCTTAGATCAATTTAGGATTTATAAGTTGGCCTGTGATCATCCAGCCACCTCACCACCTCATGTAGCCCTTGATGATGTTGGTCTATTGACTTTGAAATTAGAGAAGTAGAAATAACAAGCCTTTTGTGATTGACTACTTGCACAGAATAACCTTTACTAATTTGAATTCTTGGCCTTCAGTAGCAACAGAGCCCCTTAGAGAGTGACATTCGCCATGATTTATTTGAATGAAAAAATAAATAAAAAGAATAACAACATAGCTAGATCTGAAAAGAGACCTGAGAAGTCAGAAAATGTCTCCAATTTCAGGAAGGGGTGTCAAGGGAAATAACTCCTATTGCATCCCTTGTGTCTTTTTTTTTTTTTTTTTTTTTTAAGACAGAGTTTCGCTCTCGTTGCCGAGGCTGGAGTGCAGTGGCACGATCTCAGCTCACTGCACCCTCTGCCTCCTGGGTTCAAGCGATTCTCCTGCCTCAGCCTCCCAAGTAGCTGGGATTACAGGCATGTGCCACCATGCCTGGCTAATTTTGTATTTGTAGTAGAGATGGAGTTTCTCCATGTTGGTCAGGCTGGTCTCGAACTCCCATCCTTAGGTGATCCACCTGCCTCGGCCTCCCAAAGTGCTGGGATTACAGGTGTGAGCCACTGCTCCCGGCCCCTCTTGTCTTTTTATCTGCCAGATTGTTAAGAGGAATAATAGAGCCCGAAGTGTATACCACATTTGCCTTGTAAGCACGTTGAAGATTACTTACTATTTTGCAAATTGTGTTTTGTGTTCATTCTGCCTGGGTGGTGTTGCAGGACTGCTTCTGCTTCATCCAGAGCACTTGAAATATTATCTGCTTACATATTTATATATTAGGGTTTCATGTATTATTTGGTTGAATACGAGGGTTCTGCTTTTTTAAAAAAAATTTGAAAACCTTTGGTTTAGCTGAAATGCCCAAGACTTTATAGAGAATGTATCAGAAGATCAAAGAAGGTAAATTACATACCCACAGTCATGGAACTATTTAGAGGTCAACAGAGATTAGAAACCATCTAGGTTTCAACCATCCATGTCTGGACTTCCTATCCAGGGCATTTTTGCTACAAAATGTTGATTTGATTTTCCATTTTGAAAGACACAGAAGTGATCTGTGAAATGGTGATTAGCACTAGGCGGCCCCAGGCAGCCCTGGAATGCTCCATGGTTCAAATGCCCAAGACCAGATGGAAGTCTAGAACTGGATGACTCAAAGTTTATTAGTTTTGCCACCTGGGCTGTACAGCCAAACCAGCTGCCACAGGCAGTTCCAATTTTGACAGAGCGGTAAATGAACATAAAAGTGAGTTTAAGTCCCAAGAATAAAGTAAAGGAGAATGGCTGCAGCAGCAAGGTGATTCATCCAAGCTGAGTCCTGTTGATATTTCTTGTAGGAAGCACAGCTGCTGTGCTAGGTAGGGGGCAAGAAAAGGCCTGAAAAATCATGCCTTGAGTTGTTCCAGGAGCCAATCTCAATTTGGGGTATGTTTTAATGACAGGCTTTGTAGGTTTTCCAATCGCATCTGACGATCTAGAAAGGGAAAAGCAAGCCGGTGCTATATCATGATTATGTCATGTGGCCTGAACCACTTTTTATTCTTTTCTGGAATCCATGGAAAATCATTTGATCACCTCCTTTCCATAGTTCTGTGGTGGTGGAGCCATAAATATTCATTGGAACATAAGATCCTTGTGGCAGATCACCAGGAATCAATTCATTATCTTCATATTATCGTCATATTGAGTTGAACTATTGTAGATTTGTCAAGATCTGTCCATGAAATACTACAGTAGTCAGAAATTGACTCTAAGGTTTTGGATGACCCCTTTAATAGATCGGCAGTTCTCAAAAATTGAATCGAGTATGACAGTGAGCACATGGGGCTAGGAACAAATTGGGAGAAGTACAGTAATGTTTCTTTAAATGAGGATGATCCACTAATTAATTTTAAAAACTCAAATAATCTTGATCTTTTCTGTCAGAATGCTTTGGGCAGAATGTAACAGAAAACCTGGCTAAACTGACTTAAATAAAATGGAGGTTTATTATTATTACTTTTCTGTGTCATCAGAAATTTAGAGGAATGTGGTTCCTGGCTTTGGTTCATCTACTCAGTGATGACACAGGCTCTCTTTGTGTTATCTTGGTGCAAAATAAAAGGAGATACATGCAGAGGGGAAAAAAATGCACGAGTTGCTGATGTATATTGCCATGGGTTTGAGGATAAAGGCCAGACCACGGTTCCATCTGCTTGGTCAACCTCTGCTTTCAGATAATCTTTTTAGGGGTTGAACGTTTATGTATTTATATTTCTCAATTGACTATTACTTAGTCTCATGCAATAGTGTAATGCCGTTCTTCATTTGTGTGATAAAAGTACAATGCCTGTATATTTTCTAACTTGATGGACAGGTTTTTTTCTTCTACAATGAGATGAAGTGAAATTACTTTCATAATATAACGTTCTCTTTATGAGTATAGATAAACTAGCTGTTCTATTTTATTTATTTACTTTTTTTCCTGGTAGGTGGCGTGTTTGTCTCACATAGCTGCAAATTATCTTATTGGTCAAAAGGAAGCAAAACGTTGGGGTACAGCTCATGGCAGTATCGTTCCTTACCAGGTAAGACTACAGCAGTCTAGGGTTGGGCTGTTGTAATTTGCAGTTTTATATGATGTGTTTTTGGAAAATGATTTCTTTTTATACACAAATCCTTCAGCTGTTTTTTTTTTTTTTTTTTGTAATGTATCTGTGTCTGGCTATAACAAGGTTCTGTTGTTCACTTTAAGTTCTGTTTTGCGTATTTCTTCATCAGAAAGAGATTAGTAACAAGACCCTTAAACAGATCAAAGGAACTTGCTGAAAGTAAGTGCCTTTTGGGCTCGTATGATGGTTTTCTTTTTTTTTTTTCCCACCTAAAAGAGGCACTGACTGTAGCCATTTTATAAAGCATGATTTGTTAACCATGTCAGTTACAAAACAAATGTTACCTACCCCATCTGACAATAATATTCTCACAGGATTGAAGTAAAATGAAAATTTGCGTGTGATGGTTCTTCATTTTTGGAACAAAGCAGATGGCTCAGGAGCTGCTGTTCTTTATTAAGTGTCTTAACTTGTCCTTAGAAATTCTTGACTTTGGCTAGTGTAAATGAATATGTGAAGTAACTGTGATCTTTCAAAAATAAAATTTAAAACAAAACCTAGCTCTTCTTCCAATCCAGTTGCTTGGTCCAGTTGCACTGTATGTTGTTGTATTTATTAATGTATCTGCATATCTCCTGTACTCTATTGCAAACTCTTAAGAGTAGAGGTGACTTTTTCATCATTGTATATCTTCTCACAATCAATGGAAGCACATGTTAGGTACTATATACATATCTGTGGAATGAATGAGTGAATTTTACTGGAGTCATTTCAATGTTAGTGCTCTTGGGAGAAAACAAAAAAGTCAGCATTTTTCATTTGCCAGGAAATTCATCAACCCTGCTAATCATCCTTTTAGCTTTAAGACATTATTTCCTTGGGCAAAACTAGTTTCTTTTCCATTTTTTAAAATCGGAATTTGAGGAAAGCACTGACCCAATATGAACCTGGGATTCTTCCCTCTCTGTTTATATTCATGGCCCTTTACCTGAGGCATTACTGTGATTTCACTGTAGCACTGCTTTTCAACACATTGAGTTGATCTTTAGGTGTAATTACAGTTGTGGAGGTGTTTTCTCCAGTTCTTCCCCTTTGTCTGCACCATTCGTTTTATGACCACCATTAATGACATTTTGCTTCTCCACTTCCTAGCCCTTTGTGACTGACCCTATACTTCTAACCAGACCTGCTTCATTTCACAGACGTCATTACATTGTTGAATTGGTTAGAGATCATCAGATTTAGTCTTTTTGTTTTTCAGATAAGAAATCTGATACCTAGATTGGGCAGATGAACTCCAACTGTGGTGCCCTGCCTCCTTGTTGAGTATTCTTTCAGATTCTGCTACCTTTGATAAGAAAAGGTGATTTCAGTTCCCTTCATCAACTCTACCCCTATCAAGGGTCTCCATCAAACTTGCTCCTAGGTCAAGGGTCTGATCAACTAAATTTATACTCGTCATTGATAATGGAGGTCTTTCTCAAGGGTATTTTAACAGAACAATGTTGGAATCTATGGGAAATCATCTCAAATAATGGAAGTCTGGCTTTCAGTCTTTATTTATTTATTTATTTAGAGACAGAGTCTTGCTCTGTTGCCTATGTGGGTGTGCAGTGGCACGATCTCAGCTCCCTGCAACCTCCACCTCCCAGGTTCAAGCGGTTCTTCTGCCTCCACCTCCTGAGTAGCTGGGACTACTGGCATGTGCCACCACGCCTGGCTAATTTTTGTATTTTTAGTAGAGACAGGGTTTCACCATGTTGGCCAGACTGGCCTCGACCTCCTGACCTCAAGTGATCCACCTGCCTCGTCCTCCCAAAGTACTGGGATTACAGGCATGAGCCACCATGCCTGGCCTGGCCTTCAGCCTTTTATGTACGTGAAGAAAGCATTCCTGAGTTGGAAGATTCTCTAGTGTAATTCCAAATCCCATCACATAGGTAGGTGTTCACTGTGTTCAAGCATAAAGTTTATAGTTTATTTTTTGCTCATTTAAAAAATGGAACATCATTTTAAAAAGCTTTATATAGACCTCAGCTATTCCTTCTGGGCATGTGCACCTAGAGTTCTGGCACCCTGGGTATGCCCTCAATTATTTCACTATGTGTTGAAAAGAAATTCAGAATCTTGGCTTTTATTTTGGAAAGTAAAAGACATAGGATTTTTTTTCTCTTTCTCTCTGTGTGTGTATCTGTGTCTGTGTTTGTCTGTTCTTCAATGATAGAAATGTACTTTTCCTGTTGAATTGTGCCATTCACATAAAATGGATAGTATACTTATTTGATTTTAGTTGATTGCAGCTGTATTATCTATAAGAAATAAGAAATCTACCAGGTTATTTCCTCAAGAGCCCAGAATTAATTTGTTTCCTCTTCCCAAGAACTAGTTCAGCACTGTGATTAAGGAATAAATGCAAATTTAGCTGAAATGAAACTAGCATACCAAGATGGGTCCTAGATATGCTTAGAGACCCCGGTCTGTTTTCAATTTTAAAAATAGATTGGGGGAATATTTTTGTGGGTGAATGCCAGGATAATTATAATTTAGTTTTCTGTAATAATTACAGAAAACTTTGCATCTAAGTTGAGTTGTCTGAGTTTTGGGCTGTCTATAATGGAAGACTCTGATGGTCACAGGAGTTACTTGAGGTGCCTAGCTCACTCTCCTCCATTCTTGTTGAACCCTATCTGAAAGATTGTATACCTCAAATGCATGTCATGTAAATTTCAGAAAAGTAGTGATTCTTGTTTTGTGTGTTATTTTATAAGCATGCAGTTCTTAACTTCTCAGATTGATTATCCTCTCATGCCCTTTTCTTCCCTATTCTTTGGCTGCCAGCTTTTTAAGATTAAGTAAGTTAGACAAACGTAGACAGAGCTGACATAATTTTGCTACTTGTTGAACATGTTGGTGGATGCTTTTCTGAGAATTCAGATATTTATGTATTTATTTATTATTTATGAGACTGGTTCTCACTTTGTTGTCCAGGCTGGAGTGCAGTGGTGTGATCATAGCTTACTGCAGCCTCGACCTGCTGGGCTCAAGTGTTCCTAGTAGCTGGGATACCGAGTAGCGGAGACTACAGGTACCAGCCACAGTGTCTGGCAGGTTTCAGATTTTTAAAAAAAAGTTTTAGATTTCACTGCTTCTTTTGTTCCCATTTCTAGTGGACCCTGCCACAGAGAAGCACTTAGCCTAAGGGATTAATAGTTACATAATATTTGTTAATTTTTTGTTTTTTTTTTGAGATAGAGTCTCGCTCTGTCACCCAGGCTGGAGTGCAGTGGCGTGATCTTGGCTTACTGCAACCTCCACCTCCCAGGTTCAAGCTATGCTCCTGCCTCAGCCTCCTGAGTAGCTGGGATTACAGGCATAACAAAAACGCCTGGCTGGTTTTTGTATTTTTAGTAGAGATGGGGTTTCTCCATGTTGGCCAGGATGGTCTCGAATGCCTGACCTCAAGTGATCTGGCTGCCTCGGCCTCCCAAAGTGCTGGGATTACAGGCGTGAGCCTGTAATATTTTTAATGCATAGATATGTTTCCCAGCCCTTAAACAATTATACTTAAAGACAGTAGGCTTTTAGAGATGGGAGAGGAGGGTGCAGAGAAAGCAGATAGCTGGTCTCCAAAAAGAATATATTTTATTATGTAACATAGTTGTCAGTGGGGCCACTGCCCTTTACATACATGGCCAACATGGTAATTCTTTTAATTTCATAGCCTGCATCTATCTAAAACTCTTGCCCAAATTTCTTCAACCTTCTAGGAACCTTCATTTCCATGTCCTCCTTTGTTTGTGACCCACACTGACCTCTACTGTCTCCAATATCGTAGAAGATCCATTCACAAATACACTCACAAGGACAGGTGATACTGAATATAGTGGGAAAAAAATGGAGTTTTTATTTACTTATTTTAAAATTAGATTTTAGAGCATACAAGTGCAGGTTTGTTACATGCAAATATTATGTAGTGGTGAAGCCTGGGCTTTTAGTGCAGTCATCACCCAAATAGTGTATGTCGTATCCAATAGGTACTTTCTCCTCCCTCACTCCCCTTCCACCTCCCATGTTTTTGAGTCTCCAGTGTCTATTATTCCACTCTCTATGTCCATGTTATTTAGCTCCCACTTATAAGTGAGAACATGCAGCATTTGACTTGCTGTTTCTTTTTCTTTTCTTTTTTCTTTCTTTCTTTCTTTTTTTTTTTTTTTTGAAGTGGAGTCTCACTCTGTCACCCAGGCTGGAGTGTATGGTGCGATCTCGGCTCACTGCAACCTCTGCCTCCTCGGTTCAAGTGATTCTCCCCCCTCGGCCTCCTGAGTAGCTGGGATTACAGGCAAACGCCATCACGCCTGGCTAATTTTTTGTACTTTTAGTAGAGACAGGGTTTTGCCATGCTGGCCAGGCTGGTCTCAGACTCCTGACCTCAAGTAATCTGCCCACCTCGGCCTCCCAAAGTGCTGGGATTATGGCCATGAGCCACCGTGCCCAGCCATTTTTGTTTTACTTTGTTTTATTTTGACAGAGTCTTGCTCTGTTGCCGAGGCTGGAGTGTAATGGTGCTGTCTCAGCTCACTGCAACCTCTGCCTACCGAGTTCAAGTGATTGTCCTGACTCAGCCTCCCGAGTAGCTGGGACTATAGGCCTGTGCCACCATGCCTGGATAATTTTTGTATTTTTAGTAGAGACGGGGTTTCACCATGTTGGCCAGGCTGGTCTCGAATGCCTGACCTCAGGTGATCCACCCACCTTGGCCTCCCAAAGTGCTGAGATTCCAGGCGAGAGCCACCGTGCCCAGCCTGACTTGATGTTTCTGAGTTATTTTACATTAAGATCATGGCCTCCAATTCCATCCATGTTGCTGCAAACGATATGATTTTACTCTTGTTTTATGTCTGAGTAGTATTCCATGGTATAGATATACCACATTTTCTTTATCCAGTCCATTGTTGACAGGCACTTAGGTTTATTCCATGATTTTGTTATTGTGAATAGTGCTGCGATAAACATGTGAATGCAAGTATCTTTTTGAGATCTTGATTTTTTTTCCTTTGGGCAGGTATCCAGTAGTGGGATTGCTGGATTGAATGGTAGTTCTATTTTTTAGTTCTTTGAGAAATCTCTATACTGTTCTCCATAGAAGTTGTACTAATTTACATTCACACCAACAGGCTATAAGCATTCTCTTTTCTCCATGTCCTCACCATCTGTTCTTACATTTTAAGAGCAGTGTTTTTTTATAGATGAAATGTACCCAGTCTTACAACAGGAGGCCTCACCTTTCTAACCATATCCTTTGATTGTTACCAGGGAGTTTCACTGTTCTGAATAGCATAAGAATCTCCCCATCTTGTGTCTCTCTCTCTCCCTTCTCCTTTCTGGCTTCAGAGGTCCCTTGTCTCTCTTCTCCTTTTCAAGAGCAATGAATTTCTCTAGTCTTCTATGAGTTTTTATGCTCTCTAGTGCAGGCACAGTCTTTGTGCCCACAGATCTTTGGGTAGCTACCACTATACTAAGTGCTTAATGATTTAGTTTTGATATACAGTGAATCCCTTCCCAAGGGGCAAGCTGATGTGAGGATCTAATAGAAGCCCACCAGACTGTGTTTCTGATGAGACCATCTGTCCCCCCAGCTCATTCCTTTGGCAGCAGGAATTGAGGGAGCTCACAGTTTATTGTGCTCCTGGCAAAACCACAACTCCTTCAGCTATAGTGTTGCCCTCATGACAGGGTAAATTGCCCAAGAGGCCGGTCTTGAGAATAAGACTGTAACCTTTCCTTAAAAAGACTACCAGAGCCAGTCATGGTGGCTCACGCCTGTAATCCCAGCACTACTGATGCGGGAGGATTGTTTGAACTCAGGAGTTTGAGACCAGCCTGGGCAACATAGTGAGACCTGTCTCTCAAATAAAAAAGAAGAAGAAACTAGGCATGATGGCACAAGCCTGTGGTCCCAGCTACTCTGGAGGCTGAGGTGGGAGGATTGCTTGAGCCTCCCACCTGACTTGGAAGGTTGAGGCTACAGTGAGCTGTGATTGCACCACTGTACTCTAGTCTGAGTGACAGAGCGAGACCCTGTCTCAAATAAAATAAATAAAATAAAATAAAATAAACTACTACCAGAATGAGTCCCATCACTCCTTATACCCATTTGCCTCAATTACAACCAGAACTCCAAACCTTTTGGCCATCTGTTATCACCTGGACAATTTTCCCATATGGCTCTGTTAATCTCTCTTCTTTTGACCCAGTCATTTCTCCTGTCATCAGTCTTGGTGGCTGTAAAATCCACATAGAGGACCCTTGCAACAGTCCACCCTCTTCTTTCTTTAACCTCTCCTCTCTTGCAGTGATCCTTTTCTGTTCTCACTTGGCTCCCACTCCCATTCACTTGGTGTTTCTCAAAGTTTAAAGTGCATGTGAATCATTTGGATGTCTTGTTAAGATGCAGATTCTGTTTCAAGGTGATGTTGATGCTGTTAGTAGGAGCACTCAGTTTCCAGATCTAAAATGCATTATTATCATTATTTTTTTAGAGACAGAGTCTCTCTCTGTTGTCCAGGCTGGAGTAGTGGTGTGATCATAGCACATTGCAGCCTCAAACTCAAGCAAACCTCCCACCTCAGCCTCCCGAGTAATAGCTGGGACCACAGGCACACACCACCATGCCCAGCTATTTAAAAAGTTTTTTTTAGAGACAGGGTCTCATCATCTTGCCCAGGCTGGTCTTGAACTCCTGGACTCAAGTGATCTTCCCACCTTCACCTCCCAAAGTGCTAAGATTACAGCTGTGAGCCATTGCTCGCAGACTTAGACTGTTATTATCAATGACTATAGCTTTGCCTTTATACTCAACTGGCAAAATCCCAGTGCGGATAGACTTAATAGTTCATCTATTCCTGGCCTGCAGTCAAGTGGTGGATATGGCCAGAAGAAAATATGCTACTTTGCTGATGATCTCCCTCCCAATCCATGGCCATCTCTCTCAAGTGGCCCCTCGGGCTTACCCAGAAATCCTGCCACCTTTACCTAGGTAATTTATTTTCTCCCCCTCTGAGATGACTACCTCACATCTTCTCTTCTCTAAGATCTTTCCATCTCTCCTCATCCTTAAAGACTTTGTCTCTTATTCCACTTAAAATTAATGCAATCAAAAGAGAACTACCTTATCTTTTCTCTACTGTACCTCCCAAACTCTTGCATTTGAACCTATATATAGATCACTGCATTCCTTCCTGTCACAAGAGAGGAAGCGTCCCTTTCCATATTTTGCCTAAGGGCATTGCATCTGCATTTTATGTCCTCTATCACCTGTATTATACTTCATAGGATAAGCAGATGATCATATATATAAATAAATAAATAAATAAATATATATATATTTATTTTTTGAGACAGAGTCTTGCTCTGTTGCCCAGGTTGGAGTGCAGTGGCGCAATCTCAGCTCACTTCAACCTCCACCTCCCAAGTTCAAGCAATTCTTGTGCTTCAGCCTCCCAAGTAGCTGGGATTACAGATATACGTCACCATGCCAGGCTAATTTTTGTATTTTTAATAGAGATGGGGTTTCACCATGTTTGCCAGACTGGTCTTGAACTCCCAACCTCAGGTGATCCACCTGCCTCGGCCTCCCAAAGTGCTGGGATTACAGGCATGAGCCACCACGCCCAGCCAGATCATAGTTTTGACCTTAAAAAGCCCACCAACCTTTCTTTGATTCCCAAGCAATGTCTTTTTCAAATCCTATCCTATTTCTATATGTGCTACTATACAGGACTCTTCCAAAAAATTTTGGGTGATTGCTGGATGGAAGCCCTCTACTGTCTATTCTATGATGTGGTCTGTGCTTTGCAGACCAATGGGAGACCCCAGGAGTTCAGGTGGTATGCAATAGCTAGGGGTAGTTGACTTTCTGAGTAGTTCATTAGTGAGAATTCTTTTTTTATGCTCTTTCATGAGCCTTTCAATGGGAATTTTCCTTTAAATGGCCTGATAATTCACATGGTAATTTCTTCTAAACTTTTCTTCTGAAGTAGCTTCTAACTCAAGAGGTTGAAGAAAACAATTATTTACATGATTAAATAAAATAACATCTTCCTTGTTCCAATTTGGGCTTATTCAACCAAGGAGTAGAGCAGGAAGCTGTGCTATGTTATTTCTGGTGGGGACATTATACTGTATATTTAATTTGGCAGAAGCAGAGACTCAGACAGGCAGTAAATTCCAAGTTTGAAGATATGCAGTACTTTGCTATCATTCCTTAGAAAAATGTCAAAGTGCTGTTAAATCATGGCAGATTAGGTAACATTGGGAATCTTTTTCTTTTTTTTTCTTAAACACATGTTAAGGATTTTTTTTTAAAAAGTCAAAATATAAATGATATACATCTGTCTCTTCTTGTGTGACTTTCTATTTATTTATTTTACCATAGTCACACTAAGGCACTAAAATGTGAAGGTATAAACAGGCATATGATTCTATCACATGTTTAAAATAATTGTTGTATTAGTAATAACAGTAACAATAATCATGATGGTTACCAACAGACATGTACTATGTAGCTGGGAGATATATGTATACATACATGTATGTATGTATTTATAAAATTTTTGCTTATTCTTCTTTTAGTTTGATGAAAGGGAAGCCTAGAGACATTAAGCAGTTATGTTCTAGAATAAATAGGAACCATGGATTTAAGGTTTTAAAACTTGTTTCTGTTTGTGACCAGCCTGGCCAACATGGGGAAACCCCGTCTCTACTAAAAAATACAAAAATTAGCTGGGCGTGGTGGTGCGTGCCGGTAATCCCAGCTACTCGGGAGGCTGAGGCAGGAGAATCGCTTGAAACCAGGAGGTGGTGGTTGCAGTGAGCTGCGATTGCACCATTGCACTCCAGCCTGGGCGACGAGCAAAACTCCGTCTCAAAACAAAACAAAACAAACAACAACAACAAAACAAAAACAAATTTCTTTTCTGACTGTATCCAAACTAAGCTGGATGCATCATGGATGTGCGTCTTTTTTTTTTGTTTGTTTTTGGCAGATTCTAGAATTCTTCTAATCTGTTTCCATTATCTCTTTAACAAATGTCAAGTTTATTATGATTCTAGTGGGTACCAAACCTAATAGCTGGCCTTGCTACAGAAGTATCTTTGAATTATGAGCTGTAGGGCAAGTGTAGGTTTCCCCCTACCATGGTTTCAGTACATTGCTTTCAAATGACTCTTGACAAACCAATTAAAACATAATTTCTTGAGTACCCTGTGGGGTAGGCAGTGTTTTAGTCCTGAAAGCCTCCAAATGAGGAAGAACTGGGCCCTTGATTTCAAGGGACTCAAAGGCAATATAGCAGGGAAAGTTGGGAGAACTTGAGCTTTGGGGTCAGACAGGCCTGGAGAATTAAAAGAGATCATTGTACTAAGTGTTTTGTGCAGCATCTGACTCTAGAAAGCCCTCAATAAAAGGTGGCTCCTGTTATTATTGGTGTGTTGAACTAATAATTATAGCTTTTGTGAATAATAGTTTCTATGAAAATATGAAATAGTCTCTATGAAAACTACCCATAGAAGCTTAGGGGCAGAGTAAATAAATAAACAGAGCTGAATTTCTTTCTTAAACTTTATGGGATTTTTAGCTTAATTTCTTTTCATTTTTTAGAGAAGAAAAGAGGGCAACACGCTGTGGTAATTTTGTTTTAAAAAAACTCTTTGTAGAACTTTTTCGGAAATTGTAGCCTTCAGCTCATTGTCCAAATATAGCATTATTAAAATTAATAGAGTTTGAGGAGAATCATGTATGGCAGCATCACTCAGTTGTTACAGGGAGTAAGGCTTCTAGTTTATTGAATGGTTTAATTAATTGAGATTGGGTATAGATTCATACTTAACAAAAGGAACCATGACAAAAATGATTTTCAGGAGTAATCTCTGAGAAGCCCACAAGATGGGAACCTACCTTTATAAAAAATATATACTCACCTTTGTAAGAGCAAAAAATTGTGGAGATTTCTCTTTTGGTTTTAAAAAGTGAAGGAAATAGAATATTTTAAACACTTGTTTTTATACCCTTAAAATTGCAAAGAATGTCGATAATGCTTACCCATTAAAAAATATTTGGAGATTTATTGGGAACGAAAGAGTAGGTGATAGCAAAGACATTAGATTACATTTCAGAGGCTTCTACAAACTTTTGATTAATTAGCACTGATGAGTTAGAATATTCAAAAGTTGGTTTTCTGGTAAATTAAGGCATGGATTGTATGAACCCCCAGCCCCTTTAGTTCTAAAGTTTTTGGCCAGGTAGCTTTTGAATATTTGCCTTTGTGTATGCCTTGATCCTTACGGATTTGGGATTCTTGTTAAAGCAAGACAAAATCTTTTGTTTGAAGATCCTGGTTAAATTTGGAACCAGTTGGCCAGGAGGTTGCCACAGTCTGAAGAATATAGGTCACTGGGCAGTCCAGGAGCAGGTAAAATTAAGGCAGATGTGCCAGCTGCGGCATAATAGCTGCCACCCTCTGGGCTACTTCTTAGGAAAGATTTGGCTGTCTTTGATTTAAAACAAAATTTCTGAAGTTAACATAAATAAGGTAACATGATGTCCAAGGGTAACTATTGCACAAAGAATAAATGCACTTACAACTGTTCAAAGACTATTATGATTTTTTAAACTCAGAATTCCCTCTGACATATAGTGTTTTAAATGTGTTTCGCTAAGAGGTAAAATAGAAGGTGGTGCAAGGAAAGTAAAAGTAGTAAATCCCTAGTTCCTTTAAGATTTTTTCGGCTTTTCTTGTATTCTTAATATATGTGCAGAACTAATGTGTTTTTATATTTTCTATGCCTAACATATTTGGCTAAAATTATCTAAAAGAATCAAAGGCCATTTTGAATATTCAGTCATTAGTTCTAGTAATATTATCTTAATCACTATAATAATTATCAGATGTAACATTTATCAATGATTACTGTGTTATTAAATATCTTACATATATTAAATCAATATTTACCACAGCCCTTAAAATAGTTATTGCTATTATCTCCACTTTCACATGTGGAAACTGAGGCATAGAGAGTTTAGATAACTTGTGCAGGGTCACAAGTCCATGGTATAACTGGGATTCTAACTGAGGCAGGGGGACTTGAGCTCATTGTACTGTATAGGCAGATGATACAATGCTGCATGTTTAGTTTCATTTTCTATCTTTATCCTACTTTTGAGAAATAATTATGTGACCTTTTCCTCTACATAATTTCCCCTTTAGGACTGCCAAGAGCAATTCAAGAGGTATAAACAATTCTGTTGTTTACTCATCACAGGGATCCTTAATTATGACTTAAAAGCAAATTTCCTTCAGAAATCAGGTTGTACATCTTTTGAATAAATCCTTTGGTCGCATATGCTAAAATGGTATTAGGTTCATAAGTAAGTGATGGTATAGTGAAGCAACTCTACCTATTAACAGTTCCATCTATTTAATGAGAACAGTCCTTGAGCAATATAGGAGTTGGGGATGGTTTTAGCTGTTGTGAGACTCATCGTTTCTAGTTTTCAACCTGTATTTCTGGAGTTTGGTAGTGTGGGGACAGAGCTGGGATGGGAAGGAATATTTGGGACATGAGGAGGAGTATTCCAGGGCCTAAGGAGGGGGATAGCCTGGGTAGAAACCAAGTAGACAGTTTTCTAAGTATTCACACCCCATTTCAACCAGAACAATTCCACCTTCTGGTAGTTTTTTGAAACAGGGATTCCACTGCTTAAAACTCATTACTTGTCCTAGATCGATCATCTTGTACTGAAGGACTTTATTGAACAAGAAAGTGGGTTTTGTACATGTGTATGTGTGTGTGTATGTGTGTGTATGTGTGTGCATGTGTGTGTATGTGTGTGTATGTGTATGTGTTTTGGAGAAAAGAGACTGATTTCCTTCAGTGCTGGAAATCATTGTTGTCGTTCCTAGAACTGTGGACCTAAAACCAAAGAATGGGTTCAAATCTACCCAAGGTGGAGGCCTAGGTGGGAAGAGTTTGGGTGAGGCCTGGCATAGCTCCTCTTTGAAGGGACACGCACATTACCTCGCAGCTAAGAGTCTAGCCTGGTGGCTCTGTGTGGAGGTCAGGGCTCTTTAGCTCAAATAAATCACACAGGACTAGTTTATGGAAACAGTTGGATTCGCATGTAGTTACATGTCCTGTTTTGTTCCTAGGGGTGTCCAGTGCAAATCTTGTTGAAATTCTGAGTAGCTGTGCTTAGCACCAACACAGTACCCTGATAGATCTCAGTTCAGGTGCAGGCTGCCTGGGGGGAAAATAACTGAGTTCTGATATGGTACCAATTACTATTATAGTTTAATATTAGGCAAATAATATAACAATGGTAGAAAGCCTGTAAGATGTTAAGTACTGAAGTGAATCTGTACTGGAGACTTGAACAAATCATGTTGATGTATAAGTATGGCTGTGAAATAGGCTGTTTCCTTCTTAAGTTTGCTTCTGGCATTTAGGAAAAGGAGTACTGCTTCAGGGACCCTGCCCAGACAGGAAATGGTACGTGTGCATGCTGAGTGGTGCTAGTGAAATAGGAACATTATACAGAATTATATTAATAATTCATTTGGCCTATTTTTCACCTGGAAAGTATTTACTCTCAAGTGCCCCCTCCTCCTTCTCGCCTGAGGGTGAAAGCAGGTGCGAAATGCTCTGGGTCCTAGTGACACTGAGTAGTCTATGGAGTGGCAGCATTGGCATCACCTGGAAGTTAGAAGTAATAGATTCATTCTAATGAACCAGAATCTGCATTTTAACAAGATGTGTGCACAGGTGATTTGTTTTCCTTAGACCCTTGTTGTCATTCTAATATGAGTCCACTAGATGTCACTCTTGTAACCTGGTAATGGGACAGGATTTTTCAATGGGGATTTGCAAGAATCCCTGAACATGATCATATTATTATTAGATGATTTCCTCCCCATCCTTACAGCTACTGATATACACATTGATTATTTAAGGTAAAACTATCATTCTCTATGGTTCAAAGTCCTGGAGAGAGATTCCTGGGAATGATTTCCATTTTTTTGGATTGGCACTCCTGCCTACTGTCTTCCCTGTTGCATGGGTTAGTCTGTCATTATATAACCTCAGCAGAGAATACACTGCAGATGCTGTGACAGGCTCACTGAGAGAACAGCATCCTGGGCTTCTGAGCACAGCAACACAGAATAAACATACAGATTTGATCTCCGTAGACATTATTGAGAACAGAAAGGAAGCAAGGCTGTATCCTGAAATTAGCATCAGCCTCTAAGATGTGATTGTTGGAGGAAGTGCTGACCTTTCTGAGTGTGTGAGGTGTCTCAAGGGAAGTTTTATAAAGAAGATTGAGTCTGCTTAGGAAATAATGTCCCAAATGTAATCTTGTAGGGAGTTAGTTTCAGCCATGAAGGTGAATATAGGGACATTTACAGGTAAAGTAATATCCTGAGGGAGAAGATATACATTTAGAGATGTATGAGGTTCCTAGGAAAGGTCCTGTTAACAACTGGTTAGGTCTGCATATTAGGAAAGAAGGGTGAAGAGGGTAAGGACTATGCTTTAGAAGATCCGATTTTTTTTTTTGCCGGATGCCTAGCTTGAGAAAAGTTAGTTCTTGAAAGAAATTACCTGCTGGCAAACGCTCCTACCTCTAAGTCCGGCATGGTTTTTCCTCTGTTTCAGTTAACAAGGTTAGCAAACAAGTCATAAAGTAGCAAGTGTTTGTGTGTGCTTGAGTGTGTTTTGTGAGTGTGTGTATTTCCTCTTCTGGATGGGGGGGCATTTATTTACTTTATATCACTAAATGCGTGGCAAATACTTGGTTTGGGTAATTTCAGCCAAGAAAATGGTTTTATTGATGTAAAAACAATACAGTTTTAGCTTACATATAATTTTCTTTTGTTCAAATAATTAAGGTCACCATAGTAATTACTTCTAAGCTTTAGGGTCTTTTCTAACATCATTTATTCTGATGTGATTCCTTATGACCAGAAACAGAATTAATTTTGAAGCATTTTAGTGAAAATGAATTTTATTTTTCTAAAACATTATCTAAAATTTAGATAATTTTTTGACTTCCCTGCGCCACATTGAAAGAAGAAGAATTGTCTTGGGCCACACATAAAATACAGCAACACCAAAGATAGCTGATGAGCTAAACAAGAAAATCACAAAAAAAATCTCGTAATATTGTAAGAAAATTCATGAATTTATATTGGGCATTCAAAGCGTCCTGGGCCACATGCGGCTTGGGGGCTGCGGGTTGGACAAGCTTGATTTAAATCATGGAAAACAAGCCTAAAATGCCCATTCCTATTCTTAGGCACAGTCTAAACATCTACTTCTTCAGTGATAGTATTTTACACACCCATCCTCTTTACTGCTGAATTTTTTTTTCCTTTTTCTTTTCACTTGTTGCTGCTGAGACTCAACTTGCTAGAGATAGCAGCACATTTAGGTGTAGTGTTTAAAAGCATGCATGAGCTTTGGAGTCAGACAGACCTTGGCACATTGCTTCATCTCACTGATCCTTAATTTCTTCATGTATAAAATAGGTATATTACTACCTGGTGACAAGTCACAGGACAGTGCATTTAAAATATGTGGCATAGGGTCTGGCACATAGCATATGTTCAGTAGCCGGTAGCTGTGACTGCCAGTACTACACGAGCTCAGAGACCGCAGGCCTGCTGCTATCTTTATCTCCCAGCTGATAACCCAGTTCATCAACTGCCAGGAGTCCTTGTTCCTATAGGTTTTGTCCACCAGAGTGGAGCTCTGGGTCATGGAGAAGTCTTCCTTTTCCTCTGCCTGGCCAATGTGTTCATGACAATGGTGTGGGTCAGTGGGGAGCAGATTGGTAGTCTGGTAGAGGGGCAGGGAAACATGTGAATCCTAGAACAGTAACTGGGAGAGAAGTTCCACACTGAGATTCTCAATGAAAATTTCCCTCATGGTGATCAAGCTCAGTAGAATTGTTAGCACCGTTAGTGTTGTTAGTATAGCCATCTTACAGGCTGGGCCATTTAAACTGCAAATGGCATAGTCACTGATTTAAGCTTTATTTCTAAAGAGAAACAAACTCTTAGAAGCAAACTGCCAAATTCTTATTGAATGTTTGCCACATAAATTCCAGATTGTCTGTTCTTTATTATCTTTATTGGTTTGGAATGACCATTTTTGGTTCAGGGAGGACCTCTAGACTTTGAATAGCTATGACTGACACCTTGGGGTCACCAGAACATTACTTGGTTAGCAGCAGTCTTGGAAAACAACTTCAAGGAAGTCTGAAGAGATCTCTCATCCTGAAAACATCCTAGTAAGAATCTTTGCACTTCCATCATAAACAGCCCCATGGTTTCGCTTGATAATATGCCACTGATGAAGAATGATGGAGATTCTGATGTGACATCACCTGTATTAGTAGTGTGCTGTCTCAAATAGAAGAAGAATACAATATTAAAGAATTAAGAGCATTATGTATCTTAAAAATAAACTCATCTTTCTTGTTAGACTTTTGGAATCTGCATTGGATTTTTTTTTTTGTTTTTTTTTTTTTACATAGTTAAATTTAAGATATATTTCTAGTCATTGTTTAAAATGCATCTCAAGAAACTTTAGAAGGGGTGTGGATTGTTCTTTTTTGCCTACCATGTCATTCCTGTTTCCATTGTAGGAATCAAATCAGTAAGTTCAGTCCTAGTTCAAAGAAGCTGGGAGGCAGGGAACAAAACTTATAATAGTGTTACTGTGTAGACTGCAAAAGAATCTGAGGTTTGTTCAGCAAACATAATGGTGCATTGAGGTGTTGCATTAATGTGGGGGGCCAGAAAATGAGCTCTGTGTGTAGTGAATCTGTTAAGTGGCAGTTTAGGGTTTAACCTAAAAACTGGGAGAAAGTTGATAAGTGCAGAGGAAGCATGAGACCCAATTTGACACAGACCTTGCTAGGGTTATGGTGTCAGGCAGTGGAGGGAGTAGTGACAGGAGAAGAGGATTTAGTGGTGTATTGGATGAAGGTGGTGTGTTGGGCATGGCAAAATCATCCATCCATCTAGACAGCAAATTAACAGTTTTGTAGAAACGTATAGTCCCCAAGTATTTATATGCATATTAGATACGTAAATGCTAAAAGCATAAAAAAAGAATGGATAGAATGATTGGTGGCAAGTAAGTATCCTGATTCCATTTTCCTTTCATAATCTTGGTAGAAGGAGTAAATTAGTAGAAACTAATGGAAACTACTACTGCTGGGTTAGGAAATCTTTAGGAGCATCAGGGTTGGATGAAATAGTGGAATTATAACATTTTATGTACAGAATGATGAAAACAGATTGAATATAATGAAAACAGTAAAGAAAATGTATAAAATAATGCTGGACAAATATATTCTCTGTGAATGAGGAAACACATGGTCAGTATGTAATAATAATAGTATATTTAGTGGCCGGGCGTGGTGGCTCACACCTATAATCCCAGCACTTTGGGAGGCTGAGGCAGGTGGATCACTTGAGGTCAGGAGTTTGAGACCAGCCTGGCCAACATGGCGAAACCACATCTCTACTAAAAATATGAAAATTAGCCCAGTGTGGGGGCATGGACCTGTAACCCCAGTTACTTGGGAGGGTGAGGCAGGAGAATTGCTTGATCCCGGGAGGTGGAGGTTGTAGTGAGCCAAGATCACACCACTGCACTCCAGCCTGGGTGACAGGGCGAGACTCTGTCTCAAAAAAAAAAAAAAAAAAAAAAAAAAAAAAAAATATATATATATATATATATATATATATATATATAAATATTTATAAAATACACACATATATATAATTTAGTGACAGCATCGACCAGTGGCTCTTTTTTTTTAAATTTAAGTTCTAGGGTACATGTGCACAATGTGCAGGTTTGTTACATATGTATACATGTGCCATGGTGGTGTGCTGCACCCATTAACTCGTCATTTACATTAGGCATATCTCCTAGTGCTATCCCTCCCCACTCCCCGCACCCCACGACAGGCCTCAGTGGGTGATAGTCCCCTTCCTGTGTCCAAGTGTTCTCATTGTTCAATTCCCACCTATGAGTGAGAACATGCAGTGTCTGGTTTTTTGTCCTTGCGATAGTTTGCTGAGAATGATGGTTTCCAGCTTCATCCATGTCCCTACAAAGGACATGAACTCATCCTTTTTTATGGATGCATAGTATTCATGGTGTATATGTGCCACATTTTCTTAATCCAGTCTATCATTGATGGACCTTTGGGTTGGTTCCAAGTCTTTGCTATTGTGAATAGTGCCGCCATGAACATCGTGTGCATGTGTCTTTATAGCAGCATGATTTATATTCCTTTGGGTATATACCCAGTAATGGGATGGCTGGGTCAAATGGTATTTCTAGTTCTAGATCCTTGAGGAATTGCCACACTGTCTTCCACAATGGTTGAACTAGTTTACAATCCCACCAACAGTGTAAAAGTGTTCCTATTTCTCCACATCCTCTCCCAGCACCTGTTGTTTCCTGACATTTTAATGATCATCATTCTAACTGGTGGGAGATGGTATCTCATTGTGGTTTTGATTTGCATTTCTCTGATGGCCAGTGATGCTGAGCATTTTTTCATGTGTCTATTGGCTGCATAAATGTCTTCTTTTGAGAAGTGTCTGTTCATATCCTTCGCTCACTTTTTGAAGGGGTTGTTTGTTTTTTTCTTGTAAATTTGTTTAAGTTCTTTGTAGATTCTGGATATTAGCTCTTTGTCAGATGAGTAGATTGCAAAAATTTTCTCCCATTCTGTAGGTTGCCTGTTCACTCTGATGGTAGTTTCTTTTGCTGCGCGGAAGCTCTTTTGTTTAATTAGATCCCATTTGTCAATTTTGGCTTTTGTTGCCATTGCTTTTGGTGTTTTAGACATGTAGTCCTTGCCCATGCCTATGTCCTGAATGGTAATGCCTAGGTTTTCTTCTAGGGTTTTTATGGTTTTAGGTCTGACATTTAAGTCCTTAATCCATCTGGAATTAATTTTTGTATAAGGCGTAAGGAAGGGATCCAGTTTCAGCTTTCTGCATATGGCTAGCCGGTTTTCCCAGCACCATTTATTAAATAGGGAATCCTTTCCCCATTTCTTGTTTTTCTCAGGTTTGTCAAAGATCAGATGGTTGTAGATGTGTGGTATTGTTTCTGAGGGCTCTGTTCTGTTCCATTGGTCTATATCTCTGTTTTGGTACCAGTACCATGCTGTTTTGGTTACTGTAGCCTTGTAGTATAGTTTGAAGTCAGGTAGCATGATGCCTCTAGCTTTGTTCTTTTGGCTTAGGATTGTCTTGGCAATGCAGGCCCTTTTTTGGTTCCATATGAACTTTAGTTTTTTCCAATTCTGTGAAGAAAGTCATTGGTAGCTTGATGGGGATGGCATTGAATCTATAAATTACCTTGGGCAGTATGGCCATTTTCACGATATTGATTCTTCCTATCCATGAGCATGGAATGTTCTTCCATTTGTTTGTATCCTCTTTTATTTCATTGAGCAGTGGTTTGTAGTTCTCCTTGAAGAGGTCCTTCACATCCCTTGTAAGTTGGATTCCTAGGTATTTTATTCTCTTTGAAGCAATTGTGAATGGGAGTTCACTCATGATTTGGCTCTCTGTTTGTCTGTTATTGGTGTATAAGAATGCTTGTAATTTTTGCACATTGATTTTGTATCCTGAGACTTTGCTGAAGTAGCTTATCAGCTTAAGGAGATTTTGGGCTGAGACAATGGGTTTTCTAGATATACAATCATGTCATCTGCAAACAGGGACAATTTGACTTCCTCTTTTCCTAATTGAATATGCTTTATTTCTTTCTCCTCCCTGATTGCCCTGGCCAGAACTTCCAACACTATGTTGAATAGGAGTGGTGAGAGAGGGCATCCCTGTCTTGTGCGAGTTTTCAAAGGCAATGCTTCCAGTTTATGCCCATTCAGTATGATATTGGCTGTGGGTTTGTCATAAATAGCTCTTATTATTTTGAGATACATCCCATCAATACCTAATTTATTGAGAGTTTGTAACATGAAGGGCTGTTGAATTTTGTCGAAGGCCTTTTTTGCATCTATTGAGATAGTCATGTGGTTTTTGTTTTTGGTTCTGTTTATATGCTGGATTACGTTTATTGATTTGCATATGTTGAACCAGCCTTGCATCCCAGGGATGAAGCCCACTTGATCATGGTGGATAAGGTTTTTGATGTGCTGCTGGATTCGGTTTGCCAGTATTTTACTGAGGATTTTTGCATCGATGTTCCTCAGGGATATTGGTCTAAGATTCTCTTTTTTTGTTGTATCTCTGCCAGGCTTTGATATCAGGATGATGCTGGCCTCATAAAATGAGTTAGGGAGGACTCCTTCTTTTTCTGTTGTTTGGAATAGTTTCAGAAGGAATGGTACCAGCTCCTCCCTGTACCTCTGGTAGAATTCGGCTGTGAATCCATCTAGTCCTGGACATTTTTTGGTTGATAGGCTATTAATTATTGCCTCAATTTCAGAGCCTGTTATTGGTCTATTCAGGGATTCAACTTCTTCCTGGTTTAGTCTTGGGAGGGTGTATGTGTCCAGGAATTTATCCATTTCTTCTAGATTTTCTAGTTTATTTGTGTAGAGGTGTTTATAGTATTCTCTGATGGTAGTTTGTATTTCTGTGGGATCGGTCATGATATCCCCTTTATCGTTTTTTATTGCACGTATTTAATTCTTCTCTCTTTTCTTCTTTATTAGTCTTGCTAGCGGTCTGTCAATTTTGTTGATCTTTTCAAAAAACCAGCTCCTGGATTCATTGATTTTTTGAAGGGTTTTTTGTGTCTCTATCTCCTTCAGTTCTGCTCTGATCTTAGTTATTTCTTGCCTTCTGCTAGCTTTTGAATGTGTTTGCTCTTGCTCCTCTAGTTCTTTTAATTGTGATGTTAGGGTGTCAATTTTAGATCTTTCCTGCTTTGTCTTGTGGGCATTTAGTGCTATAAATTTCCCTCTACACACAGCTTTAAATGTGTCCCAGAGATTCTGGTATGTTGTGTCTTTGTTCTCATTGGTTTCAAAGAACATCTTTATTTCTGCCTTCATTTAATTATGTACCCAGTAGTTATTCAGGAGCAGGTTGTTCAGTTTCCATGTAGTTGAGCGATTTTGAGTGAGTTTCTTAATCCTGAGTTCTAGTTTGGTTGCACTGTGGTCTGAGAGACAGTTTGTTATAATTTCTGTTCTTTTACATTTGCTGAGGAGTGCTTTACTTCTGACTATGTGGTCAATTTTGGAATAGTGCTATGTGGTGCTGAGAAGAATGTATATTCTGCTGATTTGGGATGGAGAGTTCTGTAGATGTCTATTACTTCTGCTTGGTGCAGAGCTGAGTTCAATTCCTGGATATGCTTGTGAACTTTCTGTCTCGTTGATCTGTCTAATGTTGACAGTGGGGTGTTAAAGTCTCCCATTATTATTGTGTGGGAGTCTAAGTCTCTTTTTAGGTCTGTAAGGACTTGTTTTATGAATCTGGGTTCTCCTGTATTGGATGCATATATATTTAGGATAGTTAGCTCTTCTTGTTGAATTGATCCCTTTACAATTATGTAATGGCTTTCTTTGTCTCTTTTGATCTTTGTTGGTTTAAAGTCTGTTTTATCAGAGACTAGGATTGCAACCCCTGCCTTTTTTTGTTTTCCATTTGCTTGGTAGATCATCCTCCATCCCTTTGTTTTGAGTCTATGTGTGTCTCTGCATGTGAGATGGGTCTCCTGAATACAGCACACTGATGGGTCTTGACTCTTTATCCAATTTGCCAGTCTGTGTCTTTTAATTGGAGTATTTAGCCCATTTACATTTAAGGTTACTATTGTTATATGTGAATTTGATCCTGTCATTATGATGTTAGCTGGTTATTTTGCTCATTAGTTGATGCAGTTTCTTCCTAGCCTCGGTGGTCTTTACAATTTGGCATGTTTTTGCAGTGGCTGGTACAGGTTGTTCCTTTCCATGTTTAGTGCTTCATTCAGGAGCTCTTGTAGGACAGGCCTGGTGGTGACAAAATCTCTCAGCATTTGCTTGTCTGTTAAGGATTTTATTTCTCCTTCACTTATGAAGCTTAGTTTGGGTGGATATGAAATTCTGGGTTGAAAATTCTTTTCTTTAAGAATGTTGAATATTGGCCCCCACTCTCTTCTGGCTTGTAGAGTTTCTGCCAATAGATCCGCTGTTAGTCTGATGGGCTTCCCTTTGTGGGTAACCCAACCTTTCTCTCTGGCTGCCCTTAACATTTTTTCCTTCATTTCAAGTTTGGTGAATCTGACAATTATGTGTCTTGGAGTGCTTTTCTCGAGGAGTATCTTTGTGGCATTCTCTGTATTTCCTGAATTTGAATGTTGGCCTGCCTTGCTAGGTTGGGGAAATTCTCCTGGATAATATCCTGCAGAGTGTTTTCCAACTTGGTTCCATTCTCCCCGTCACTTTCAGGTACACCAATCAGACGTAGATTTGGTCTTTTCACATAGTCCCATATTTCTTGGAGGCTTTGTTCGTCTCTTTATATTCTTTTTTCTCTAAACTTCTCTTCTCACTTCATTTCATTCATTTGATCTTCAATCACTGATAGCCTTTCTTCCAGTGGATCGAATCGGCTGCTGAAGCTTGTGCATTCATCACCTAGTTCTCGTGCCATGGTTTTCAGCTCCATCAGGTCATTTAAGGTCTTCTCTACACTGGTTATTCTAGTTAGCCATTCGTCTTATCTTTTTTCAAGGTTTTTATCTTCTTTGCGATGGGTTTGAACTTTCTGCTTTAGCTTGGAGAAGTTTGATCGTCTGAAGCCTTCTCCTCTCAACTCGTCAAAGTCATTCTCCATTCAGCTTTGTTCCATTGCTGGCAAGGAGCTGCATTCCTTTGTAGGGGAGGGGTGCTTGGAGTTTTAGAATTTTCAGTTTTTCTGCCCTGTTTTTTCCCCATCTTTGTGGTTTTATCTACCTTTGGTCTTTGATGATGATGATGTACATATGGGTTTTTGGTGTGGATGTCCTTTCTGTTTGTTAGTTTTCCTTCTAACAGTCAGGATCCTCAGCTGCAGGTCTGTTGGAGTTTGCTAGAGGTCCACTCCAGACCCTGCTTGCCTGGGTATCAGCAGTGGAGGCTACAGAACAGTGAACATTGCTGAACAGCAAATGTTACTGCCTGATTGTTCCTCTGGAAGCTTTGTCTCAGAGGGGTACCCAGCCGTGTGAGGTGTCAGTCTGCCCCTACTGGGGGGTACCTCCCAGTTAGGCTACTCAGGGATCAGGGGCACACTTGAGGAGGCAGTCTTAGCGTTCTCAGTTCTCAAACTCTGTGTTGGGAGAACCACTGTTCTCTTCAAAGCTGTCAGACAGGGACATTTAAGTCTGCAGGGGTTTCTCTGCCTTTTGTTTGGCTATGCCCTGCCCCCAGAGGTGGAGTCTACAGAGGCAGGCAGGCCTCCTTGAGCTGCGGTGGGCTCCACCTGGTTCGAGCTTCCTGGCCGCTTTGTTTACCTACTCAAGCCTCAGCAATGGTGGGCGCCCCTCTCCTAGCCTCACTGCCATCTTGCAGTTTGATCTCAGACCGCTGTGCTAGCAATGAGTGAGGCTCCATGGGCGTGGGACCCTCTGAGCCAGGTGTGGGATATAATCTCCTGGTGTGCCGTTTGCTAAGACCATTGGAGAAGTGCAGTATTAGGGTGGGAGTGACCCGATTTTCCAGGTGCCATCTGTCACAGCTTCGCTTGGCTAGGAAAGGGTATTCCCTGACCCCTTGCGCTTCCTGGGTGAGGTGATGCTTCACCTTGCCTTGGCTCACGCTGGGTGGGCTGCACCCACTGTCCTGCACTCACTGTCCAACAAGTCCCAGTGAGATGAACCTGGTACCTCAGTTGGAAATGCAGAAATCACCCGTCTTCTGCATCACTTACGCTGGGAGCTGTAGACTGGAGCTGTTGCTCTTTGGCCATCTTGGAACCGCCCTTTTTTGCCCAGTGGCTCTTAAACTTTCTTGTTGCCTGTAATTCTTTTGAGGAACTGATGAAATCTATGAAAGCCTTTCTTAGAAAAGTACACATATTGATATACATGCATGATTTTTGCCTGGGATATCAGGAGCTTCTTAGACTTCCTAGAACTCATTCCTGGACCCTAGGTTAAGATTATCTGCCAGAAACCAACTCAATATGGTAAGGATAGTGAAATTACATTGGGAACACTGGAAAATTAGAACAAATAGTAGTAAGTAGTATGAGAGAAATCACACTATACAACTGAAAAAAGATTGTGCATAAGTATCTGCCACATAGGGCAAGAAGTGTTAGAATTACATAAGGAATGGAATTATACTGGACTTGGGCCTAGGACTGTGCAGGGATTGGTACAGGAAATAATCTGTGATTATTGTAATAAGGCTCACAACTCAATTTCACTTAACCTTCTAAAGGGAAATAAAGGCCAAAAATAAAAAAAAAACCCTATCACATTATTCCTCAATTTAAGAGAATGGAACTATGATCAAATCAACGTGTGCATTAAGTTAAAAAATGAAAGTAATATTTTTAAAAGTCTGTAACTTGTAAGAAATCTGGAAATGCTTTAAATACATTAATAGAAGGGCAGGGGAATACGTCATATCAAAGATTAGGAGCTCATATAAAGACTTTTGCATCCATTTCATAAAGTAAAAGAAGCAAAAGTAGGGGGAAAAAGTAGGCAAAAGATTGTTCAAGTGAGAACAGGGAAGACCTCAAAGTGTGACAGGTCAGGTGTAAATAAGGAGCCAGTCCGGCTATAAAGGAATTCAAGACACAGCACAAAAAGGACTGCAATTCAGAAATAAAAGCGTTTTTATACATGAAAGATAGAAGGTCGACTGGAGAATCAATGAGACTGCTTGATGATCAGGGTGCTCACGGGGAAAAAAGGAGATCTGGAAACTCAATGAATTCTTCACTTTGGTCTTTGTTGAAATGTAGAACTTTCCACTGTCATCATGTCTTTTGAAGCAAAGAGGTGAGGTATGTAGTATTAGATCAAATAGTGATAAGGGAACAGGATGTTCTGCCTGATTGGCCTGATGGATATAAGTAAATTGCTGAAACTTTATGACATCCATTATGAGGGTCTGAAGAAACTCAAGGGAATAAATGGATCTAAATGTGAAATAAGTTATTGCACTCACTCTTCAGTATTAGTGAATTCTTGTTTACATTCTAATGAAACCTACTGAGGAGACCCTACAATCTATTGACTGTTGAATCTCATTCATATTAGTAAACTCCAGAAATTGTAGGATCATTGACCATTTTGTATAATGAATGGAGAAAAGCATCCTGTTTTTTATAATATACTTGAGCTATTTGAAAGGGTAAACAAGCACCAGGAAAAAAGCAAGAAACAATTTGTTTAGACTTTCAAGGAGTCAAAAAGTTTCACAATGCTATTCCAAATTGTGTTACCATGGTATTAGGAGGGAAATTTCACCACAGGTAGGTATTAATAGAGAAAAAAAAAGTGTAGAATGTATGCGCCTGCTGTTGAGGGAGATGTGTAAACAGTGAGGTCCCTCTTGGGATTTCTGCTGGGCCTCTTTATTAAACATGTTTATAGATAATCTGAAAGGGCAGGCACACAATGAAGTTTCTAAAGGTACAGGATTTAAGCTCTTTTGGCCAGTAAAATTATAAATCAACTGGAATAAGCTTTTGAAAGATGGCATAAATGGACAAGAAAGTGGCGGGGAGGATCCAGTACTGTGAGAAGTGCTACCTATTTAGGGAAAAAGAAACTACACTAAACTTGTAAAATTGTGGGCTGTGAATTAGTTAGAAACCTGGTTTCATTTAGGAACCAGGAAAGGAGTTCAGAGGCATTAAAGATGCATCCTTCTGAGTTGGCCAGCAGAATGCTGGAAGGTTCTGAAAACAAAAGTACAGTTGAAGCAAAACCATTGTGCCTGTGCATTCTTTTGGTTTTGATGGGCAAATATTAAAAAAAAAGAATGGGGTATGATAAGGACCTGGTTTCAGATCCTGACTCAGTCCTTAAAGGGATGTTCTGAGGACCAAATTAAATACATGTGAATGTGCCTGCACATGTGGTGCAGTGGTACATGTCAAGTCTTGAATACAGCATCTCAGAATGGCCATGATGAAGTCATCCTCCTAGTTGGAGGAAATTAATCAATCTCTCACCTGGCAGGGGAAGCCCCTGAGAAAGTCTATGGCAGATACTGATCCATCTTCTCTCCAACTCAGCCAAAGGGAGACAACTTGATTTTTGAACCTCTCTAATTGTCATTAGTGACCTAGTAGAAAGCTAACTTTCTGTAATTCATAGAACAACAGAATACAGGGACGAAAGGGGACTTGAGAGATTACTCAGAAACCTCTTTCTTATGGATAAGTATGAGCAATATATAGGAAAAATCAAAGCTCAGAAAAGCAAATGAGAGACAAATTACCAGTTTGTGAACTCTGATCTTTCAATAGAGTAATCAACCATAATATTTCCTCCAGGCAAAGCTACACACCCCTGTTTAGTTCGTATGATTAAATGTTGATTAATTTAGAGTAGGGGGCTCTGTGGAAAGTGCATAGAATACTTGGTATTTCATTTTTGAGTCTTTAAGGAAATATCTGTTATCAATGTTGACATTTTCCATTTCCAGCATATTAGAAGTTAATTGAAGGCTCCAATATCCTAAAATTACTCTGTCAAATTTCTAAACGTGTACTTTTTTTTTTTTTGAGGCAGAGTCTTGCTCTGTTGCCTAGGCTGGAGTGCAGTGGCGTGATCTTGACTCACTGCAACCTCTGTCTCCCAGGTTCAAGATATTATCCTGCCTCAGCCTCCCAAGTAGCTGGGATTACAGGCGCCTGCCCCCATGCCTGGCTAATTTTTGTATTTTTAGTAGAGATGGGGTTTCACCATGTTGGTCAGGCAGGTCTTGAACTCCTGACCTCAAGTGATCCGCTTGCCTTGGCCTCCCAAAGTGCTGGGATTACAGGCATGGGCCACTGCGTCTGGCTTGTCTCCAATATCTTAGAAGTTGGTCTTCCTCAGCTTGAAATAAACCTGGTCTTGAATATTTTTCTGTTTTTAGACACATGGCATATAAGAAGGTTTCTATGTGAAGTAATGACTGTTGGTGAACTTTGCATGACTTTAAAAAAAATAATCTGAAGGCTATGCTCTGGAGGAAGTTCCATAGTCATACTCTTATACACACCTCTCTATCAGCCTTCCACCGATAGCTTTATCTTAAAATGTCATCCTAATTTATCTGTTTATTCCTGGGGTTATTATTGTTATAGTTATTAGAAATTATTATTAACTCATTAACTCAAAACTATTATAATTACTTATATAATGTTAATGCCATGCTAATAATTTCTGATATGTATTTAAAAATAATTACCAGCATATCACCTCATAGCATGTGCTGGCCAAGTTTATAGAACAAATTAATCAGACTTGGAACTTGAACGCAGGTCTTTGTAAGGCTGAGGAAACAGAAATCCCATTGAAACTATATCTGGTGTTTCAGTTATGGACCGTTTTAGGAAAAAATAAGAAAAACGAACCCTAGATATCTCTATAGATGGCATTTCCTCAAAACTCCACCAAGAACAGAATCCTTTGGCCGATCTCCAAACTTGAAAACAATTATTTTTTCTTTCTCACTCCTCTACCCCTTCTCTTCCTCTGAACATTTTTATTAGTTGAAACTCTTTATTTTTATTTTATTATTATTTTTTTTTGAGATGGAGTCTCGCTCTGTCGCCCAGGCTGGAGTGCAGTGGCGCAATCTCGGCTCATTGCAAGCTCCGCCTCCCGGGTTCACGCCATTCTCCTGCCTCAGCCTCCTGAGTAGCTGGGACTACAGGCACCCGCCACCACGCCTGGCTAATTTTTTGTATTTTTAGTAGAGACAGGGTTTCACTGTGTTAGCCAGGATGGTCTCGATCTCCTGACCTCGTGATCTGCCCGCCTCGGCCTCCCAAAGTGCTGGGATTACAGGCGTGAGTCACCATATTAGTTGAAACTCTTATCTGCTTTTCCTCACTGCCTTCCATGCAAACCTTAGACCTGTTCCCAGGAGGTTGCGTATTGGATATTCAACATACTTTTGTATTCCCTAGGTAACTGTGTTGGCTCCAGATGGTGAGGTACATGCTGGGTTCCATGGTGCCATTTTATTCTATTTCTTCCTTGCTGAAACTTGTGAAATTATGGATTTAAATTGGCAGCTTAGGATGTGTTTCCAACCACATGAGTTCATAGAACGATGCCTTAGTAATATTTTTGTTAGCATTATTTATTAGTATGTTTATTTTATCGTGGTATTTTTAAGACTCTTAACATCCAGACCCATCTTGACCTTGCATTGTGTAGCTTCATTATCAGCTTTTACTACCGATCCTATCCTTGGGCTTATTTATTTCATTTTCGATATTGCAGGGGTGGGCAAACTAGGGCCCATGGATCTGTGCTGATTTTATGTGACCCATGAGCTACGAATAGTTTTCTCACTTTTAAATGGCTGAAAAAAATCAAATGAAGAATAAAAGTTTTTGACACGTGAAATTCAAATTTAAAAGTCCATAAATAAAGTTTTATTTAACCACAGGCATACTCACTTGATTATATATTGTCTAGCTGCTTTTGTGCTAAAATAACGGAGTTGAGCAGTTGCAACAGAGATTGTATGACCTGCAAAGCTGAACATATTTATCATGAACCATTTACAGAAAAAGTTTGCTGACCCATGCTTTAGAGTATCTTCAAAGACCCCAAAAACATCACTCTGTATCCCTTCTTGGGCTTTTTCCTCCTCAGAGATTTTGCTTGAATTCTACTTTTATGATTTTGAAAAATTTCCCTTTCCTCTTTATGTAACACATACTAGCATTTGATTGATTGTATAGTTCTTCAGTAGTTTTATGTATATTAAATTTTGTGATTTTTAAAAAAATGTAACGTTTTTGAAAGCAGGAACCGTATAAAGTGTTTAGCAACTCAGCATTCAGCCAAGGATTAGGCACATAGTATTCGATTCTCCATAGGTACTTGCTAAATTTAATGGAATTCCTTTATGTGGGGTCCCCCAGAGTTCATATAAGGAGCCACAATCAAGAACAGAATATTACCATATACAAATAATTAGCAGCTTTAATTGTGGTTTCTACAGAGAACTCTGGGAGCCCAGATGAGCATAAGAAGTAAAATTTGATCTAAATCTTGAAGGGAGAATAGAAGTTTGAGAGGAAAAAAGGGAAAAGGGAAAGAGTGCTTGAGCATTCCAGTCAGAGGGTTTGAGTGTATAAGGTATGGAGGGAAGAATGTATCCAGATGACCTCTCAGTCCCTTTCCTCCCCTACGGAGGGATAAACACTGTCCTAAATCTGGTGTTGTCAATGTCACAAATATTTTTATTCTTGTATTACATATATGTATACCTTTAAACAATACATGGTATCATTTTGTATGTTTTTAAACTTGACTTATATAGTGCCATACTGAAACATCAGTCTGAAAAATGCTTTTATTTCTTTCAATTTTTTGAGTTTTTATGAATTTCATTTTTATGACTTTTATGTATGTTCATATGTATAGTTCTAATACATTCTTTGTTATGCTTCACATTATTCCATTCATTCAGTATGGCACCATTTGTTTGCCATTCACCTGTTGAATGATTTTTAGGTTGTTTTGCAATTTTTATTTTTGTAAGGTTGTGTTTTTTTAATTCATTTGTCTTAAATGATCTGAAATCTATATCTGAGAGTAGAATTGCTGCATCATAGGTATGTATATATTCAATTTTGCCTGATATTGATAGAAAGTAAATTATATCACTAGGTTTTCTAATATTACATTGTCTTTCCATTCCAAGGATTACCTATTAGTTATAATGTATTGTTTTTACATGTTTGTAGATTCATTTTTTCCTATCATTTTATATAGGACTTTTACATCTATTTTGAAAAAGAAACTGGCTCAGATCTTTCTTTTCCTATATTGTTCTTGTTTGTTTTTGTTTTTTTTTATATTAATTTTTTGTACATGTAGAGTTCTTTAGTGGTTGTTTCTGAGAGTTTGGTGCACCAAAGACTTAAACTCTGGTTTTCATGTTAGTTTAGTTTTATAAAATGAGATGGAGAATAACCATCCCTTTTCTATTCTCTAGAAGATTGAAATTATCTGTATATTAAAAGCTTGGTAGAGATAATCTGTTAAACTGTATAGGCCTAGTGGGTTTTGAATGGATAGATTTTAAATTATACGTCTATTTATTTTCAAGTTTAAAAATTATACAGGCTTTCCATTTCTAAGTCAATTTTATTGACTGTGTTTTTCTAGAAATTTGCCCACTTAATCTATGAATGTATTTAATCTATGTATTTAAATTTTTCATAGTTTTTTCTTTTTCATAAAGTTTTCTTCCATAACTAAAAAAAGTCTATTATATTCATTATTATTTTCTTTTCATTCCTAACAGAGAGAAAATTACAACAGGATAGGGAATATAGGTACAGACTCTGTAGCCACATTATCTGGGTTTGAATCTAGCCTTCACAGTTTTCTGGTTGTGTGATCTTAAGAAAGTTATATAACTTTTCTGTGCCTTAGGTCCTCAATTGTTAAAATGACAATAACATAACATCTACCTTATTGGCTGAACTTAGAACTTTATAAACATAAATATATGTTTGCAGACATACACACACACTGTTGTTACGAGCTATATGTGTCCCCCAAAATTCACATACTGTAGCCTGTATTTGGAGATGGGTTTCTAAGGAAGTAATTATGGTTAAATGACGTCATGAGGGTGGAGCCCTAATCTGATAGGATTAGTGTTCTTCCAAGAAGAGACACTAGAGAGTTCTCTCTTTCTCCTTGTACATTTACTGAGGAAAGGCCATTTAGGGACAGTGAGATGGCAGCCTGGAAAAATGCCCTCACCATTTGCCAATCAGCTGGAACGCGATTCTCGGACTTGAACCTTCAGAACTATGAGAAATAAATTTCTGTTTTCAAAAGCACCCAGTCTATGGTATTTTGTTACAGCAGCCCAAGTACACTAACACAGATTATGGTACTGAGAAGCAGAGTGTTGCTGTAACAAATACCTAAACATCTGGAAGTGGCTTTGGAACTGGTTGATGGGTAGAGGCTGGAAGAGTTTGAGGTGCATGACAGAGAAAGCCAAGATTGCCATGAAGCAATTGTTGGTAGAAGTATGGACATTAAAGGCACTTCTGCTGAAGGCTCAGAAAGAATGAGGAGAGCTGGAGATTATGCCTTCATTTTCTTAGAGAATACATAGATAATCTCGAACTGAATGTTGGTGGAATGTAAAATCCATTGTGGTGAGGCCTCACAAGGAAATGAGGAACAGGTTATTGGCAAGTGGAGAAAAGGCAACCCTTGTTATAAAGTGGCAGATAACTTGGCTGAGTTGTCTTCTAGTGTTTTTGTTTGTTTGTTTGTTTTTAAGACAGAACTTGCAAGACATGAAACTGGTTATTTAGCTTGAGAGATGTCAAAACAAAATGTTCAAAGTGTGGCCCATGTCCTCCTGAATGCTTATAGTAAAATGGGAGATAAGATAGATGAATTGAAGAAAAATTGTTAAGCACAAAGATACTAGAGTTAGAGATTTGAAAAATTCTCATTCTGTCCCTAATCAAAAAATGAGAAAGCACGTTCAGAAGAGGCCAGTGTTATAGTGACTTATTTCCAACCTCTAGTTTATGTGCCATCTTTCCATTAATCAACATAGTTTAGTTATAGCTGTTGATCCCACTGTGAATCAATTTGCTAGCTTTATTAATCAACTTACACACCATATATATTGCACTGCAGGATATTGTGATAGACATATACAAACACCTCTTGAAAATCTGTTCAGATCATTTATGATATTTCGTTGTTCTAGTTACTCATGTTGTTACTTGCATTCCATAAATTAGTATGTAATTTACTAGAGTGAATGTAAAAATTATGTCTGCCTAGCATTCTTTTCTTGGGAGGTACTTTTCCCTCCTCCATTTTATAAGCATATCACTTGGTACATGTGTTTCAAGGGATGGGAATGACCCTACCCCTTGTAAGGTTTTGAGGGGAAGGCAAGGGTAAAAGAGAGAGCTGGTGGCTCAACAGCAACACAGGTTTATTGAATGAAGTCCTGCACGGGGGTTGCGGGGAGACAGCAGCTAGCGCTGGAGCCCACCCCCACTTACAGACTGGGGTAATTATAGGTCCAGGCGGGAGAGGTCTGGGCTTGTTGCAAACTGGGGTGGGCGGTGTGGTTAGCTGCTGATAAAGGAGGAATTTCTTGCAGTCAGGTGGTTAGACCTGGCACTTGTCCGGCAGGATATTTCTCATGGCCGGAGCTCTAGTGGAATTTTCTGCTCTGACCAGGGTCTGTGAAATGGTAAGGGTTTACAAAATGGTGCAGCTTGGGCTAACACCTCTGACCGTCTATGCCAAGCAGGTCTTGTGAATGAGTCCCGTTAGAATCCAGTCCTTCCTAGGGTCAGATGATTGGTGTGGGCATAGGCATATGATCTCAGCTGATTTTCTGGATCCATCCATGACAGGAGCTGGAGTACCTTTGAACTCATCAAGTCTGTGAGCCAATACACTTGACTCACAACCTCTCCACTCCCCCACCTTTTTTGTTTGGGTTAGTTTGAGTTAGGCATCTTTATTTTAGGTCTCTGTCTGTCCTTTCATCCTTTCATATTTATTATGCCTCATCAATGTTATTTTTGCTCCTTTTCTTCTTCCTCATTCTGGAAGAAGTTTTTAGATTTGTCCTGCATATAACTTACCCCATTTTCTGTAATGCTGAATTTTACTCTTTTACCCTTGAAATCCATCGTATTCTTGTCTATCTCTATTGTAATTTCTTTTGACTTCTCAGTTAGTGCTGTTGTTTCATAATCTCATGTTTGATTTCATATTTAAGGAAGAACATATTTCCCTGAGTTGTTTTGAGTGGATAAGCAGACACTTTTTATAATTTGCTTCTTTCCCTACATAGATGGTTTTGAAATTCTTGTTTTTTTGCTGCACCTGGAGGACTCTGTTCTCTTTCTTTTATATTGTGGGATATTTCTATAGGTCTTTTCCACCCTCCTTCTGTATATCCTCACTGAATGAGTTCTCACGTATATTGGCTGATGTTTGCTGGCAAACAATGGTAAGTAATAATAGCTTTGCTTGTCTTTAATACTCATCACTATTTGGTTGCTGTTCAAAGTGCTTCTCTTAAATCTTAATGTGAAATACTCATTGATACAAATTTAGATTCAGAAAGCTTTACAGGAGTGTGCAGGCTCATCAGGGGAACTATGTCTCTTGATTTTTCCTTCCCTTTTGATACATTTGATTTGGCCATTGCTTCAGTGACTAACTTACTTTCCTTTTTGTCTTTTTTTGTAACAGAGTCTTGGCTCTGTTGCCCAGGCTGGAGTGCAGTGGCTCAATCTCAGCTCAACTTCAGTGACTAACTTTTTACACTTGACACTATAATAGTCCTTATTTCCTAGTACAAACTGGTCTTTTGTCTGGATAGTTGAGTCTAGTCTTTGTCATTCTGTTTCCTACTTGGTGTTGTCAGTGCACAAATTCTGGGGCCCTCTCTAAGATCCCTGTGTTCAACTACTTATTCTCAGTTACAAAATAGAGGTTTTGCCGCTTGCTCCTCACCTGGTATACCATCACTCATTCCTCTAAGAAGTTCTTCTTATATGGTTTTTTTTGGAGGCAGGGTTTCACTCTGTTGCCCAGGCTGTAGTGCAGTGGCACGATCATGGCTCACAGCAGTCTCTATCTCTCGGGCTTAAGTGACCCTTTTACTTCAGCCTCCTGAGTAGCCAGGACTAAAGGCATACCACCACACCCAGGTGATTGGTTTTTATTAATATTTTTAGTAGAGATGAGGGTGCTCTACTAATGCTACATTGTTCAGTCTGGTCTTGAACTTTTGAGCTCAAACAATCCTCCTGCCTCGGCTTCCCAAAGTGCTGGGATTACAGGTGTGAGCCACTGCACCCAGCTTTTCCTATATTTTTGTCAACATAGATTTTTTACCTGTATGAGTTATCAGTGGACCTCTGGTGATTTCATTTATTTTGGTTCATTTAGAATATACCTAGCAGAAAATCTGTAGCATTTCTGCTATAATATCCTTTATTCTAATATTGTTCTTTTTAAAATAATTTCATATAATTGATATATGTCAATTTTAATATTAAAGATAATACTTTTTATGTCATCTTTGTACTTATTACAATTTGATTTTTAAAACTTTTCCTGTTTTGTAAGTGAATCATACTCATTACTATATCTTATTTATTTATTTATTTATTTATTTATTTATTTATTTATTTATTTATTTATTTTTAAGAGAGTCTCACTCTGTTGCCCAGGCAGGAGTGCGGTGGCACGATCTCAGTTCACTGCAGCCTCTGCCTCCCAGGTTCAAGCGATTTTTCTGCCTCAGCCTCCCAAGTAGCTGGAACTACAGGTGACCACCGCCACACCTGGCTAATTTTTTTTTTTTTTCTTCTTTTTTTTTCTTAGTAGAGTCAGGGTTTCACCATGTTGGTCAGGCTGGTCTTGAACTCTTGACTTTAAGTGATCCACCCACCTTGGCCCCCCAAAATGTTGGGATTAGAGGCATGAGCCACCGTGCCTGGCCTATTATATTTAGATTTTTAAAAAAATTATACTTTAAGTTCTGGGGTACATATGCAGAATGTGTAGGTTTGTTACATAGGTATACAGGTGCCGTGGTGGTTTGCTGCACCCATCAACCCGTCATCTACATTAGGTATTTCTCCTAATGCTTTCCCTCCCCCGCAACCCCCCCGACAGGCCCCAGTATGTGATGTTCCCCTCCCTGTGTCCATGTGTTTTCATTGTTCAACTCCCCCTTAGGAGTGAGAACATGCGGTGTTTGTTTTTCTGTTCTTGTGTTAGTTTGCGGAGAATGATGGGTTCCAGTTTCATCCATGTCCCAGCAAAGGACATGAACCCATCCTTTTTTATGGCTGCAAAGTATTCCATGGTGTATATGTGCCATATTTTCTTTATCCTGTCTATCATTGATGGGCATTTGGGTTGGTTCTTAATGATTTTGAATGTTTTTTCTAATTTCTTAAATATTTATATATAATGAGTTGTGTATATGTTCTTTATTGCTGTGTAAGCCTTCTTAAGAACTCTTTGTAGGTTGATAACATTATGCCCAACTCATATTTGTTTTGACTAGTCTTTCTCAGTTTGTGTTTTAATTTTATTTCTGTTTTCACTGTGTCTAATATTATGTTTAAGTATCAAAGTTAATAATTTTTCTTTCATGACCTCTTTTATTGTGTTTCTGCTTTAAAAGTATTTACCATCTTAAAATCTAAAAATGGATCTCTTCTGGATGAATTTTTATGATTTCACATTAAATTATTTTATATTTTTATTTTTTCTCTTTTTAATAAAACAAACTTCCTAATTCCTTGAGTGGATTATTTATTTAGGAATTTAGCAAAATGTACTTATAATAGTGTGATTGTATTGTTTTCACTACTCTTATAAGATTTTCAAGGCCTTTATAAGCATTATCCCATTAATTCACATAATACCTTTTTGGGTTAGGTAATAACTGTGATCAGAGTTCCACATAATGTTTTTAGAAAATCTCTAGAATGAGTAAAGCTTAATTTTGTCAATAAAACATTTATAAGCACTCTTCAATGACTAGCTGACATCACATTTAGAGTTTGGTTAAAAACTGTTGTATTTAATGGCAACTTTGCCAACTTATCTATGTTTTTGTCTTCATTTTTTAATCTGTGGAAAATTTGCTACTCTTGTATGGCTTTCTCAAATGATATATGTGGATTATTGTTGAAGAAACAGAGAAGAGTTTAAATTTTAGATTAGTGCTTCTCAACCCTAGCTGCACATTAGAATTACCTGAGAAGCTTTTAATGCAAAGTTAATGTCCAAGTTTCACCTCCAGAAATTAATATTTAATTGTTCTTTGGTGTTGCTGGGCATTAAGAGTTTTGAAGAAGCTTCTGTTATGCACCCATGGTAGAAAGCTATTATTTTGCATCAGTGGTTTTCAAAATGTGATCCCCAGATTTGCTGCATCACGTGAGAACTTGAGATGTAATGAAATGTAAATTATCAGACCACATCTCGATCTGTCTGCTTTTTTTCAAAAGAATTTTTTGTTCTGAGATAATTGTGGATTCACATGTAATTGGAAGAAATAATAGAGATCCATTTTCACCAGTTTTGCATGCATTTGTGTGTTTGTGTGTGTATATTTACTTCTATACAATTTTTTTTAGTATATGTGCTGCCAAGGTGAGCACTACAATCTATTTTTTTTAATGTTTTATTTTAGATTCAGTGGTACATGTGCAGGTTTGTTATATAGGTAAGTTGTGTGTCACTGGAGTTTGGAGTACAGAGTATTTCACCACCCAGGTACCCAATAGGTATTTTTTCAATCCTCTCCCTCCTCCTTCCCTCTACTCTCAAGTAGGCCCTGGTGTCTGTTGTTGCCTTTCTTGTATCCATATGTGCTCAGTGTTTAGCTCCCACATGTAAGTAAGAACATGGCGGTGTTTGGTTTTCTCTTTCTGTGTTAGTTTGCTTCAGATAATGGTCTGCAGTTCCATAAATACATGATTCATTCTTTTTTATGGCTGTGAAATATTCCATGCTTTATCCAGTCTACCATTGATGGGCATTTAGGTTGATCCCATGTTTTTGTTATTGTGAGTAATGCGATGAACATACGCGTGCGTGTGTCTTTATGGTAGAATGACGTATGTATTCCTTTGGGTGTACACCTAATAGTGTGATTGCTGGGTGGAATGGTATTTCTGTTTTGTGTTCTTTGAGAAATTGCCAAACTGCTTTCCACCCTATCTGAACTAATTTGCATTCTCATCAACAGTATAAGTGTTCCCTTTTCTCTACAACTTTGTCAACATCTGTTATTTTTTGACTTTTTAATAATAGGCATTCTGACTGGTGTGAGATGGTAACTCATTGTGGTTTTGATTTACATTTCTCTAATGATTAGTGATGTTTAGCACTTTTTCATATGCTTGTTGGCCACACGTGTCTTCTTTTGAAAAGTGTCTGTGTCCTTTGCCCACTTTTTAATGGGGTTGTTTTCAGATGTCTACTATCACTAAAGTCAAGATACAGGATGCAACAACAATCTGTGTTTCACCAAGTTTTCGGGTGACTGGTACTGCTAAGGTTTGAGAACTATTTAAAAAATAAGACTAGAAGAGCAGGAACAGACTTTTTTTCCCCAAAAGGATTAGTCTAAATACGCAAAGGGTACTCATAGACCAGCAGCATAGATCTCACCCAGGAGCTTCATATTACTGTAGAATCTTAGGTCCCATCTTGGACCTAATGAATCAGAGTTCACATTTTAACAGGATCCTCAGATAATGTGTGTACATATTGAAGTTGAAGGGTACCTGATTAAGGGGTTAAAATATGCAAACAAACAAAAACAACTAAATCAGTTTTCCGAAATTGGGTTTAAATATTTATTCTCACAGTAAATACCTTTCACGTTGAAGATAATTTGTCTTTTAATAAAGATAATTTTAGTGTTGAAGCAAAACTAATACCATTTTCTGTGCTTTACATCTCATTTTAGGGTCATTATGGTGTTATTTTTTGCTGATGGAGTTGGGTTCTTAAAAAAACCATATAGATATGCAAGTTGAGATTTTCTATCAATTAGTCTTAATATTACACCATCTTAAGTACCGAAAATATGACAAGTATCATCAGTTTCATCAACATCAAACTTAAATGTGTCTGAATTTTTTCATCAACTTTTTTTTCCACTTGTCACTTACTTCTGATAAAATTGGATATACTGGGTTTGTTTCAGGCTCCTGTAGCAGTTCATCTGGTAACTATCATTATTTTCTGCTTTCATTTTTATGGCATTTGGTTTGAGAGTCTGAGAAAGAATTTTAAAGAAAAAGTGCAACATTGAGAAAAACAGACAAGAGACCGGGAAGTAGCCTTTTTAATAGATAGATGTATTAGTTTAGGCTATTTTCCAATTCTGTTTTGCCTCCCCCCGCAACAAGTAATAAATGAACACATTTATAATTATTTTTCTTCTTCCCTCCCTTCTTTTCACACTGTGTAAGGTGGAAGGGAGTTTCTGGCTTAACCAGGGGAAGAGTATTGTTAAATAAGGCTTCAAAGACATGCAGAAGGCTAAATAAGAATTTGTGAGGTGGATTTATTGGTTGCGGGGCAGTAGAATACAGAATTCAGTGCTGATAGTTCAGATTGAGGTATTACATACAACAGTGTGGGCAGAGGGCAAAGGAGGGATGGACGGAGAGGTGGGAAAAGCAGGGATCTGTCACCTCGCCATACAGCCAAAGGGACAAGAAGGAAATGTACTTCCTGGAGCCAGTAAGGGAACTGTGGAGGAGAGGCCACCTGGTTAAAGCTGTGGTCATGGAAGGACCTACCTGGCTGCTTCTTGAGATACAGTGCCCACATGAGAGGGAGCCACAAAGAAATTCTTCTATCTCTTTTTCTTCCCAGAGGTGAAATCTAATGAAAAGTTGGCTGGGTATTGCAGTTTGTGCGGTCACTGTCAAGAGCACTGAATAAAGTAGAGAAGGCTGAGGATAGATGGAGTTTAGGGGTATAAAATAAAATAACCAGGAGATCAGAGTGGAATGCAATTCCAGAGAGAATGAATATTATGTGCTAATGCACAGAAATGCCAAAGATTGGCAACTGTGGGAATAATGAGGAGTATAGGAAGCAGGAAATGTGAAAGCAAAGTAGTAGCAGGAGATGAGGCTGGATACATAACAATAATAATAGTTAATACTTTTGGTGCCAAGCACTTGGCTAAATAGTTTACATAATTTCAGTCTACACATTATTATGAGGTTGACCCTATCATGTAGCAATTATGACTCTTGTCCACAAATGCATATGCAATTTTTTTTTTCTTACATTGACTCAGATTTCATTCTGAGCCTTTACCTCGTATTGGGAAATCGTACCTCAGTCATTAGTTTGGCTCCTGCCTTCTCCATAGAGTTCCATAAAACTCCAGGAGATTTGCAGGGTGACCAGATGAACTGGGAAGGACTCTAATCTCTAGGCCACCAGATTCTGCCAACCTCCTCTTCGTTACTGATAGTGGTCACTTGAAATTCCTGGATTCTTGAGCCATGGGAAGGACACTGGAGTGTTTTCAAAGGCTGTGAGCCCCAGTGGGTTAGGTGTCCACTCCCTTTGTATGTTTTGGTTTATCATTCCTAATGTCATAAACTTGTCAGAATCTTTTTATAATTGACTTAGGAGGTTCATCATATCTCATTCATCTTTCAGACATTTATGTCAATCAAAACCTATGACAATTTCTTACTATTATGTTTTGTAACCTGTAGGTAACCTTTGTAACCTTTTGGGCAATATTAACCATATATGCTCCTTAGAGACTGTGAGATGTTCCCTTTTACAACCAACCCTTTTGAGCAGGAGTTGGCAGACTTTTTTGGTAAGCAGCCATATAGTCAAGAATTTAGGCTTTGCAGGCCAAGAGGCAAAACTGAGGATATTATGCAAATATTTATGCAATAAGAGAGGAAAACATCTCACAAAATTTTAAGTGATTAAATTAAAGAATATAAAATAATTTAGTATTATTTATAAGACAGATTTACTAATGAGAAGAATGGAATTCTTTTTTTGGGAGGATTATATTTCACTTCATTCAGGTGTAAAATTAGTGTTCCCTATCATTAGAATTGATTTCAAATGTTTGTCTCTTAATGCTGATCTGTAATAAGAATTTACATATTTCATCTTTGAAAATGTCTTTTCACGCAGAAAGGTGCTGCCAAGTAGTTATATCAATCCACAGCATATGATTTAAATTGAGCATGTTCATTGCCTGGAAGGCATTTCTAGAATTTATTAGACTTTTCTCTTGATATTTTCCTTTTACATGTCATTACATTGCAGATTAATCACTTCCAATTGAAAGTTAGGTGGAAATTCCTCAGTTGCTCCGTTAAATGGATTTTGAAATATGGAAATTTCCTTTGCACTTGCATCAAGGTCTGAAGAACACTGTTGTAGCTTGAGTTCAGAAAATATATCTGCTCCAGATTCATGTGGGAATGGAAATCTCACTTTTTGTTTTATCTTCTGACAGCGCAGGAAGTATATAAAACAGCTTGGCATAACTCGTGATTCAAACAACATTAGTTGTCATCGAAATGACTTTACCGTCATAAAAGTTTTGCATGCAAATGCTGTTTTGCCTTGAAATTTTAGATTGAATTCATTAAACATATTGTCAAATCCGCAGGAAAAGCCAATTTCCAAAGCTATTTAATGCTCAATGATAGTGGTTGAGGATAGATTTTCTTACTCAGAAAAATTTCATTCATGATCCTGAGCTCAAACACCACACCTAAGTTTATCCCTATTACAGGCATGGAAGTGCTGTGTAGTGAGTGGAGTGAGTCAGAATATTAAACTTCTATTTCTGAGAAAACTTCTAGGACTAACTGGCTAAGCCTATCAGAGCAAAACATATTTTCTGAAAAGTACTTGCTGGTGAATAATACGATGAATAACCATAGGCTCTGAACACCTTCCTCTGTAAATTTGTCCAAGTCACCCTCTGCTCCATACATAACTTTTTGCCACTCTAAATTGTAACACATTTTAGCAGATTCCGCTTAAGTTGTTTTGAATTAGTGTTTTCTTAGTTTCTTTGAAAATACTTGTTTGTAGTTGTTCTGTGCAGTCTATTCATAGAAACTAATTCTTCAGCCTCTTCAAAATCAGTACTGACTCCTTGAAAGAACAACTGAACAGTATCCATCACATCTGTTAGCTTATCAAAAGCTGAGGAAAACCACACAAAATAATTTGCCTTATTTTCAAATTGACTATTGATATTGCTTCCAATGTCTTCAACTCTTTGAACAACTGTTTTTACTGAAAGATTAATATTTCTAAACAAATTTATTTTCTCTGGACACATTTCTTTAGCTGCTGTAATCAGACACAATTTAAAATGACTCATCACTGGTAAATGGTTTTCTTTGCTTGGCTCAAAAACGAACCACTCAGAAACTTACTTTGGTTGCAGTCTTATTTTTATTTTTTAATTTTTGTGATGAAATTCTGCTGTTTTAAGATAGTGTGTTTTAAATTTTATAATTTTTCTGACTATTGCTTTCCTATGAGTTGGGAATATTTTGATCAGTACCCAATTTGGCAGTTATTGTCTCCCTTTAGCACAGCTATAATGTCATTACATAATAACCAAAATGCTTTGTCACCTAATTTAATTAAAAAAATTCATCTTCCAATGTATGCCAACATCTAGCATGATGAAGTCCATTTGTCTTCTCTTTTCTTCTTTTGACATGATTGGTATGCATTGGGAAGATTAAAAAAATGTGACCCTACCACATGCGTGACACTGTCGATTTTGTTGAGTTATGATTGTGTCGCTGTGATTTGTGGTGCATCAAAAAGATGTGCAAAGCAATAAGCATGAGAATGCGACATGTGGTCTCGGTCACAACTACTCACTTCTGCTGATGTAGGGCAAAAGTAGCCATAGATGTAAACAGAGGAATGTGGCTGTGTTTCAATAAAACTTCAGTTATGAACACTGACATTTCAATTGCATGTAATTTTCATGTATCATGAGATATTTTTCTTTTGATTTTTAAAAATTTATCTTTTTTCTTTTTTCTTTTCTTTTTTGTCTTTTTAAAATCTTTTTTCTTTTTTTTAATCTTCTTTTGATTTTTTTAACCATTTAAAAATGATTTTTTTAACCATTTAAACATGTAAAGAACATTCTTAGCTTGTGGGTCATCCAAAAATGGACAGCAGGCTGAATTTGGCCAGTATGGCGTTGTTTGCTGACCCCTACTGTTGAGAATCATTGATCTATGATGAGTAGAATGTCAAAGACACCAAAAAATAGGTCCTGCTTTAAGACTTGGCACATAAGAATAGGAGACTTGGCTATTTTGTTTCCCATTAAATCCTTAGCACATAGATGCCCAATAAGTAGTTTTGAATAAGGCAATTATAGAAAACTTCTGGCACATAATAAACCTAAAAGATCTGTTCCATGAATGAAATGAATGAATGATATGCTGTCTATCCTACACAATATGTGGGAGCTTAAAGATGATGGGTTAAAAATAAATTGTTTAATCTGAGAGAATTCAAAAATAGGGAGAGGTTATACCTGAAAAGCATGAAGTGTTTAGTAGCTGGGAATCATTATGGCCAGGTTATTAAGTAATAATAGCTGGAGAGCATATTATTTTGCGTAACTAAGATGTGAGAGGAGTATAGTAGACAAACACAACTCTCTATAGGCTATTTCTATGAGGCTCTTTATAACTAAATTGCTTTAAAAAGTTATTCAGAGGGCCGGGCGCAGTGGCTCATGCCTGTAATGCCAACACTTTGGGAGGCCGAGATGAGTGGATCACCTGAGGTCAGGAGTTCGAGCCTAGCCTGGCCAACATGGTGAAACCCTGTCTCTACTAAAAATACAAAAAATTAGCCAGGTGTGGTGGTGCATGCCTGTAATCCCAGCTACTCGGAAGGTTGAAGCAGGAGAATCGCTTGAACCCGTGAGGCACAGGTTGTAGTGAGCCGAAATTGTGCCACTGCACTCCAGCCTGGGCAACAAGAGCAAAACTCCATCTCAAAAACAACAACAACAATAACAACAACAACAACAACAACACTACTATTCATAGAAAATGACAGAATTTTCGACAAAGAAAGAACTTAAAACCAAAGAAGCTAGTAGCCAATTGCATTTTCCAGGAGGATGAGCTCCATGTTAGGATATTTTAACTATTTAATAGGCTAGACTATTTATACAACATCCCCCAAGTTATGTATACTTCCAGGCATGTGTTATATCTCTCAGGCATAGGTAACTGTGGGAAATATGATTGTTAGCCAAAGATACATTTTACACTATGTTTACAAACTCACTTAGATTGCATGCAAATAAAGAATTTGGCAAGTTTTTAGTCATCACTTTTGGCATGGGGCTGTTCCCTGGATATGGACTGTTTTATCAACTCAGAGGCATTTCTTATTCCAGCAGCATTAGCTTTATGTTCTGTCATGTATGTATGTATGTACATGTATGTATGTATGTATGTATGTATATTTTTGAGACAGAGTTGTATGTATATTTTTGAGACAGAGTTTTGCTCTTGTTGCCTAGGCTGGAGTGCAATAGTGCTATCTCAGCTCACTGCAACCTCTGCCTCCTGGGTTCAAGCCATTCTCCTGTCTAAGCCTCCCGAGTAGCTGGGATTACAGACATGTGCCACCACACCTGGCTGATTTTTATATTTTTAGTACCGACAGGATTTCATCATGTTGGTCAGGCTGGTCTCAAACTCCTGACCTCAGGTAATCTGCCCATCTTGGCCTCCCAAAATGCTGGGATTACAGGCGTGAGCCACTGTGCCTGGCCTGTTCTGTCATTTAGTACAGTAAGACTGGACCTGACGTGGCAATATCAGTACAAGTTTCATGGTAACTCTTGTTTACCCCCATGATATAAGAGTAGAGAAACACCCACCCAAAGGAAGGGTATAAAGAGAACGATTGTCAAACTGCCTTTCTCACGTCCTAACTGTGTTGTTGTAGGTAAGGTGTTTACCCTTCTGAACCTTCATTTCTTCCCCTGAGAAGTTGTAATATGATCTACTTTAGAGCTAGATTGTGGAGATTAAATGAGACAACATGTGTCAACTGCTTAGCACAGTGTTGGAGAGTGGAAATGGTAGCTATTATTTACATTAAAATGACAGATTTTATACTTTAATATTTTAAAATTTAAAATGACTAGATGACTGTTGTCTCTGCATAATACAAGCTCATTATGGACAATTTTATTGGTAACTACTTACAAATGTTAGAGAAATGACCTGCAGCCTTTTATTACCCACTGCATAGCCCATGAGTCTGCTGTGCATGTGTGTGCAAGATTTTATTTTTGAGACAGAGTCTCACTCTGTCGCCCAGGCTGGAGTGCAGTGGCACGATCTCGGCTCACTGCAACCTCCGCCTGCCAGGTTCAAGTGATTCTCCTGCCTCAGCCTCCCAAGTAGCTGGGATTACAGGCACCCGCCACCACACCTGGCTAATTTTTGTATTTTTAGTAGAGGCAGGGTTTTGCCATGTTGCCCAGGCTGGTCTAGAACTCCTGATTTCAAGTGACCCGCCCGCCTTGGCCTCCCAAAGTGTTGGGATAACAGGCATGAGCCACTGCACCCAGCCTAAGATTTTTTTTTAAAAATACTGTTTTTCTTCTATTCTACCTTTGTTTGAAGAGGGTTAATGCAAATTTCATTGAGATTTGTGAAGAAGGAATACAATTCATTCATTGATTTATTAATTCATGATTTCAACAAATGCTGAGCACCAACAGTGTGCCAAGCGCTGGGTCTACAGTGAAGAACAAGCAATTGCCTCTGCCCCTAAGCAGTTCACTTGCACCTAGAGAGAAAGTGAAGGTGGTGATGGATGCAGTAACAGAGTAAGTGCACTGTGATATGGCCATGCGTGGAAGGCACTCCTAACCCCGTTGTGGGAGACTTGAGATTTCTTAGAAGAAGTAAAATCTCTGTTGAAGGCAGGTGAGGCAGAGATGAAGGGATTGGACTAGCATGAGAGGGAGCAGTGAATATAACTGGAGAGGTTTCTAAGGGCTTTGTAAACCATGTTATGAAATTCAAACACTATCCTAAGGGCAGGAGAGAGCCTCTGAAATGTTTTAGGTACTCAAAGACATTTGTGTTTAGAAATATTAATAAAATTTTGACAATAGTGTGGAACAAGCAAAGATTGTGGGCCAGGAGACCAGTTAAGGGGCTGTTACAGTACTCTAGGTGCAAGGAAATGGTGGCTATGGGGATGAAGAGACAGCAAACAGGTTCAAGATCTATTAAGGAGTTATAATTGATATTGCTTAATCAATAATTATTAGTGTGAATGTTGAAGGAGTAGATGATGATTCTTAGGTGTTTTACTTCAGCCACTGGGAGGATGTTATTAGGAAAGATGAGAGGAGGAGTAGGTTGTGTCTGGAGAAATGAGGGAGTAATGACTTTACCTATAGACTGATTTTTCTAGTGCTATGGGTGCTTCAAATGGAGATCCTTCTGTATGAGTTCAGTTTCCCAGTCAGCAGTCTAATCTGCTCTTTAGGATACCAACAAAGCACAGGCAGCTCAGCCCTCAAAAAGAGAGAAAATTTGGTCAGGCGCGGTGGCTCACGCTGGTAATCCTAGCACTTTGGGAGGCTGAGGTGGGTGGATCATGAGGTCAGGAGATCGAGACCATCCTGGCTAACATGGTGAACTCCTGTCTCTACTAAAAATACAAAAAATTAGCCAGGCGTGGTGACGGGCACCTGTAGTCCCAGCTACTCGGGAGGCTGAGGCAGGAGAATGGTGTGAATGCAGGAGGCGGAGCTTGCAGTGAACTGAGATTGTGCCACTGCACTCCAGCCTGGGCGACACAGCGAGACTCCATCTCAAAAAGAAAAAAAAGAAAGAAAATTCAAACACTCTAGGAAGAAGTGATTTAAATTTCAACAAAATTTTCAGTTTTGTTTTAATTTAAAAAGCAAGCAACATTTTATTTTGTGGCTTACTGTAGTGTTTTGGTATTTCGATTTTTGAATGATAAAGGCAGTGGTAACTGGAGATACAGACTTGGGAGTCACTGGCATAAAGATAGCAATTGAAGTGATTGAGTGAGATCTCAGGGAGGGATCAAAGAGCAGTCATGGTTTTTTTTTCTGAGGGCACATTGGAATCACATGGGGATCTTAAGAAATATCCTGATGCCTGAGACCCATCGCCAGAGATTCTGATTTAATTGCTTTAAGCTGGCCTGGGCCAAAATTTGAGAAGCACTGGCTTAGAGTGAGAAGAAATTACAGGAAAGAATGTGAGGGGATCACAATATTTAAATGTCAATCCAGAGAGGACTGTAATACACGTAGGCTGCCAAGGAGTTCAAGGAAAGAAAACTCTTTAGAACATCAGGTGTGGCTGCATCACCTTCTTGATTCAGATGATTAAGAAGTTCAACCATGCCCGGCGCAGTGGCTATCGCCTGTAATCCCAGCACTTTGGGAGGCCGAGGTGGGCAGATGACCTGAGGTCAGGAGTTCGAGACCAGCCTGACCAACATGGCAAATCCCTGTCTCTACTAAAAATACAAAAATTAGCTGGGTGTGGTGGCGCATGCCTCTAGTCCTAGCTACTCAGGAGGCTGAGGTAGGAGAATCACTTGAACCCAGGAGGCAGAAGTTGCAGTGAGCCAAGATGGCGTCACTGCACTCCAGCCTGGGTGACAGAGCGAGAGTCCATCCCCGCCGCTCCCCCCTCAAAAAAAAAGGTAGTTCAGCCAACCAACCAATCAATGTAATCCTTCAGTGTCTCCAGCACCATCAACCTGCTGTGATTAAAGCTTCTGGTGTGAGTCTGCATGCTAGAGAAGGAAGCTTGGGTAAAGATATAGGTATACATAGTTATTTTTCTCTTTGACAGTACTATATAGCTGTAAGTATTAATAATGATTATATCCAACAGAGAAGGAAAGTTGAAAGTGGAAGCATAAGTTTGGAAACAATATAATTTTAAAAATTGAGATATAATGATATAATTTATATATTATAAAATCAGTCCTTTGAAATGTACAACTCAGTGGTTTTTTTGTATATTCACAAGTTTGTACAGCTATCTCTATGATCTAATTTTGGAAAAAAATGTAGTCTTGATCTATATGGTGTGATTAGAATGTGGCTTTTAGCCATTCTATTTCTAAAGTGCAATTTTGTCTTATAGTATATGAAATAGATCTAATTTTAAAAATCAGAAGGAAAAATGCAAACAAAAAAATCCCTCAATACCAAAACCCCAAATAACAACCCATTTTTAAAATGGCTGTTATTGGTCTATTCAGAGATTCAACTTCTTCCTGGTTTAGACTTGGGAGGGTGTATGTGTCGAGGAATTTATCCATTTCTTCTAGATTTTCTAGTTTATTTGCATAGAGGTGTTTGTAGTATTCTCTGATGGTAGTTTGTATTTCTGTGGGATCGGTGGTGATATCCCCTTTATCATTTTTTATTGCATCTATTTGATTCTTCTCTCTTTTTTTCTTTATTAGTCTTGCTAGCGGTCTATCAATTTTGTTGATCCTTTCAAAAAACCAGCTCCTGGATTCATTAATTTTTTGAAGGGTTTTTTGTGTCTCTATTTCCTTCAGTTGTGCTCTGATTTTAGTTATTTCTTGCCTTCTGCTAGCTTTTGAATGTGTTTGCTCTTGGTTTTCTAGTTCTTTTAATTGTGATGTTACGGTGTCAATTTTGGATCTTTCCTGCTTTCTCTTGTGGGCATTTAGTACTATAAATTTCCCTCTACACACTGCTTTGAATGTGTCCCAAAGATTCTGGTATGTTGTGTCTTTGTTCTCGCTGGTTTCAAAGAACATCTTTATTTCTGCCTTCATTTAATTATGTACCCAGCAGTCATTCAGGAGCAGGTTGTTCAGTTTCCATGTAGTTGAGCGATTTTGAGTGAGTTTCTTAATCCTGAGTTCTAGTTTGATTGCACTGTGGTCTGAGAGACAGTTTGTTATAATTTCTGTTCTTTTACATTTGCTGAGGAGAGCTTTACTTCCAACTATGTGGTCAATTTTGGAATAGGTGTGGTGTGGTGCTGAAAAAAGTGTATATTCTGTTGATTTGGGGTGGAGAGTTCTGTAGATGTCTATTAGGTCCGCTTGGTGCAGAGCTGAGTTCAATTCCTGGGTATCCTTGTTAACTTTCTGTCTCGTTGATCTGTCTAATGTTGACAATGGGGTGTTAAAGTCTCCCGTTATTATTGTGTGGGAGTCTTAAATCTCTTTGTAGGTCACTCAGGACTTGCTTTATGAATCTGGGTGCTCCTGTATTGGGTGCATATATATTTAGGATAGTTAGCTCTTCTTGTTGAATTGATCCCTTTACCATTATGTAATGGCCTTCTTTGTCTCTTTTGATCTTTGTTGGTTTAAAGTCTGTTTTATCCGAGACTAGGATTGAAACCCCTGCCTTTTTTTGTTTTCCATTTGCTTGGTAGATCTTCCTACATCCTTTTATTTTGAGCCTATGTGTGTCTCTGCACGTGAGATGGGTTTTCTGAATACAACACACTGATGGGTCTTGACTCTTTATCCAATTTGCCAGTCTGTGTCTTTTAATTGGAGCATTTAGTCCATTTACATTTAAAGTTAATATTGTTATGTGTGAATTTGATCCTGTCATTATGATGTTAGCTGGTTATTTTGCTCGTTAGTTGATGCAGTTTCTTCCTAGTCTCAATGGTCTTTACATTTTGGCATGATTTTGCAGTGGCTGGTACCGGTTGTTCCTTTCCATGTTTAGTGCTTCCTTCAGGAGCTCTTGTAGGGCAGGCCTGGTGGTGACAAAATCTCTCAGCATTTGCTTGTCTGTAAAGTATTTTATTTCTCCTTCTCTTATGAAGCTTAGTTTGGGTGGATATGAAATTCTGGGTTGAAAATTCTTTTCTTTAAGAATGTTGAATATTGGCTCCCACTCTCTTCTGGCTTGTAGAGTTTCTGCCAGTAGATCCGCTGTTAGTCTGATGGGCTTCCCTTTGTGGGTAACCCGACCTTTAAAATAGACCAATAACAGGCTCTGAAATTGTGGCAATAATCAATAGCTTACCAACCAAAAAGAGTCCAGGACCAGATGGATTCACAGCCGAATTCTACCAGAGGTACAAGGAGGAACTGGTACCATTCCTTCTGAAACTATTCCAATCAATAGAAAAAGAGGGAATCCTCCCTAATTCATTTTATGAGGCCAGCATCATCCTGATACCAAAGCCGGGCAGAGACACAACCAAAAAAGAGAATTTTAGACCAATATCCTTGATGAACATTGATGCAAAAATGCTCAATAAAATACTGGCAAACCGAATCCAGCAGCACATCACAAAGCTTATCCACCATGATCAAGTGGGCTTCATCCCTGGGATGCAAGGCTGGTTCAGTATATGCAAATTAATAAATGTAATCCGGCATATAAACAGAACCAAAGACAAAAACCACATGATTATCTCAATAGATGCAGAAAAGGCCTTTGACAAAATTTAACAACTCTTCATGCTAAAAACTCTCAATAAATTAGGTATTGATGGGATGTATCTCAAAATAATAAGAGCTATCTATGACAAACCCACAGCCAATATCGTACTGAATGGGCAAAAACTGGAAGCATTCCCTTTGAAAACTGGCACAAGACAGGGATGCCCTCTCTCACCACTCCTATTCAACATAGTGTTGGAAGTTCTGGCCAGGGCAATCAGGCAGGAGAAGGAAATAAAGGGTATTCAATTAGGAAAAGAGGAAGTCAAATTGTCCCTGTTTGCAGATGACATGATTGTATATCTAGAAAACCCCTTTGTCTCAGCCTAAAATCTCCTTAAGCTGATAAGCAACTTCAGCAAAGTCTCAGGATACAAAATCAATGTACAAAAATCACAAGCATTCTTATACACCAATAACAGACAAACAGAGAGCCAAATCATGAGTGAACTCCCATTCACAATTGCTTCAAAGAGAATAAAATACCTAGGAATCCAACTTACAAGGGATGTGAAGGACCTCTTCAAGGAGAACTACAAACCACTGCTCAATGAAATAAAAGAGGACACAAACAAATGGAAGAACATTCCATGCTCATGAGTAGGCAGAATCAATATCCTGAAAATGGCCATACTGCCCAATGTAATTTATAGATTCAATGCCATCCCCATCAAGCTACCAACGACTTTCTTCACAGAATTGGAAAAAACTACTTTAAAATTCATATGGAACCAAAAAAGAGCTCACATCGCCAAGTCAATCCTAAGCCAAAAGAACAAAGCTGGAGGCATCACGCTACCTGACTTCAAACTTTACTACGAGGCTACAGTTACCAAAACAGCATGGTACTGGTACCAAAACAGAGATATAGATCAGTGGAACAGAACAGAGCCCTCAGAAATAACGCCACATATCTACAACTATCCGATCTTTGACAAACCTGACAAAAACAAGAAATGGGGAAAGGATTCCCTATTTAATAAATGGTGCTGGGAAAACTGGCTAGCCATATGTAGAAAGCTGAAACTGGATCCCTTCCTTACACCTTATACAAAAATTAATTCAAGATGGATTAAAGACTTAAACATTAGACCTAAAACCATAAAAACCCTAGAAGAAAACCTAGGCATTACCATTCAGGACATAGGCATGGGCGAGGACTACATGTCTAAAACACCAAAAGCAATGGCAACAAAAGCCAAAATTGACAAATGGGATCTAATTAAACTAAAGAGCTTCTGCACAGCAAAAGAAACTACCATCAGAGTGAACAGGCAACCTACAAAATGGGAGAAAATTTTCTCAACCTACTCATCTGACAAAGGGCTAATATCCAGAATCTACAATAAAATCAAACAAATTTACAAGAAAAAAACAAACAATCCCATCAAAAAGTGGGCGAAGGATATGAACAGACACTTCTCAAAAGAAGACATTTATGCAGCCAAAAGACACATGAAAAAATGCTCATCATCACTGGCCATCAGAGAAATGCAAATCAAAACCACAATGAGATACCATCTCCCACCAGTTAGAATGGCAGTCATTAAAAAGTCAGGAAACAACAGGTGCTGGAGAGGATGTGGAGAAATAGGAACACTTTTACACTGTTGGTGGGACTGTAAACTAGTTCAACCATTGTGGAAGTCAGTGTGGCGATTCCTCAGGGATCTCGAACTAGAAATACCATTTGACCCAGCCATCCCATTACTGGGTATATACCCGAAGGACTATAAATCATGCTGCTATGAAGACACATGCACACGTATGTTTATTGCGGCACTATTCACAGTAGCAAAGAGTTGGAACCAACCCAAATGTCCAACAATGATAGACTGGTTTAAGAAAATGTGGCACATATACACCATGGAATACTATGCAGCCATAAAAAATGATGAGTTCATGTCCTTTGTAGGGACATGGATGAAATTGGAAATCATCATTCTCAGTAAACTATCGCAAGGACAAAAAACCAAACATCGTATGTTCTCACTCATAGGTGGGAATTGAACAATGAGAACACATGGACACAGGAAGGGTAACATCACACTCCGGGGACTGTTGTGGGGTGGGGGGAGGGGGGGAGGAATAGCATTAGGAGATATACCTAATGCTAAATGACGAGTTAATGGGTGCAGGACACCAGCATGGCACATGTATACATATGTAACTAACCTGCACATTTTGCACCTATACCCTAAAACTTAAAGTATAATAATAATAAAATAAATAAATAAATAAATTACCCAGAAAAAAAAAATAAAATAAAATGGCTGGCACTGCGATATTCGCTAAAAGTATATGAACTTACTAAACAACACCTGTGCCCCTCAAAAAACACTTAATTTTTTTTTCTGAGAAAAGAAATGTTATTTTACTTCCGTAAAAGGAAAACCAGCACCACTTGCCAGAAATAGTAGGTAAGAGCAAAAAGAAATATAATAGAAATTAATGCAATATTTAACTAAGGCAAACACATCTGTCCTCATCTATCAAATCTCTCTTCTTATTTCCTCTTCTTTCCACCTCTGCTGCCCGACCGTGGTCTGTTATCTCTCCCTTAGAATATTGCAGACTCTCATTCTTGTCTCTCTGCTTCCACTTTTGCCTCCCAAGCGTCATGTCACCCAACTGATTCAAGGATGAAGACCCAGCCCTTAACCTGGCCTTCCTGGCCCTTGCCATCTGTCCTCACAGCCTCTCCATCCATGCCTCCCACCATTCTCCTCCTCCTTCATGGCACTCCAGGCAAACCACCTGCTTTCATTTCCTAGATGAGTCACTCCTCTTCTAGCCTCTAAGCCTTTGCTCCTGCCATGTTTCCATCTCCCTAGAGCACTTCCAGCACCCCTTCACTAGGAAAAGCCTACTTATCCTCCAGATTTTGTCTCTATTGTCATCTCCGAAAGTCTTCCTTGACCTCTTACTTCCTGCTTTTCCCTCGTAAGTCAGATCTCACATTATAACATTTTAGTCTATACTTTTTTATTTTGTGATTATTTATTTATTTATTTTTGAGATGGAGTGTTGCACTGTCGCCTGGGCTGGAGTACAATGGCTGATCTCGGCTCACTGCAACCTCTGCCTCCCAGGTTCACGTGATTCTCCTGCTTCAACGTCCTGAGTAGCTAGGATTACAGGTGCATACCACCACACCCAGCTAATTTTTTGTATTTTTAGTAGAGATGTGGTTTCACTGTGGTGGCCAGACTGGTCTCGAACTTTTGACCTTGTGATCCCTCCTCCTTGCCCTCCCAAAGTGCTGGGATTACAGGTGTGAGCCACCACACCCGGACTATTGTTCATTATTAATATCTGAAAGTTCTTACTTACACAGAAGCTGATATGATCACTGCATAGACTTGGAATCTTTTGTCTGCAGTTGCCTCAAGCTCAGACTTCAAGTACAAAGCATCTTCATTGAACGTATACCTAGGTCTGAAACTAGTTTTGACTCTAATTTACCACTACTCTGAACTAGGCATGAAACCTCATGAAATGAAAGGAAGTCCATTTTCCTATAATGTACTGATTTTCAAATTTGGCTGATTTTTAGAGTAATATGGAGGCCTTTTGAACATGCAAGTTCCTGGGCTTTAGGCTCATTCAACTACAACTTTTGGCTGGGTGTGGTGGCTGACACCTGTAATTCCAGTACTTTGGGAGGCTGAGGAGGGCGAATCACCTGAGGTCAGGAGTTCGAGACCAGCCTGGCCAACATGGCAAAACTGCATCTCTACTAAAAATACAAAAATTAGCTAGGCATGGTGGCGGGTGCCTGTAATCCCAGCTACTTGGGAGGCTGAGGCAGAAGAATAGCTTGAACGCAGGAGGAGGAGGTTGCAGTGAGCTGAGATCACGCCATTGTACTCCAGCCTGGGTAACAGAGCGAGACTCTATCTTAAAAAAAAAAAAAAATTATAACTTTTGAGTGGGGATTGAGTGTTTTTTTAATTAGTTTTCCAGGTGATTCACATGCAGTGAGATTAGCACTAGATGGCAGAGAGGCATTTGGGAACTAATACTTCAACACATTTAGCAAAATTCTTGTTGTAATTGTCTTCCCTCTGCTTTGGAAGTGGAGTGGAAGATGGCAATGAAGTAGACTATTATTAGAGATTTCTCTGGCTTTTGTGGGAAGAAGATGACTTCTAAATTGAGTTTTTCTTGAAGAAACTGACTCCTAGTTATGTCTACCATTTTTTTCTATCATTTTTTCCTTTTCACAGATCAAATATTCTATTCTGCTTCTGACTTCCCACACCCATGATTGCAGGAGCTTGATGTATAACGCTTAAAACATATACATTTGTGTCTGGCCCCTTATGGAATATTATAATGGGCTGTTGCAAGAAGGAAGGAAGTTGAGTAAAACAATGATTCTGCTCCAGCTCTGGCCCCTAAGAAGGGGGAGGGTGCAGACATCAGTCCCAATTATACCATTTAAGAGGCATGTAAAGGTTGAATCCAATCTGGATTAGGATTAATGTCAGAGATTCCAGTTGACATGGGTGGGAAATGGCAGTAGAATTACTGGATGGAAGCCACAGAGAATAAAGTGGGCCTGTGGATTAGGAGTCCAAGCAAAGTTTATTCAGTTGCAATAAATCCTAGGCTCCTGCTGATTGTGTGAGTGCTTTGATAGGTCATGGAAAGGAGGAAAGAAACTGCTAGCATCTAGCAGCATTTCAGGGCTCTGGCAAGATTAGTGAGGTTTATGGTCAGGCCCTAGTGCTCGTGGGGAATGGTGGTATGATACTGAAGAGATTTCCAGTTCGAGGACTCATGGTTCATGCAATACATGATATTGCAGCTACTTTGTATTAGAGAAAAATGAGACACTCTGGGTATGTTGGATCCTTGGTTTAGGGCAGTATGTAAATATCCAAGTTTACCCACTAGTGGGAATGTGTATTTTGATCTACTGCCAGGGTCAGTTCTCACTGGCAATCCATGACCGAAGCATAACTTTCTACTAAAGTTGTCTCATCACATCTGCGTCCCTTTCCTCTCAGCTTAATTAGTAAAGAACGCCTAGAAAAGATAGGCAAAAAAGAAGGAAGACAACAAAAATAAGTTTTGCAAGAGCCAGGGAAGGATCAGTTTTGAGGGAGAATGAGTCTTCAGGGGAGATCTGTAGGGCCCTGCACTGTAGCTGCTCCTCTCTACACATGTATTCTCTTAACTCTGCCGAACCTGGATGATCAGGAGTGATTTCCCTCAAAAGGTGTAATTGCTGATCCCCCCATATGAAGTTGGTTGCTTTGTATGTAATTGAGGCTATGGAAGGAAAAAACATACCTAGAGATCCTCACTTGCAGAGATTCTTTTCATGATGCTTAGGATGGATTTGGAGGGCAAAGGAGAGAGAGAGAGAAGAGAGAGAGAGATGGGGGAGAGAGAGAGAGGAGAGAGAGAGATGGGGGAGAGAGAGAGTGGGGGACAGAGAGAGAGATGGAGACAGAGAGACATTTAAATGTTAAATGTGGTATCTCTTGGTTTTAAGATTTGGGAGGATTTCCTTTTTCTTTTTTTTTGCTTTTCAGGGCTTTCTAAATATTTCTATAATTTTTACATATTACTTCTTAGTAAGAAAAAAGTATTTTTATAAAGTGCTGTAACTGCTATTTGCATTTGTGGGAAAATATAAGTGCTATTTGCTTTAAACTAATAACAATAGGCTTAGTGTTCATTTATTGAATACCTATGGTGTCTCAAGCCCTTCATCTTAGTTAACTCTCAGTACTGTTGTACAGGATATATAGTTGGAGGAACTAATGCTCAGAGATATTACACGACCTGGCCAGACTCATGTAACTAATGGCCCAGAGCTAGATAGTCCCACTTCCAAAGACCATGAGTGTTTCTTTCATGCTAAATGTTTTTACTCATATGAACATTAAGAAAAAAATGCCAGAAGGGAAGAGTCCATTTTGACCAGTTCTCATCTGTTTCTTACCCAATTTTCCCTCACTTTCTCTCTTTTTTCTTAGTTACTTGAAAAGAGTTTTTTGCTGTATAAGTACCCAGATTGGTTGCTTTCAGTGACTACAAAAGTTAAATAGTGCACAGGATGAGCCAGAAACTAAAATAATAATAAAAAAGCTTTGCATTTGTGTTTTGTTTGTTTGTTTGATTTGTCATTTTTATTTCTCCTATAGCTGGTGAACCCATGGTAATTGGTGGTGTCAGGTGAGGGAAGAGTTGAAAAGATTGACTGTGTAATAGAAAATTGGCTACTAACTATCAGGAATGCAGCTGTGGAGTCCGGTTAAGGCAACACATGCTTTTTTGTGCACTTCAGGTTCCTAAAAGCATTTTTAAATAACAGAGAAAACAAATTCATTACATCGTGGTTTTTCTACTGCTGCTAACTGAGCAAGATTTGGGAGCTTTCAAAAATATTATACATTGTTTAAAAATATTACAAAGAAATTTTAGCTTTGCACAAGAGATTCATTAAATTTAGCATTTTTAGAAGATATTTTCAGTCATTAAAGACTTTTGGTATTGTTTCCTTATTGTCTTAATTGTCACTGTTCAATTAGAATTAACATCAATATTGTTCTGATCTTCGAAAAGATTACAGAAAAACTTTCACTTCATTTCCTGATATAGGAAGAAGAGAATCTTCTGATTTTCTTCCATCTAATTTAAAAATCATGTTCACTGGAATTTCTTTCTAATCCTTTTAAGTAAACAAAAAGTATAATTATTGCTTTGGATGTATGTATATACATCTCGAACACACACACACACACACACACACACATCTGTATAAAAATAGTCTAGGTTGAGGAGGACAGTGTGTTTTTTAAACAAAATCAGGATTATGAAACACATACTGCAAATGAGAGCCAGGGTTGTCTGTGTGTTTTTGACATGGTTTTACTGGTTTGAGGTTTTTTTTTTAGGTTTGTTTTTGGATTATATTTTTTTGACGCTCTTCCTGTATTCTTCCAAGTCCAGTAATGGAATAAGAGTTGAAGAGCTGAAAGATTCACATGGAGATGACCTCTGTGACTTCATCTGTCAGGTGTCTGTGTCTTTATTAGTCATCTGGAATTTTGAAGACTGATTGAGGCCATTACAAAATGTACTGCAGATCTTAGACCCTACATCTTTAATTAATTAATGTTAGCAAAGCACTTTGCAATCGACGAATGAAACTAATTGTAAAAATGTACTGAATGGTTTGCTCTCTTTTATTTTTCTATTTCCACATCAAATACCTTAATTTGATTTTTAAAAATTGTGCTGTGGATACTCCTAAACACTTTTTTCTTTTGAGCTGTTTATGTTATTTACATAAAGTTGGCAGAGAAATATCTTCTGTAGTTTTGCCTTTGATTTTACTGGGAAATAGATACTCCTGTAGGCTATAGATTTATTTTTCAACTGAAAAACACCATCCCAATGTTGTGTTAATTATTAATAGGATTAATCTTTTATGTCAGTGGAAAAATGTCTAAAATTATGCAGGCAAGTAAATCATACATTTGTAGAAACTTTGAAAAGAGGAACATAAAGATCACAGAGAATGTTCTCTAACAGAATGGAATATTCCAGGATAATGCTTTCTAACAAGCAAAGGTAATTTTTATCTAAAACAAATATGACTGAGGAGCAGGTGCATTCTTGCTCAAATAACGGAAAAGATTCAATGCAAGTAACCACGCATTTTGTCCTCCAATAATTTATAATTCAAATCCATATTGATTTGTCATGAAAAGGAAATTGTAAGACAAATATATACAGACAGAGGATTATTAGGTTGCAAGAGCCAACTCTAAGAATTAAGATTTGTGCTGTATGTAAAAATTATATCATATGGCTTAATTGTGTATCATAGTAGTAATTATTACTAAACAATTTTGGGGAATTCATAGGTGAAAATTGTTGCTAGTGAAGTCAGAAGAAGTAACACTATCGTACTACAAATTCCTAGAATATGTGATTTAAAGTTCAAGTTAGAAAGTTAAATTTCTCTTCTCCTTTTACTTTGAAGAAGTTAAGTGATTCTAGAAATAATGCCTATTTAATTCTCTGGGTTTTCCACTTAGCTATAATAATTAATATATAGAATTCAGAATCTATAGATTCTAGAAAATTTAGAATCTATAGATTCTAGAAAATTTAGAATCTATAGATTCTAGAAAATTTAGAATCTATGATTAATATATAGAATTTAGATCAATGAAAAGTATCCTAAAACTTTATAAATTTTATTTTTGAACAGCATTTTAAGATTTAGAAAAATGAATTCCAAATTAATAGTGCCCTCATAATTTGAGGGTACTCATTTGACATGTGAGTATTTTCAATCTGAGAGTATATACTCCTGAAGAAGGAATATAGTTCAAAGAAGTCCTCAAAATCAAATTAGGACAATGCTAAGTGTCTGTGGACTTCATTCTGTTCCCAAATGCATATTTTTGATTGTCCTTGATATTACTGGAAGTCACATGCAAGTTTATTTTGGTAAGAAACAACAAGATAAACAGGTGACTTATGTATGATTGACTAATTATGTTTGTGCCAAATTTATTTTGGACTGTACTTTCAGGAGTTTTGACAAGATAACTGTTTTAATAAAAATGAGTCAATAACAGGAGTGATAGAAATCTGTAAGAATGTTTCAAATGCTTTATAGTAAAAAAGTGCAAGTTGAATTCATTATCATAAAGAGGTACATAATGCCTATATTAATTTTCTTTTGTCCCCAATTTACTTTGGCGTCAATTACTAGAACCCCTATCATGTCTGGTTAAGTGGAAAAATATTCTGGTTAATTTTTGTTGTTGTTGTTTTGTTTGGCTGTGAAACAAGACTTGAAGTTTTCAGTGAATCTACTGAGTTACATGGCACCTTACTTAGAGATGCACAATACTAACTGTATGAACCCATGAGGCAAAATATTAACAACATGTTTCAGGAACTTTGCTGGGCACATGCATATATAGGGTTGAAAAAGGAGGAATATTAATGTAGCCTTGAGCAATAGCTATTTCTGGAATGAAGATGAAAAAAATCCACAATTACAGTTTGAGTTAATATTTGTATGTTGCTTTTTGCACGTGCTTTCTGTTTTGATCTTCAAAATGACCCTGTGAGGTGGTAGGTGGTGTCATCCTCATTTTACAGATGAGGAAGCTAAGGTTCAGAAATATTAATTCCCTTAAGTCACAAGTAAATAAGTGGATTTAACCTGAGCGTTCAAGCTCCACTTTCCATGTTTTCCCTTTCCATCAAGTGGGGACACAGTCAAGATATTAATCCAAATAAAGGGTATCAGCACAAATTTTCTGGGAGGAATTGTTCTTGCAAGACAGAGGAAAGGTAAAATCTAGACATATATGGAACTAGGGTTGTCTCAAATTGAACGGTTCATGGACTGAATTCATCCTGAATATGAGTTAGGTATAACTAGCTCTGCATTTTCCAAAGGGTGTGAATTTGACTGCCTTAGGTCTAAAAAGGTTTTTCTTGATTTCTCAGTGTCTACCACTCTGCTTTTCTCAGCTGAGTCACTTATATCACCTTCTTGTATTCTGATGTTGTATGAACATGTAATCCTGGGCTGATTGAATCACACAAACAAGAACATGGTGAGACATATGTGGGCGTGAGTGCAGAGAGCAATTTTATCTGGCTTGAGCCTAGGTTTTCATGAAGGGGACTCTGGTGGAAAGTTGTTAGGGACCAGATTATGGATGCTATCTGGCCCTCTTTGTCCCCCAACTCCACTCCCTCTTCCACAAACTCTATGTTAGTTGGGTGGCCGACATACAAGTGAGTAGGAATAAAGATTGTCACGTGTGGGCTCAGTCTTCAGAAGGGAGGTCCTGAAACTTTGACCATAAATGATATAGGTCCAATTCTGTGGGAAACCATTAGTACAGACAGCGTCACAAAGCTACGTGTTCTGAGCTGGGAGAAGGAATCACGGTGCAGTTGCGGGTAAGTGAGGAAATGTCCTGAGTGTTGCTGTGAATACTGGCTGATGTTAGTAGTACACTTTTGAGGGTCAGTGGGAGAATGGTGTTTTATCAGTAACACAATTTTAAGGGTGAGGCAAGTTTAGAAAGATGCAATCAAGTTTCTTTGTGTATGTAGAAGATTATTTTGTGAGCCATCTAATTAAGGCAAGTCCCTTTGATTGGAAACTTTGAGTGGGAAGACTTGTCTGAGTCCAGTGGACCTTTGAGTCTTTGGATGATTTGGAGGAGAAATAAGGTTATAAAAAAATTATCATATCAAGATTTGAAATTAGGAGTTTCTCTCCTACTCCCCATCTCATGGCCTTGGCACATGCTTTATTTCCTTCATGGAATGTTCTTCCCCAACTGTCAGTGGAACTGATTCTTTCTTATCCTTTAGACTCTTTACCTATTAGCACAACTATCCCTCATTTGAGAGATTGTCCCAGACAACCCTATCTAAAAAGAAGTTCCTTCTACCTTTATTCTGTTCTTTAGTCCTGTACTAATTTTCACCACAGTATTTCTCAATTTATAATTGTCTTAAATAAATTATAGACATATAAATAGACATATAAATTATGTTTACAGTAACGTACCCTCATAATACTGTGCCCCATAGTACCCTCAGGGAATGTGCATTTCATAGGGCAGGGAGTTTGAATTCAGAGTCTAGTACCATGCCAGAATGGATGCTCTGTGTTTGTGAATGAATGGAGGAATGGTTAGAATATAGCTGAGAAGAAAAATACCATGGGTATTCATGAGAAAGTGTACCACAGATTCTCGTGTCAGATGGAGGATGTAGCATATGCTTTTCTAATGTGTGTTATAACAGAAATTCATACGTAATAGCAACAGGGGACCTTATATGTATAGATATCTCATGAAAATTTCATAATGCTAAATTAGAACATTGATTAATTCTTTTAAAAAGTTATAGGATTAGTATATTTTGGATGTAAAAGTTTAAATGACAGAAAAAGCTATGAAGGGAAGGTAAAATATGTCCTTTTTCAATTCCTTTCACTAATCACTATGAATACATTCTTACATGTCTTTTTGCAAATTTTATGTATGTATCTATGTATATAGCATTAATGTATTTATCTTTCTGTAGATAATTAGTTGCCTACTTATTATTTCAACCGTTGTGATCACAACATTAATATAGTTTTTCTATTTGCAATTTTTATCTAATGTATCTTTTTTTTTTCTTTTTTTTTTGAGCTGGAGTCTTGCTCTGTCACCCAGGCTGGAATGCAGTGGCACGTGATCTCCACTCACTGCAACCTCTGCCTTCCGGGTTTAAGCGATTCTCCTGCCTCAGCCTCCTGAGTAGCTGGGACTACAGGTGTGCACCACCATGCCCGGCTAATTTTTCTATTTTTAGTAGAGATGGGGTTTCACCATGTTGGCCAGACTGGTTTCAAACTCTTGACCTCAGGTGATCCACCTGCCTCGGCCTCCCAAAGTGCTGGGATTACAGGCGTGAGCTACTGTGCCTGGCCTATCTAATATATCTTGAATGTCTTCTCGTGTCAACATATAAAGATATAATCACTCTTTTTTTTTTTAACAGTTGCATACTACTCTATTGAAGTTTCCTTCTGTTACCATTTTCCTTCTGTATGAAAACTTCCATTCTTTTAGAACAGGTCTGCTGCTACAAATTCTTAGTTTTCATTCATCTGAAAATGTCATTATTTTATTTGCATTTCTGAAGGGTATTTTCACTGCATGTAGAACTCCAGTTTATATATTTTTTCCCCCAGCGTGTTAAAAATTTTGTGCCAATTTCTAATGGTCTTCATGGTTTTTGGTAGGAAATCCATAGTCATTTGAGCTATAGTTCCCATATAGGTGATTATCCTTTGGTGTTCACTCACATTTTTCAATCTGTGTTTATGTCTTTTACCAAACTTGGAAAGGAAATTTTCAGCCTTCCTCTTTCTTTCTTTCTTTCTTTCTTTCTTTCTTTCTTTCTTTCTTTCTTTCTTTCTTTCTTTCTTTCTTTCTTTTCTTTTCTTTTCTTTCTTTTCTTTCTTTCTTCCCTTCCTTCCTTCCTTCTTTCTTTTTTGAGACCTAGTCTCACTCTATTGCCCAGGCTGGAGTGCAGTGGCATGATCTCTGCTCACTGCAACCTCCGCCTCCCGGATTCAAGCGATTCTTGTGCCTCAGCCTCCTGGGTAGCTGGGATGACAGGCGTGAGCCACCACACCCAGCTAATTTTTGTATTTTTAGTATAGATGGGGTTTCACCATGCTGGCCAGGCTGGTCTCGATCTTCTCACCTCAGGTGATCCACCTGCCTCGGCCTCCCAAAGTGCTGGAATTACAGACGTGAGCTACCACGCCCGGACTTCAGCCATTATTCTTTAGAAAGTGATGTTCCCCACCCTGTGTGCAAGTATGCAGTTATTTTTAAAATGAGATTGGAGGACAAAAGAGTTACAAACGGAAATACATTTTGGTTGTCTTTTATATTTACCTATGTAGTTATCCTACAAGTATTCTTTATTTATGTGGATTTTAGTTACTATATAGTGTCCTTTCATTTCAGTTTTAGGGATTCTGTTTAGTGTTACTTGTAGCGCAGGTTTGCTTGCAATTAATTATTTTATAATTTTAATTTGTCCTTTATATATGAAGAATAGTTTTGTCAATGTAGAATTCTTGGTATATGTTTTTGTTTGTGTTTTCTGTTTCAGCACTTTAGATATAATATGCCATTCTACTGTCTTCTGGCCTCCATGGTTTCTAATCAGAAATCATTGGTTAACCTTATTGATGGTCTGTTGTATGTAATGAATTGCTTCTCTCCTGCTGCTTTCAGGATTCTCTCTTTGCCTTTGGCTTTTGATTGTTTGGTTTAGGTGTTTGTGTAGTATGGAACCACCTTGGAGTTAATTGAGCTTCTTTGATGTGTAGGATATTTTTTTTTTCCAAAAAAGATGGTACATTTGGCTGTTACCTTAAATATTCTTTTAGGCCCCACTTCTCAATCCCCTGTCCTCCTCTTCTCCTCCTTCTCTCTTCTCCTCTTTTTTTTGGGACTCCTGTTGTGCACCTGTTAGTATTCTTGATTACGTTCCACAGCTCTCTGAGGATCTGTCAGTTTTTCTTCATCCTTTTTTCTTTCTACTATTCAGACTGGATAGTCCCAGTTGACCTACCTTCAAAGTTACTGATTCTTCTGCCACTGCAAATCTGCTATTGAGTCCTGGTGATTTTAACATTTCTGTTATTGTACTTTTCAACTCCAGATACTCTGTTCAGTGAGGCACCTTTCTCATACCTTTTTTTCTTTTCAGATGGAGTCTTGCTCTGTCACCTAGGCTGGAGTGCAGTGGCACTGTCCCAGCTCACTGCAATCCCTGCCTCCCAGGTTCAAGAGATCCTCCCACCTCAGCCTCCTGAGTAGCTGGGACTACAGGCATGTGCCATCATGCCTGGCTAATTTTTCTATTTTTAGCAGAGATGGGGTTTTGCAACATTGGCCAGGCTGTTCTGGAACTCCTGACCTCAGGTGATCTGCCTGCCTTGGCCTCCCAAAGTGCTGGGATTACAGGCATGAACCACCATGCCTGGCCTTTCTCATACTTTCTTTAGTTCTTTAGGACATGCTTTTCTTTAATTCTCCGAACATATTTTACACAGCTGATTGAAACGCTTTTGTATTGAGCTGAAAGGTGGCCCCTGAGATATGTCCATGTCCTTATCATTGGAGCCTGGCTTATATGAGAAAAGTGTGACTATTATCACATATGTTAAGATGTGATTAAGTTAAGGATCTTGAGGGGTGGAAGTTAGCCTGGATTATCTTGGCGGGCCCTGAATGTAATTACATACATCCTTATCAGAGAGAGGCAGAAGATGTCTTGAGACACAGAGGTAAGGAGAAGGCATTGTGCAGAAAGATTGGAGTAATGAAGCCTCAAAGCAAGGAATGCTGGCAGCTACCAGAAGGTAGAAAGAGCAAGGAACTGAATCTGTCCTATAGCTTTTAGAGGGATACACAGTGCTGCCCACACCTTGAGTTTAAACTTCTGGTCTCCAAAACTACCAGAGAATAAATTCCTATTGTTGTAAGCCACCTAGTTAGTCTGTGATAGTTTGTTATGGCAACCTTACAAAACTAATGCAGTCTAGTCTAGTCTTTGTCTGGTAAGTCTAACATCTGGCACTCCTCAAGGACAATTTCTATTGACTACTTCTTATTTTTTTGAGGCCTATAAGTTTTTAATATTCCCACATGCCTTGTATTTTTGTTGTTGCTGAATATTAAACATTTTAAATAAAATTAATGACAATTCTGGAAATTATATGCTGGCTCTTTTTTTAGGATTTGTTGTTGTTTTCCTGGTCAGTTTTCTGAACTAAATCTGTAAAGTTTATATTCTTTGTTGTATGTGACCACTGAGTGTCTTCTCAATTAGCTTGGTAGTCAGATAATAATTTGACAGAGATTTCCTGTCTTCAAGTATTTGCTGAAGGGCTCTGTCTGTGCTGAGGCTTGCCTTCCATGCTCAGCCAGTCCATTGACTCTTCTGCCTTAGTCTTTACCTCTTTATTGCACAGAGCCTCAAGGTTAGTAAGAAGTGAAATTGTAGGCCCTTCTCAAGTTATTCCTGAGCTGTGCACAGCCCTGGGCATGCAAACGTTTCATGTGTTCATGGGTCTCATAGGTTAACAGGAATATGGTGGTAGCTTCTCAAAGCTCCTTATGAATGTTCATTCCTCAGATCTCCCTTGATAAGTTTTTTTGCTTAGTCTATTGTTTACCCCAAATATTATCCACTGTTTCAGGCAGCTGAGATGTTAGACAATTGGCAAATGCCCACAAAGAGATGGTTGTTAACAGTGGGAGAACCCTGAGGCAGGTCAAATAAAGGAAAGCCTTGAAAATGAGGTATTTTCCATAGGTCAAATAATGACAATTCTGTGCTAATGGGGATTCCAAGGAGTTCCAACCCAGTTCAGTGTCTTCTAGTGGCTGGTAGTCTGCTGGTTTTCACTGTGATTGCAACTTACTGTTTTTCAAGGCTAGTGCATAGCTGGGGATGCAGAGATGGGAATAGGGCAAGTTAAAATGCCATAAACTCAACTGTTTTTACCATGATTCAACTGTTTTTTAAACACATGCTCCCTGGATTGCTACAAGCCATTACTCAATTTCCATAGTTCTGAAAAAGTTGTTATTGACTATTTTTGCCAATCTTGTCATTGTTTTGTGGAGGAGAGGATTTTCGGAGGTCTTTACCCTGCCATTCGTGCTGATGTCACTCCGGCATATGGCTTTTGAACTCTGTGCAGCTTGCCTCCTCCGAGTTGCTGTTTACTGTATTTATGGCTTATTCTGCTTTGAAGAAGACTTCTTTGACTTTTCTTTTGGGTTGCATCGCATCCCCTAGATTCTACTTCCATCCGAATTGGGGGATTTCACTGAGAATTATCAGAATTTTCTGGATTCAGTTTCTTCCGTCTCTATAATGCGTGTTGATAGTCATGAAAGGAACTGAAAGTTGATGTCGGAAATATTTACTCTCTTGTCTCTGAATGGCATTTTGTCAAAATTTGTGGTATAGTTTGCTTACTTTCTTAATTTGATTGCTGCCTGTATATTTTCCTTTCTGTATTTATTTTGTTAGGTTTTGGGGGTTAGAGCTTGCATAATTACCTATTTCCTGTTTACTGTCTTTTTTTGAAATCATACAGGATTATTCACTGTGAAATCAAATGAAAACTTTGATTTAAAAAATGAAATGCGTAGCTTTTTCTTTCTGGCTATAATTAGTAAGGCTAGTTTCTGTCTGTGACCATACCTAGTTTGTAATACTGAAATAATACCATCATTTGTCATATTTTTAATATCTATTCTCAGTAGGTGGAGGGCAGTAGAATGTGTTGAGAAGAATAAGAGGGTCCATTTTGTTTTATCTCTTTAGATTCCTCAGTAGTGATTTGATTCTTTAAGACTCAAGTTGATTCTCATAGTAGTGTTATGGTATAGATAAGTATTCCCCTGAATATGGCTGGCTATATAATATATAAGTAATAGAAAAATTAGTAGTAGTAGTAATAGCAGTAGTGATAAGAGTAGTAGCAATAATAAATTTTTAATAATAAGAAAATTGTATTTTTAGCTCACTTTTACAGGAATATTATAAGACATTGGTATTTTTTAGATTTTCTTTGCCCATGTCTCACAGTACGTTGTTCTTTTGTTCACATGGATAAAGTATTATTATGAAACTTTTATAATTTTATGTTCTTTAAAACTCCAATCTTAAAAGTCTTCAGAGCATTACTGTTTCTGTTTTCGTAACAACAACAAAAAAAACCCTAAATCTGTTGACTCGTGGTTCCGAAAAAACTATAAAATTCAGTAACTTCCTAATTGTAGTGAAAAGAGTTTTTCCTTGTCTCAGGAGACAACCTAGATTCAATCATGTTGTGGTAGTGTGGATGTAATGAAACTTACTACATTACTAAGGAATATGTTGGCAGTTCATATCATATCATTTCCTAACTCCTCCTTATCTCATTGTACCAGAATCCTAGGCATTAAAAAAATCACAAACACACATCTACAAACCCCATGAAACCAAATAACTATATGCCATTTGGAAAAGTGTTAGTTTGGGATACATGAGCAAGTGATTAGTATTTTTTTATGTTAATCATTTTCGGTTTATTTCATATATGTTTTTTCTGCTGGACAATTATTTCAGGTGGAGTTGATAAATTTCACTTCATTCAGTACACCATGCCAGTGCTGATGACACAGATCTGGAGTAAATGTGATTCCTACCATCAAGGGACGTGTGTGTGTCTGTGTGTGTGTGTGTGTGTAACTCTAGGAATTTCTTGAGTGTGGTATATGGATTTTTACTAAACAGCGCTGTTTTTATTTTTCAAAAAACACCTATAATATTTAAAAATATAGTAATTGCTCTTTAGTACATTCATTTTCATATGTCCCTGTGTAGCCTCTTTTAAGAGTTTTTATGGGCATGTGGCTTTTCTGATAGACTGAATAGGTTTTTCAAAATCTTGCATAATCTAGTGACTGTGACAATTATGTTGTCAGGAATAGAATTTTATTGCTTGTAGGTTTACTTTTCACACATTTATACATGTGACTAAAAAAGGGAAAAGCTATTTTAAATTTGAAGTGAGCTTAGCTCATATTATGTAGTCCCTTGAGGGCACATGAGTCTCAGGATTTGGCACTTCCACTCCACTTTATTGGATAGGAAGAGGTAATGGGTCACTAGTCTTAGTCAATATCTCCTTTTTTTGAAAGGAAATACTCTGCAAGGGCACAGAAAGGAGGACGTGAAAGAAGATTGAAGTATTTTGCTTTGTGGTCTAAGCTCTTACCTTTAACTCATAATTATAGTGCTAACTAGAATGTCTTATGTTTAGGAAGGAGTTGGAGATGAATAAAATGGAACAGCTTATTAAGGCAAATGTATTTGTGTTAAATAGCAAGGAACTGACCTAAAACAAAAGAGAAAACTTAGTTTGTATTGCATACTTATAAATAAGTCTATTTGAGATAATATTCATTGAATATATACAATGAAATGACAATTTAGATACTTTGAAAACTTTGTAAGCTCTTTGAAGTTGTGAGATGACGTACTCATATCCATTATCTTTGGAAAGTATTTAGTGTGGAAACGTGATAATATTACATAGAGAACTAATAAAGATGTGTCTGCTTTGTAAGATTTCATATTTAACACAGATTACATTCATTAATTTATTTTTATTGAATGTACAAGAAGAAGCTTGGATAGATATTAATTAAATTGTCAGAAATAAATAGAAATTGTAAGTATGACACCCCCTGCAAAGTGGAGATTTATGGTGCTATAAAAGCATTACGTGGAGGGATTTGATGTAGTCATGGCCCTCTGGGAAAGTTCTCTGTGAAAGTGATGAAGAGTTGAGCTCTGAAGATAGACTAAGAGTTACTGAGCAAGGGGTATGGGGACTTGTGTTTCCTCTGTTTGAAATTATATACATATTTTATGCTACACACTACATCTATGTATTAGTAATGGCCTGAGAGATTTGCTCTAATTCATGTTCCTTTTCAGATGAAGAAACTAGAATCCATCGATTTTAAGTAACTTGCCTGATTCATAGCTAGCCTGTGATTAAAATTGAAGTAGCACTATGTTTTATGATTCATCCCATTTCTATTAGGACGGGTTCAAGACATAGGAACATCAGAACAAAAACGGACTTAACTCTTTATTCAGTTATTTATTTTTTCATCTTAAATTACAAAGTACTTACTATATAGAAAGGACTGTGCTACTTGATGTGAAAGATGAGGAGGTAAATGATATGTGGCATTTGCTTTCAGAGAACTTCCCATCTATTGGGAAATACAAAGCATAATCTGAATTTAGAGAGTAACATGATAGATGTCAATAGAAAAATATAGATAAAATGTAGGAATTCTGATAAGGAAGAGATTGTGTCCATTGGGACTAAGTTTGGGGTGGCTTCCCGGAGGAAATGATAATTGAGCTGGTCTTAAACGTGAAAATGAAAGGCATTTGGTATAGAATGGACTGCGTGATCAAAGCAAGAAGTTCGTCAGGGCATCAGCAGGTAGTTCTCTTAGATGACACTAAAATGTGTGAAGTTGTAATGCATGTCTTAATTAAATAACTGTCTTTGTTTCTCCCTTCTGTAATATGCTTCCCCCTGCACAGATCTCCCCCCGCTGCCCCACGAAATGCTTGAAAGGTAGCTTGACTCTTTGTTCGAGGCTCAGTCCTTTGGATGTTAATCCAACTGGGATGGTGTAACTAAATAATTAATTCCTTCTCAACCCCTCGGTCTCTCTGATTCCTTAATTATCCCGCAGCAGAGGGAGAGATAGTGGGAAATAGATTTGAAATATATATTGACACATGATTGTGGGTAAATACTATAGATAAGGGGTAGCCCTTAATTTTCTTATAAAAAGGAGAACAAACTACTGGCAGTTGTTCAATGGTAAGTGCATTGGGTGGAGGATAAAGAAAGGTTGAATGTGAAGCTGCTCTGTGGGGTGCTGGGGATACAAAGATAAATATGTGTACATCAGGGAGTAAGTATGATGCTCAAAACATGATGAAAGCCTGGTGTGAGACAAATCATGCCCAGCGTGTAAGAAAGTGAAGCTATTAGTTCTCCTGTGAAGAGTTTTGAAAGGCTTCACGGATATGTGGGCTTTTAGTTGCTTTTAATATCTTTATGTTTTGTCTTCTTAGATCACAGGTTCCCTGTGGTTTGTTATCATCCAGTAGTTGACAAGGTGGTCTTACTGCTAGGTGCCAACACATACCCTGGCTCCCTTAGTCAGTAATTTTTTTTTTTTTGAGACAGTATCTTGCTCTGTTGCCTGGGCTGGAGTGCAGTAGCATGATCTTGGCTCACTGCAACCTCTGCCTTCAAGCAATTCTCCTGCCTTAGCCTCCCAAGCAGCTGGGATTACAGGTGCCTGCTACCACGCCTGGCTTTTTTTTTGTATTTTTGGTAGAGACGGGGTTTCAGCATGTTGGCCAGGCTGGTTTTGAATGCCTGACCTCAAGTGATCCGCGTGCCTTGGCCTCCCAAAGTGCTAAGATTACAGGCATGAGCCACTGTGCCCGGCTCCCTCAGTCATTCATTCTACAAAGGCGTATTGAGAGCCTACTATGCATCAGTCATTGTGCTAGGTTCTGAGTCTTGTGGTAAACAAAGATAGGCTCTTTTCTTGTCCTCAAGGGCCTTTTCTTGTCCTCAAGGGTCTGGGAGGCAAGACACATTAAACAAGTAATTAAAATAAAATGTGATTAGTATTAATGATAGAGTAGTATGGAAGATAAAGGCGAGACGATTGTCAATGATCATAACATTCTAGGGAATTGAAAATAGTCTTATTCGTTCATATTTTAATTTGGCACTGCTAGAATCCATCATGGCCACTGGGAAAGATTCATATGAATTCTAAAATTAATAAAATCATACCATGTGAGGGGTGAAGAGAAAAGGAGGATTCGTGGGTTAGGATCATGGGCTTTGGAGTTCATGGTTGGAGTCAGGGACAGTTCTGGCTGAAATTCTATCAGTATGTATTGGCTAGGTGATCTTGTATAAGCAACTTAATGTCACTGTTCTTGGCTTCTTCGGCTGTAAAATGGGGAAAATTACAATTCATATCAGGGTTGTAGTAAGATTTAAGTGAGATGAGTACTTTAAGTATAGTGCCTGGTATATAGTAAGTGTCCAATGAATGCTGTCTTCTAAAAAAGATATAATTGCTCGTAAGAGAATGGCATTTAGTGTCCTAGTCTTTCTGTAGGATTTTGGCATGATCTTCACTGATCCCTGTCCTTAGGCAAGAAATCTGAATTCCTTGTGCTGCTTCTCCCATATGCAAAAAGGACTATGTTTCTCCTTTTTTCTTTTTAGAAAGGAAGTATAAAGATTAATTACATCATACAATGGTCTTTTCATTTTTAGGGAAAGGTGGTACATAGATGTGTTTCATTCCTTTCCTCAAATCTGTTTTTGTACTAAAGTTGAGAATGCTTCAAGTCTCTTTCTATTTTTTAAATGCATATTGCTGTTTAGTTAGCTTTTAAGGTGACGTGTGGACGTTTCTTATAAAACCAATAATTTGTGTCACTTTATATAGCATTGCAAAAGTCCTTTCTTGCCAATTTTGTTGTGACATGTAACAATTGTTAGGGGGGATGGATGCATATCCAGATGCTTAAGCAGATTTTATTGATTATAAATAAAATAGCTTAAAAATAAAGCTTTAAAAATGTAATTACTACTGCCATTTTTACACACAAAGAAGTAAGAGTAAAGAAATATGTGGTGTTGTCTTGGGGACAGAAGGATGGCCTGGTTTCGTCTTCACTGTACTAGGACACAGATGCAATCTGGAAAGCCATCTTAGAACTGTTACTGTAGAAGAGGCTGGTGCTTCCCCAGGAGTGCACAGCTAGGACAAGAGCTTTGCATGTTTTCAGAAAGCCCCTGACACTCAGCTGTTAATCTGAAATATCTAGAAAGCACATCTTCTCAATAAACCTTGTTATGCAAGGAATGTCTCGAGCCGTAATTCTTTTAATTCAACTAAATCCAACACTGATCCCTCATCCCACCATCTTGACGGGAATCTCAGTTATAATGGGGCTCCCTCACTCACAAAGTTGTGGGGCTGAGGTCCTGTGATGGTGCATAGAACAAAGTATTCAGGTAAGACCCTTGAGTTTTTAGTTCAAATTAGTTTGCTAATTTCCTAATTTGTTAGCTAATTAGTTTCTCTCAACAGAGGCATACTGGAGTTTTGGTGGGATAGTTCTTGTGGTGTGGGAATGTTCTATACGTTGCAGGATGTTTTTAGCATCCATGACTTTGATTCATTGTGACAACTGAGAAAAAGCCTTTTCTACCTTTCCAAAGTTCCTTAGTTGAGTCCCACAATACACATACTTTTATCCCCCCGGCAGATCCCTTGGACTGTGATGGGGTTGGGACTGTTGTCCCAGGGGTGTGAGAAAGTAGTGGGCCCAGGCGCTCTTAATGGAGCCTCGTGTGGCCACCTTGCTTTTATTTCCCATGCAGATCCAACCTCTTTGCTGGAGCTCTGCAAGAGGAAACTTTTGGGTGCATTTACTTGTAGGTGCCACAGACCAGCCCTTCCTCAAGCTTGGGGCAATCTTTTTCTTTCTCTTGCTGCTTGTGCCAGACCTGTCCCCACCATCATCCCTTACTCTCACACCAATGCAGTGGCTTCTTTTTGTGTCCATAGTACTAAGCTTTTGGAAAACAATAGCCAGTAAAGGAAATTCTCTTAGGCCACTTCTGTGGTAGCTGGGCTACCCTGTGGTGAGGAAGCATGCAAGACCTGGCTCTCTTCTCAGGAGGTAGGATGAGGTATCAAAAGGCAAAATAGGGAATGCAAATTACTAAATGTGATTTCAATCTTTTGGGTTATTCGATAGCAATAAAACTATGAAGCTCATTAACATCTTTGTAACTTACCTTGCACCCAAACGTAGGTATTATTCATCTCCCTTCAAAAATGAGTGATCTTGCCCTTCCTGTATGGTCTGATTTCTTTACCATGGGGAACTAGAGCTCTGTAACTTGGGCAGATCGGATACATGGCCCACATGTAAGACTGACACAAAGGCAGGAAATCTATGGACAGGGTTCAGGGCTATACTTACTTTCTATTTGGGTTTTTGAACTGAACAACAGAACACAGGAAACTACCTGAGTCACTATTTTTCTGATTTCTCTTGTGGATGCTACTTTCTAGTTTAATAGGAAAGAAGTTAGATTGTTATATGGAATGGTTATCTCAGGGCATTCGGGTTTATTTTTCTTGCTGAACCCTTTGGAGTGATTAGTGCTAATCCTTGTTTTTCTGGTCCTGTTGTCCTGTGAAATAATCAGAATTGTGGTGTACAAATGAGTTCTCCTCTGTTAAAGGAGGATGATAATAATACCTACTATGTAGGTACTGTCGAAAGGGATTAATAATGTCTATAAAGTGCTTAGTACACTGCCTGGCCCTCAGTGAGTGCTATGTAAGGGAATAATGTTAATGGGTCCAGGCACTATGCTAAGTACTTTACATCTTGGTGCTTTCTCATTTCATCGTCCTCTAACTGTTCCTGAGATAGATACTATTATTCCCATTTCACAGATGAGGAAGAGAGTTTGTTACTTCCCTGAGGAAACACAGCCTGTAAGCGGATGAGTTGGAATCGGATGCAAGTTTGGAAGGAAGTATCCTCTCCCCAAATGTGGGGCAGAGAGACGCTTGGGCTGACCTAATTGTTAAAGCCTCAGTCAGTGTTATGCTGAATTTGTCGCTTACATGTCTGCACATTACTTTCAATTGAAAGTAGAAAAATGAAATAGAGATCTAATAAACATTACCACAATGTTAAGACTGAAAAAATGAATCTTTGTCTAAATCTGTTGAGTACAGAGCCTACACCTGGAACATATTTCTTTGATCCCCTTCATAAACTGCTAAAAAATATGCTGTAATTACAGGCATTTAGTGAAGCAAGCTACTGGGCACTTTTGTAATAGGTTGCATTTTCTTTTCCTTAGGATAATGAACAGGCTTATAATATAATGAGGAAATTTTGACTTCCTCACCTTAACTTAGTTTTAATACAAGTCATTGAAAGCAACAGAAATCAGAGCATTTATTTATTTATTTATTTTTGGAGACAGTCTCGCTTTGTCGTCCAGGCTGGAGTGCAGCGGCGCGATCTTGGCTCACTGCAACCTCCACCACCCAGATTCAAGTGATTCTACTGCCTCAGCCTCCCAAGTAGCTGGGATTACAGGTGTGTGCCAATATGCATGGCTCATTTTTGCATTTTTAGTAGAGATGGGGTTTCACCATGTTGCTCAGTCTGGTCTTGAACTCCTGACTTAAAGTGATGTGCCTGCCGTGGCCTCCCAAAGTGCCAGGATTACAGGCATGAGCCACTGCGCCCGGGCAGAACATTTTAACATTTAAAATGTTAGCAGATGTTCCTGTGAACTTAATGTTTTATATTTTCACATCATCATGCTCTGAAGTAAAATGAAAGCACAGTCTCCTATTATTTTGGATTTGGATAATTCATAATAATTTAGATATAAGGGATCTTGTTTTTTCTCAGAAAGAGTCATCCATGGTTCATAATATTCATGTTTTACCACTTAAGAACTTAAAAAAATATGTTTGAGATATTCATTTATTGTGAGAAAACCTGCTGCTCTTCTAGCTTTTCATTGGCTAGTCATTGTCAAAATATGCTTGTTATTGTTTTAATATGTATCAAGATTATTTCTCTTTGTAAGAAAGAGTATTTGTTTGTAAGCACTAAAAAGACTAACTTAGATAAAATATAAGAATGTTTTACAAAGATTTCTTTGCCAAAGTAAGGCATTTAAAGAAAAGTTACTGAGGCCGGATGGGATGGCTTATGACTGTAATCCTAGCATTTTGGGAGGCCGAGGCAGGTGGATTGCTTAAGTTCAAGAGTTTGAGACCAGCCTGGGCAATCCGGAGAAACCCCATCTCTACAAGAATACAAAAATGAGCTGGGCACGGTGGCAGACATGTGTTGTAGTCCCAGCTACTTGGGAGGCTGAGGTGGGAGAATCAATTGAGCCCAGGAGGCAGAGGTTGCAGTGAGTCATGACTACGCCACTGTACTCTAGCCTGGGCACGCCTGTCTCAAAACAAACAAACAAACAAACAAACAAACAAGCAAAAAGAAGAGTTACCGAACATATACCTTACTGTTTTGTGTTCTGACTTCAAAGTCAGCAACAAACAATAATAACTACAATTCTAACTTATTGGGGTCTTACCCTGTGTCAGTTTATATCCTAAGCACTTTATCTCATTGTCAATGACAAAGCAATAAGGTAAATATTATTTCTATTTCACATATGAAGGGACTGAGGAATTAGAGAAGTTATATGATTTTCCCAATTAAGAGAGTCGATATAAATAGTGGCAAAGTAATTTCAATCCAGTTCTTTGTGATTATGCACTACTCCTAACTACTGCACTCTGATATGGATAATATAGAAATGCACAGGCTATGGCAGAGACACAACAAAAAAAGAGAATTTTAGACCAATATCTCTGATGAACATCAATGCAAAAATGCTCAATAAAATACTGGCAAACCAAATCCAGCAGCACATCAAAAAGCTTATCCACCATGATCAAGTGGGCTTCATCCCTGGGATGCAAGGCTGGTTCAACATATGCAAATCAATAAAAGTAATCCATCATATAAACAGAACCAAAGACAAAAACCACATGATTATCTCAATAGATGCAGAAAAGGCCTTCGACAAAATTCAACAGCCCTTCATGCTAAAAACTCTCAATAAAGTAGGTATTGATGGGACGTATCTCAAAATAATATGAGCTATTTATGACAAACCCACAGCCAATATCATACTGAATGGGCATAAACTGGAAGCATTCCCTTTGAAAACTGGCACAAGACAGGGATGCCGTCTCTCACCACTCCTATTCAACATGGTGTTGGAAGTTCTGGCCAGGGCAATCAGGCAAGAGAAAGAAATAAACGGTATTCAATTAGGAAAAGAGGAAGTCAAATTGTCCCTGTTTGCAGATGACATGACTGTATATTTAGAAAACCCCATCGTCTCAGCCCAAAATCTCCTTAAGCTGATAAGCAACTTCAGCAAAGTCTCAGGATACAAAATCAATGTGCAAAAATCACAGGCATTCCTATACACTGATAACAGACAAACAGAGAGCCAAATCGTGAGTGAACTCCCATTCACAGTTGCTTCAAAGAGAATAAAATACCTAGGAATCCAAATTACAAGGGATGTGAAGGACCTCTTCAAGGAGAACTACAAACCAGTCCTCAACAAAATAAAATGACACAAACAAATGGAAGAACTTTCCATCCTCATGGATAGGAAGAATCAATATCATGAAAATGGCGATACTGCCCAAGGTAATTTACAGATTCAATGCCATCCCCATCAAGCTACCAATGACTTTCTTCACAGAATTGGAAAAAACTACTTTAGAGTTCATATGGAACCAAAAAAGAGCCCACATTGCCAAGATAATCCTAAGCCAAAAGAACAAAGCTGGAGGCATCACGCTACCTGACTTCAAACTATACTACAAGGCTACAGTAACCAAAACAGCATGGTACTGGTACCAAGACAGAGATGTAGACCAATGGAACAGAACAGAACCCTCAGAAACAATACCACACATCTACAACCATCTGTTCTTTGACAAACCTGACAGAAACAAGAAATGGGGAAAGGATTCCCTATTTAATAAATGGTGCTGGGAAAACTGGCTAGCCATATGTAGAAAGCTGAAACTGGATCCCTTCCTTACACCTTATACAAAAATTAATTCAAGATGGATTAAAGACTTAAATGTTAGACCTAAAACCATAAAAACCCTAGAAGAAAACGTAGGCAATACCATTCAGGACATAGGCAAGGGAAGGACTTCATGACTAAAACACCAAAAGCAATGGCAACAGAAGCCAAAATTGACAAATGGGATCTAATTAAACTAAAGAGCTTCTGCACAGCAAAAGAAACTACCATCAGAGTGAACAGGCAACCTACAGAATGGGAGAAAATTTTTACAATCTACCCGTCTGACAAAGGGCTAATATCCAGAATCTACAAAGAACTTAAACAAATTTACAAGAAAAAATCAAACAACCCCATCAAAAAGTGGGCAAAGGATATGAACAGACACTTCTCAAAAGAAGACATTTATGCAGCCAACAGACACATGAAAAAATGCTCAGCATCACTGGTCATCAGAGAAATGCAAATCAAAACCACAGTGAGATACCATCTCACACCAGTTCGAATAGTGATCATTAAAAAGTCAGGAAACAACAGGTGCTGGAGAGGATGTGGAGAAATAGGAACACTTTTACACTGTTGGTGGGACTGTAAACTAGTTCAACCACTATGGAAGACAGTGTGGTGATTCCTCAAGGATCTCAAACTAGAAATACCATTTGACCCAGCCATCCCATTACTGGTCATATACCCGAAGGATTATAAGTCATGCTGCTGTAAAGACACATGCACACGTGTGTTTGTTGCGGCACTATTCACAATAGCAAAGACTTGGAACCAACCCAAAGGTCCATCAATGATAGACTGGATTAAGAAAATATGACACACACACACCATGGAATACTGTGCAGGCATAAAAAAGGATGAGTTCATTTCCTTTGTAGGGACATGGATAAAGCTAGAAACCATCATTCTGAGCAAACTATTGCAAGGACAGAAAACCAAAGACTGCATGTTATCACTCATAGGTGGGAATTGAACAATGAGAATACTTGGACACAGGGTGGAGAACGTCACACACCGGGGCCTGTCGTGGAGTGGGGAGATGGGGGAGGGATAGAATTAGGAGATATACCTAATGTAAATGACAAGTTAATGGGTGCAGCACACCAACATGGCACATGTATACATATGTAACAAACCTGCACGTTGTGCACACGTACCCTAGAACTTAAAGTATAATAATAATAAAATAAATACATAAAGAATAGTCATAATACAAATTAGATATAGAGATGAAAAAGAAATGCACAGGCTGTCATGGAGATAGAGAGGTGGACAGGTAAGCAAGCCTAGGATTCATGAATCTTAAAGTATATGGGTTAGCTAAAGCTATAGAGGCGGGTAGAGGGTAATGGGTGGGGGGAAGAAATGAATTCCAGGTAGAGGGTTCGGAAAGCACATCTTATTATTGTTACTTGTTACTACAAATATCAAGTGAGGTTTGCATGATGCAGCAAAAGTGAGGTCCAAATTTTTGAGAATCTGTGTTAAAAAGCTTGGGCATTATCTTGTATGACAGAGAGATACTGACAGGTTTCACCCATATCGATGACATTGTAATATTTGTGTTTTAGGTAAATTACTCTTGAATGGGTGAGGAGATGGTTTTAGGAGAGACAAAACTGGAGGAAGGGAAGCCAGATTTAATCTTCCATGTGAAAGATGAGCAAGACTTTGGATTAAGTCAGTGGTAGCAAGGGATCTATTTGAGATGTAAGTTTGAAAAATAAATTTACAGGAGCTAGTGATGCTTAGCTTTGGGTGATGAAGCAGAGAGGAGTTAAACAAAAAGTGCCAGGCTTAAGCCTGTAAAACTGGGTGGATTGTAGAGTCACCAATTAAGACAGTGAAATGCAGGAAGAGGGTCAGGCAGAAGATATAGTGAGTTTGGTTTGGGGCACATTGTCTTTGGTATAGTCAAATGGTGATAGTCAACAGAAATTGACCATATGAGTCTGATCTTGTCGGCAGAGATTTGGGGTGGAAACAGTTGAGGAATTTTTATCATCTGTGGTAGGTGCTATTATTACAGTGACTGAGTCATGGTGCATGGGGGAATAATGGGTTGTAGACGGATTACTGGGGTATCTAGGTTCATTGAAGAATGGGAAACCCACAGAAGACACAGAACAGGAATAATCAGATGTATAATGAGAACCAATGGTATGTGGTATCAGAGAAACAGACACAATTTCAGAAAAATGTTAAACATTGTGCAGTGCTGTGTAGAGGTCTTATGAGATAAGGGTTGAAAAATGTCCACTAAATTAGGGAATGGAGACAACTGGTGACTTTTGCAAGAAGCGATTTGATAGAATGATCTTGACAGAAGCCGTGACACATTGGGTGTAGAAGTAAATGTTGGATTGGGACTTGAGGCAGCAAGTAGGGAATCCTTTTTCATGTATTGTGGATGATAAAGGGAGAAGATTAAGAGGTAGCTACAGATGGAGTTTTTTGGGGGGTTGAGATGGTAGAATTTAGCAGATTTCTAGGTTATGGGAGAGGAGGCTATTGAGAGGGAGGTGTTGAAGATAGAGGAGGGAGTATGACCAATGCATAGGTCCCCAGTGAGTCCGAAGTCTGGAATAAAGAGATAAGTAGAGGATGGACCTTGCACGGGTCTACAGACCCATTTCTTTCCTGAAGGAAGGGAATGAAGATGGTTGTACTTTTAGAGCATGTGTGGGTCATATGTGTTAGACAGTCCAGTGATTACACAGCTGGTTTCAGCCATCTGGAGGAAGAAGGAAGCAGTGATAACTCTTGAAAATGAATGTGGTGAGACACAAAGAGAGTAGTAAGAGATTGTACTGGTTTCTGAATTGCTAGAATTAAAAACAACAGCAACAAAAGCAACCAAAGAATTGTTCTAGGGATTGTGTCTCAGTCTGCAGTGACAAAAATGTGGAGGTTGTGCAGAAATAATCTATGAATTGTCGAAGACCTGAACTTTATTCTTTGACTTTGGTGACTTTGTCTATAGTTGCTGAGACACGGGCAGGATGAGAATATTTTCTTTATAGCAGTGGTTTTGAGACTTGACTGCTCACAGGTGTTACTTGTCGAACTTAAAAAAAAATAATGATGCCGAAGTCACTCTCAGAAATTCTGCATCATCAATATTTTTAAAATCTCCCCAGGTGATTTGACTATGTAGCCATGATTAAGAACCACTGCTGCAGACCTGTGGTTAGCAAATGGGTTTTTTTAATAGAAGACCAGATAGTAAATATTTTAGGCTTCGTGGTCTATACAGTCCCTGTTGCAACTACTTAATTCACACTGCAAAAGGAACATAGATAATAGATAAATAAATATGCCCATCTTCCAATAAAATTTTTCTTTGAAATTTTATTATGACTTAATTGACAAACATAAATTATATAGATTTATATTGTGCAACATGATGTTATGAAATATGTATACATTGTAGAATGGCCAAGTCAAGTTAATTAACCTATGCATTACCTCACATGCAGTGTTAACTATCGTCACCATGTTGTGCAATAGATCTCTTGATCTTATTCCTTCTAACTAAAATTTTGTATCTTTTGACCAGCATCTCCCCAGTGCTTCCTCTGCTTCCTCCACCAGTCCCTGGTAACCACCATTCTATCCTGTGCTTCTATGAGTTTGACTTTTTCACATTTATATATAAGTGAGGTGATGCAGTAATTTCTATTTTATTTTTTATGCCTGGCTTATTTTAATTAACACACTGTCCTCCAGATTCATCCTTGCTATTGCACATAACAGGAGTTCCTTCTTTTTAAGGCTGAATAATATTCCATTGTTTATACATACAACACATTTTCTTTATGGACACTTAAGTTGATTCCATATCTTGGCTATTTTGAATAATGTAAGAAAGCTTTTATTTATGGACACAAATTTGAATTCCTTATAATTTTTAAATGTTGTGAAATATTATTATTGTTTTAATTTTACTCCCAACCATTAGAAAATGCACAAACCATTTTTATCTCATAGGCCAGGTAGGCACAGGGTGCAGTTTGCTCTGGATCCTTGCTGCTACCCAGCGTGGTCCTGAACTCGCAGGATAGGCATGACCTGGGAGCTAATTAGAAATTCAATTTTGAGGCCAGGTGAGGTGGCTCACGCCTGCAATCCCAGCATTTTGGGAGGCTGAGGCAGGCGGATTGCCTGAGGTCAGGAGTTTGAGACTAGCCTGGTCAACATGGTGAAACCTCGTCTCTACTAAAAATACAAAAATTAGCTGGTTATGGTGGCTGGTGTCTGTAATTCCAGCTACTTGGGAGGCTGAGGCACGAGAATCACTTGAACCCAGGAGGCAGAAGTTGCAGTGAGCCGAGATCCTGCCATTGCACTCCAGCTTGGGCTACAAGAGAGAAACTCTGTCTCAAAAAAAAAAAAAAAAAAAAAAAAAGAAAAAAAAATTCAATTTTGAGCCTCACCTCTGCTGTACTGAGTCAGAATCTACATTTTAACAAGATCAAAGTGATTTGTATGCAGATTCAAGTTTGAGAACTACTTATCTGCTTTAAGCCATATTCCCCCATTCCCACTCAGCTCAGAAAATGTGGGAGCCTCATCATTTCTTCTGTTGTCTCAGGGACCTTTTAATGGAAGCATGAGAGCATTGAAGGAAAACTATGGCAACAGGCTGTCATCCAGGTGTTCTGAGTTGCTTAACAATTTGGGTAGTCTTGCTTTTGGTTCTAGAAATCCAAGTGGGAAGTTATCATTCTCCTAAAAAAATGAAGAGTTTAATTTATATTCTAGCAACTATAGACTGTTATTTTTACAGAATGGGCATACTAAGGTTCTTACAGGGAGAACCAAACTTTCCTTTAAGAGACACCTTGAATTTATTCAACAGCCTCTATAAGGACTTTTTTGAGACTTCTGAGAACTAAAGCCAAGAGAATGTAAGAGATAGTTTTAGCTTTGCTCTCTGATAGGATACCATAGAAGAATATTAAATATATAACAACTAGCATGGACACTCAGAGTGAGACTGTTAGTGAAAGAAGTGTCCCCCATTTTTTGCATTTTTGAGGTTCAGAAAGTGAATTATTTAGGAAATAAGATGACTTCTGTTAGATAAATTGGAAGAAAGTGGAATTTGAAATGCCTTAATACAACTCTGACATGGGGAAGTCAAATTTTTTTTGAACCTTAGTTTTATCATCTATAAAATGCAGATAATGTTTTTATACCAATTTTTCCGAGAATTATTATGAATATTAAATGTATGATAATTTGCCCTGAAAAGTACTCATTGATGTTCAGAAGTAGAATAAGCCGTGCTTCTGTGTGTTTAAAAGAGCTTGACTAAGACTGTGCATTTGTAGGCTGACGAAACAACCTTTAGGACTGTCTAAAACAGTCCTCAGGTTGAACTAAAAGTACTTATCCTGTAAGAAAAAAACAATTTCCTTCTAGCTTCACTTATTACATTTTTGCCGATTTACTTCCCATTTGACTCTGGTAAGAGTAAGATTAATAATGGGACTGCAGCAAGAGTAAAATGTTAATCCCCCAGGATGTGGAGAGAAACCACATGCATACAAATGTGTTTAACATTGATTTCCCACGTTATTTATTTTGGCTAATTTCCTTTAAATTCACATATATGTGTGGATTCAGGCACCTGTTGAAGAGAGTATTAAGCATTTACTTATTTTGTTTATTCATCTTTTTTTATTACCTCATTCTCCCTCTTTTGTAAAATACAAACCATCACTTCTTTCTTTAAGCAGTAACTGGACAAAGCAAGACAAAAAAGATCATGGGCTCTTAAACTTTTATGCTATCTTATATGACCATGAGGGAATGACCCCCTTCTGAATTCCTACATTCCATTTCAACAAGTTTGATTTTATAGAAAATGTAAAATATGAATACTATACTGGTCTTTAAAAATAATATATATCAGATAGACCTTACCACCAGAGTCATTAATGTCATGCCACTTTTAAGAGTTGAAAACTCTGATGATAGATTACTGAAATGGTTAAAAATGCATGCAGAGTGGTCCTTTCCAGCGATATCTCCCAGGACACTTCTGTGATGTGTACATTATGCTCCAGCCAAAGCAGACTGTATCTCAAAGGAGCATGCATTTTTCTGTGGTTGGAACTTTGCTTATAATATTCTCTATATTTAGAAAGCCCTCTAGCCACCTTTTACTGACAAAATTCCATCCATCCTTTAAAGCTCAGCTCTCAAGCCTCTTCATTCACATATCCTTCCTGATCCTGCCAACTGGATGTGATATTTATCTCCTTTGAGCCCTCAAAGCACTTTGTATTTACCTCTCTTATGGCACTTAGCTTATTTTGCCTTATGTTTTAGTTATTTGTGACTTCGACTTCTGGACAGCAGGGAGTTTATTCTTGAAACTCTTGAAAGTTAATGCTCCTATTTCCTCACAAAGATCATTGTGGAGGAGAGCAAAGACAGACTGGTTAGAAAAGGGACATTATATCCAGTCTAAGTTGCTTTTGTCTTTTGGATAGTATTCATCAAAGGGGAATCTATTATATTTAATAAGGGGATTGTACCTATGTTTGAATACGTAATACAATATGTTAAGTAGGTGAATGAAAATGTATATAGAGACTGCAGAGAAATCCATGAGGTAATGAGGAGGAGAAAGAGCTTGCTGGTATTCTTGTGATCAGGAAGATGAGGTGACTTGCAAGCTGTTTTGGACAGTGTAACTGATGCTATTGATGGTCCATTCCATATCCCTTCTGTCCACTCTGTGTTTTCCTTCTTTCCTTCTGAGATAGCCCTGCACTCACTGATGGCTGCCTACCTCAAATATCTGTCTCTCCTCAATCTCTGACTGAGGTCTTGCTTTCAAATCACAGGTTCTAGCTTACCTAACACAGGGAAGTTCAGAAACTCCAGAGATTTTATGTCTCCATGGACAACCCTCAACCAGTGAGGTGTGGGGGTCAGAGGGTTGAATATTCCACGTTCTCTATTTCTTTTTTCTTTTCTTTTCTTTTTTTGAGACAGGGTCTGGCTCTGTCATCAAGCTGGAGTGCAGTGGCACGATCTCAGCACGCTGCAACCTCCGCCTCCCGGGTTCAAGCAATTCTCCTGCCTCAGCCTTTTGAGTGGCTGGGATTACAGGCACATGCCACCATGACCAGCTAATTTTTGTATTTTTAGTAGAGACGGGGTTTTGCCATGTTGGCCGGGCTGGTCTTGAACTCCTGACCTCAAGTGATCCACCTGCCTGGGCCTCCCAAAGTGCTGGGATTACAGGTGTGAGCCACCATGCCTGGCCCCACATTCTCTATTTCTTGATAAGACAATTCTGAGGTATATCATATGTCATTAATCAGAAAGCCCCAGTAGGATTGCATCTCGGTTGGCCAGAGCAGTAACCTGATCGGTAACACTTTACTGGCTTTTTTTTTTTTTTTTTCTAATTTTCTTGTTATATCTCCCTAAATTATGCTTCCCGGGATCATGTATCAAATAGGGTCTTGTTTTGGATCATCTCATCCTAGTACATTCTAATCAAGTGTAGCTGAAGACTTGGCAAAGAATAAATTAGTCCTGTTATAAGGCCCAATCTTTTTATTAGTGATATCATAATCACAACAGCTATAGGTAAAATAACCACAGAGTAATGAGAGTGAGAAAGATATAATTTATTTAGCATGATTTTGGAGAAGAATTTTTGGAGGGGTCTGGAGGGGATTTGTGCAGTGAACAAAGGATTGAATTATAAGAAGGATGACCTTGGGGCATAGATAAAAGTGATTGTATTGAGCCTTCATGCTTGAAAATTGAATGTGTACTACATACTTCTCATATCTCCTGTTGACTTTGTCCATAATCAGTATAAATAAAATCAACATGTTTTATAACTCCACTGCACACATCTGACATGTCTGATTGCTGTTTCACTGCCACTGCAATGTGGAAAGTGAATCTAGAAGGAGTATAATAGATGATTATACATTATCACCCTGCTGCATTAGTGAAGAGGTTTGCAAAGGACTGATTTTGATGCATCAGTCAGGAAATTTTTTTAAAAAACAAAATTTAACTTGTGGCAGGATGGTATTTATACTAATTTCTTATTAGAAAATAATTATTTTACCATTTGAAGGTAGATTTTGATTTAACCCTAAGGGAAGAAAAGCCAAGGAAAAAAAATGTTGGAAGGAAAGAAATTAAAAAATCTAAACCCTGAGAGGATTTAAGGTATTAAAAAATATATGAGGAAGAAATTAAGACTCTTAGGTGATAAGTGACAAAAAACCTAACCCAAATTGGCTTCAGCCAAAAAGAGAATTTATTGTTTTATGTAACTAGGAGGTCCAGGCATAGAACTACTCTCAAACCAGCTTGATTCATGGTTCAATGTCACTAGGATCATTTTCAGACCCAGCTTCTAATAGGGTAGGGTGGTCACCAGGAGATTGAGAGTTTCCTCACCACAATAAAAGATACAACAGGAAAGAGAATTCGTACCAAAATTTAGGAATTGTTTCTCCTTGGGTCTTATTAGCCTGATTTGGTTCATGTGTCCGTCTCCAAACAAAGGACTGGATAATGAAATGAGCATATTAGCTTATTTTGCTTTTTGCTTTCCAATCTGTATGTCATTAATTTCTTTTTCTGGCTTCATTGCACTGGCTAGTACCCCTAGTACAATGCTGAACAGAAAGGGTAAGAGCACATCACTACTTTACTCCTGATATTAGAGAAAAATGGTTTAGTGTTTCACCATTATAATGGTAGTTGTAGGGTTTTTTTAAAAAATAGATTTTTATACAAAAATTAGCTGGGTGTGGTGATATGTGGCTGTAATCCCAGCTACTTGGGAGGCTGAGGCATGAGAATTGCTTGAACCCAGGAGGCAGAGGTTGCAGTGAGCCAAAATTGTGCCACTGCACTCCAGTCTGGTGACAGAGCAAGACTCCATTTCAAAAAATAATAATAACAAAAATAAAAATAAATAGATTTTATCTATCAGACTGAGAAAGTCTTCTATTTCCAGTTTGCTAAGTTTTTTTTTCTTACTTCATAAATTGGGTTGAATTTTGTTAAATTCTTTTTCTTATCAATTGAGATGATAATATGGATTTTCTTCTTTCTTCCTGTTAGTATGGTGAATTTATTAGTCTATTTTCCATTGCTATAAAGGAATAAGTGAGGCTAGATATTATATAAAGAAAAGAGGTTTATTTGGATTATGGTTCTCCAAGCTGTACAAGAAGCATGGCAACAGCATCTGCTTCTGGTGAGGGAAGCTTACAGTCCTGGCTGAAGGCAAAGGAGGAGCAGGCAGGTCACATAGCGAGAACATAGAAGTGCATGTATCCTTTTAATATAATGATTTCTTTCCCTTGGGGTAGATACTCATTAATGGCTTTGCTGGATTGAGTGACAGTTCTATTTTTAGTTAAGAGGCGATATACTCTTCATGAAGCATATATCTTCATGAGAGCCAACTTCTATCTCCATCTTGGCATCATTTATTAATGTGTCTCCTGTGACGAGGACTTCTGTGACAGGAGCAGTGCATAAACTGCTCCTCTAACTGGCATTTGGTGAGAATCTAACCACCTACCAGAGTATTTCTATTGACTTTTTGCTGATGTGTTGGATTTCTGTGCTTATGCATTTTGCTTACTTTGTACCTTACTTAAGTAATGAGAACCTACTTTCAGGGTCCTTCGATAGTCATAGCTCATCTCAGGCCAGTCGCCAGAGATAAAGAATATGAGCCTGTACCCTAAAGGAGTGATGGAGATGTAGGTGGGGAAAAGATTTTTGCACCCTTACTTGAATGGTTTTGAACAAGGCCAGATGGAACTTTCCAATCCGTATAATCATCAGGAAGGCATCCCAGTACAACCCTTGGAAGTTGCTAAAATGCTTTTGTTTTATATCCTTTCATCTTCATGTTACTCTTTAGCTGTAATTTACTCCTTTTTTGTCAATCATGAATTGTTCTTAACTTTTGAGATTAAGGAAGGATAACTGGTTTGATTCTTTTTTTCTTGTGGAATAGCCTGTATCTCATAAAGCCTCAGATATATTTATAAAAATTATAGTGTCTGGCCTTAAGAAGGAATATTTACTGTCATTACAAGCTGACCAAAAATTTCCTTGGGCTCTTATTACACCAAACCTGAGAAATAATTATATGACAATATAAGTTACAGTAGTACCTTGTGCAATTACCTTAGACTTTAAGAGGTCTGCTATACACTAGGTCCAATAGGGCTATCTTGAAATGATTCAGAGAAGGGCTCTGCCCTCTGTGTGCTCTACAACTCTGTTAAGTAGAAGTGTCAGGCTCTGTGGACTGGACAAGGAAACATGGAAGTGGAATAGCATGTTAAGAGGCTACTAATTTATTTACGTAGGCAAGACACTGTTAGGGCCCAAGCAGAGAATACTCTGTTAAACTGTGAGCATTCAGGAAAGGTAGGTTAAGGACTCTGTATTCTCTGAGGTTTGCCCTTCCAACTTTGCAGTCTGGGAACTGACCATTCATTTAATCTGAAGAGTGATTAAGCCCTAGGGAAAATGCACTCACAATGACCAAATTCTGGTTTTAGTTAGAAACTAGTTTAATAATCTAAAATAGGAAATACCTCTTCCTAGAAGGGAAGTTTACATAAGACCAGAAATAACAAGAGCTATAAATCAAGACAAGAAAACAACTTGGTGAATATTTAGTATTTGAACAAAGAAGGATCCCCAAGGAAAAGCCTTTTCCAATTTTTGGATAGTCTTGTTTAGATAGGGGTCCTCTCCTCTTGACCATGATTCTGTTTCTTTCTTTCTGATACTTTTCAAAATGCTCCAAATTTCTCTCTTAATATTTTGGGTTTCAACAACTTTTTTGTTTTTTTGCACCAAACATTCCAGATTGTTTCATTAAAACACATTTATTAAACACGCATAACAATAATAGCCAATATTTATTGAGCGTTTATGTGCCAGGTACTATTCTAAATGTCTTTACCCCTTATATACACTTGGTAAAATAGGTATTTTTATCCCTTTTTTTTTTCAAATGAATGAGACACATGGAAACTAGATATCTTACCAAAGGTAACACAATTAGGAAAGGCCGTTCTAGAACGTGTGCTATTAAGCATTCTGTAATTCTGTCCCCGTCTTTCTTTTGAGTTGCTGGAGACATTAAAGATGATTTGATAGAATCTATTTTCATTGTCAAGATGAGTGAACAGGGAAAGTTATCCAAACTTAGTTTATGGCTGACATAAAAATCAAGCTGTCTTCTCTTACTGTGCTATCTGACATCCTATGGCCTGGAAAACAACTGCCTCAATTAAGAAAGTCAACTTACGTTATAAGAGGAAAAGATTTTCTTTTTCTTTTCATAAACTTCTATGGGGGAAAATTTATTATTAGAAAAATAAATCCCCTTAACAATATGCAATACAAAGTCAGTGAAATTTCCAGATACTGTTTATTGGTACCTGTTTTTTTTTTCTGTTCTTTCTTAAAAATCCACTTTTAAAAATACATCTAGGTTTTCTCTTTTTGGCTTAAATGTGTTGGAATGGGAATCCATGTATGTATTTTAATAAGAGCTATATTAAATGGTTCTGGAAATCAAATGTCTGTCTCTCTCTCAGCTTTTAGAAAGTCCGCTCTCATTGCTTCATCCTGATCGGGTAGGATTCATCCTTTTTAGGGTGAGAGGAAGTTCAATCTCCAAAAAGCTTAAGTTTCTGGACTCTCCAGAGCAAGCACTGCCAACTTTCTGATTTATGTGTGGTTTTAGTGATGAGGACTACTGTCTTCCATGTATTTAGGTGAGAACACAAGAGACTTTTTACTGGAAACCTCGTGTTGCACTTCACTTAATTTCCAATAGGTTAGAGGCAGCCCACGGCATGATTATGTGCACAGGGGCATTGTCTGGTCTCAATATCTGTGTTACTTACTTCGTTTTAAACTGTACCCTTATTCCTCATGTCCTATCTTTATTCTTATATTTATTTTTCCATTTTCCTTGTTTTGCCTTTGGGGAGTAGATGACTGTAAACTATATGTTAAACACATTTTTGCTGTCATTTTCCATGATTTTATTAGGTTTTGTACAAAAATGCAAGTGCTTTTGTTGCTTACATGGCACAAAAATAAAGAAGTAGGTAAGCTTAGCAACATTACAATCTGTCAATAAATAGAGAGTTCCATGCAAGCTTTATTCACAGATACATAACATAAGACTTGTCATGAAGAATGAAAGCTGAGTAGTATTTTATCCAAAACACATTTGATTAGGGTACAATTTATCTCACTGTATTAAAAACAGTGGTAACACTTGCAGGGACACTGAATTTGCTAGAGGGACTGTAAGCCTAAAGGGGCAGGGGAGGAACATTTGTAAAACGGGAATAACGGGAATAAGAACTATCTTTTTAACTCTCAGTATGTTGGGTAAAAAGAGAAAAGTTACAACAGACATAAAATGGGAGGGGCCATTTGAAAATTCAGGAGAATGTTCACATAACCCAAACCTGTCAATGTGACTTGAACACAGGACAGAGTAATTAAAACTTTGAGTTTCTGAGGCTGCCATATCTCTGCTTTCCATGTGATTAGATGATTCACAACTTCTGTCTACTCAATTTCTTCATAGTAGAATGGAACTAATTTCATGCAGTTTGATGGCAAGCATGTTTTCATGTTTTCTTTGTCTATATGGCAAACAGGTTGAGTTTACAGTGCAAACATGCCCTTTTAATCTCTTTGAGGATTAGTTTTGGAAGCAGCATCTGCTTCTGGGATTCTTTTTGACTGGCTTGCTGGCTGATGCAATGTAATCAATCTAGATGAAATTGTGCATTACATTCTTGGGCATTTGTATTCTTTGGTGGGTTTCCTTTTCCACGCTGTAGCCATATAGGAAAAGGAGATAAGGAAGGGATCAGGAAAAGGAACACACTGGCTACACTAAGGCACTGAATGTGAAGATGACTGGTACAGGTCACTTAGGAATGGAAGGAGATGGATGAGCACTGCAATGTGCAGGAAAAGGGCCTCTGCCAGGACCTCAGGAAACTCCACTTCTGGGTGACTTTGAGCAAGTTGCCCAGTTTTGCTGGGCTTCAGTTTCCTCATCAGAGAGAAAAAAAATTAGAGCCGATGAAGTTTCTTACAGTTGCTATTGCACAATTCTAAGCAAAAGATGGAAGATGATATTGGTTTTACTTGTTAGGCAAGGCTCCTGACATCTTGTAGGTGTTGGTACCGAGACAATGACATTCTCTAGTCTTTATTTGTCTTCCTTGGTCTGAGGAAGACATACTTTCAGAGAAGGATCCACTTGACTTTTTTTTTTTTTTGAGGTGGAGTCTCACTCTGTCACCCAGGCTGGAGTGCAGTGGCACGATCTCGGCTAACTGCAACCTCTGCCTCCTGGGTTAAGCGATTCTCCTGCCTCAGCCTCCCTAGCAGCTGGGATTACAGGCATGTGCCACCACACCCAGGTGATTTTTGTATTTTTAGTAGAGACAGGGTTTTACCATGTTGGCCAGGCTGGTCTCGAACCCCTGACCTCAAGTGATCTGCCCACCATGGTCTCCCAAAGTGCTGGGTTTACAGGCATGAGCCACCATGCTCAGACTCCACTTGAATTTGTTGCTATCTCTTTGCCCCTAGAGGAGATTTTGATCCATATTTTGATAGCATAACTTCTCGTAGAGAAAAATGCTTCTCAGGTCAACAAAGCCTGTTCAGTATGATTCCATTCTCTGACAGGTTCTTAATGTTTACAGAGAGATGTGCCCTAGCAGTGCTGGGAATAGTGGTTTCTATTCCTAATTCTGGTGTCTTTATAGAATTAGCTGGGCTTTAGGTTGAAACACAATACCAAAGCTCTCTGGTATGCTGAGCCAGGGAATGTTTTTCAATTTTTAGGCCTCTTTATTACCTGAAACCCAAACCTAAACCTTATGACTACTCTGTAAGCTGCATAGCAAATCAAAGAGATGAGAGCCTCACCTGGCAGATACCCCTCAACAGCAGAAGTGTTTAAATAGCCAGGCCTTCTCCTGAGCTGTTTTGGCAAGGCTAAAGTGTCAGTATACTCATGGCTGGAAGAAGTAAGAGAGACCCAATCACATGTATACAGTGACCTTATCCCTAGGAAATTCAGTGTTTTATGCTCTTTTAAAGTGATGTAGTATATGTATTATAGGATATGTTATATAAATATCGACCACAGTTTCTCCATTTGTATAATGGGGATAATGTCTTTTCTTTTTCTTTTTCTTTACCGCTAAGATAATGTTTCCTTCTTTAAAATTAGCATTTGAACATGTTTTAATTATTACAAAGCACATTTACTTTGCTTCTTATAATATCAGCTACTTAGTATAGAAAATATTTTACAAAATTAATGTTTTTAACAATGAGGAGCTGGGCGTGGTGGCTTATGCCTTTATCCCAGCACTTTGGGAGGCCAAGGCAGGTGGATCACTTGAGGCCAGGTGTTCAAGACCAGCCTGGCCAACATGGCAAAACCCTGTCTCTACTAAAAATACAAAAATTAGCCAGGCGTGGTGGTAGGTGCCTGTAGTCCCAGCTACTCGGGAGGCTGAGGCAGGAGAATTGCTTGAACCTGGGAGGCAGAGGTTGCAGTGAGCGGAGATAGCGCCACTGTACTCTACCTTGGGTGACAGAGCAAGACTCTGTCTAAAAAAAAAAAAAAAAAAAAAAGAAAAACCAATGAGGAAATGTTAGTTTCAATTTATGAAATCCTATAATGCAGATTTTCATGGTGATGCCATTGGTGTGACCACACAGTGCGTTCTTCTTGTCTGCTGCCCAGATAGAGCCAATTTATCAACATGGGAATTGCAATAGAGTTTAATACTCATAGAGCTAGCTAAATGGGAGACAGGAGTTTTATCATTCCTTAAATCAGCCTCCCTGAAAATTTGGAGCATAGGGTTTTTCGAAGGTAGTTTGATAGGCAGGTGGCTAGGGAATGGGGGATGCTGATTGGTTGAGTGGGGGATAAAATCATAGGGAGCTGAAGCTGTCTTCTTGCTGAGTCAGTTCTTACAGATGAGATGATACAGTGTACTAGTCTGGATGACGCCAGCTGGTTCATCAGAATGCAGGGTCTGAGAAATACCTCCAATACCAATCTTAGGTTTGACAATGGTAATATTATATATAGGAGTAACTGGGGAGGTTAGGAATCTTGTGGCCTTTGGCTGTGTGACTTGTGAGCCATAATTTCTAATGTTGTGGCTGATTTATTAGTTTCACAAAGGCAGTGTGGTCCCCAAGCAAGGATGGGTTCATTTTGGGGAGGGACTGTTATCATCTTTGTTTCAAAGTTAAACTATAAAGTAAATTCCTCTCAAGTTTGGCCTACACAGAGGAATGAACGAGGGCAACTTGGAGGTTAGAAGCAAGATGGAGACAGGTCAGATTTCTTTCACTTTCAGAGTTTTCTCACTGTCATAATTTTTTCAAAGGTCTTTTCATTAGGCAAGGAAATTGATTTATTTAGGTTAACTAGAGAGTTAACCTGATTAGGGTTTGTTCAATTGTGAGTTAATGTACACTATTCTCTTTATTCAAAAAGTTGTAATTTAATCATAAGAATGTATCTCAGGGATAAGTATTCCAAAAATCTGTCCTAGACTTTTGAGAAGTTTTTAAAAGAGTAAATAATATTGCAAAGTATACTGGTTTTTTAGGTGCTCATTCATATTCAATGACAGCTGAGAGAATTCTGAATTTTTACAATGATCATTTGGCATGGGACTAGAAACAAAGGATCCCTCAGCTATTTTTGCTAAGCTTTAAATTATACATATGGACAGAAAACTGGGAAATATGATGATAGTCTAGGTTCTTGGTTGAAAACAAGTTTCGAAATAAAGTCTACCTTACAAAAATAAAAACTTAAATACATTTTTTTGTCAAAAAAGATAAAAAAAAGAACAAAGAGCTTGAAGGCCTTCTTTGAAGACTACAACAAAGAAAACAAAATATGAATGAATATAAGAATTCAAATGCACAAACGTACACAAAAATGCTTGCAATTCACCTTATTGTCATCAGATAAATTTTGCCGTTCACGTATCTTTGTTGATTCAAGGAAAATTTTACCCTGATTGGCTCTATGAATAGAAATATAATAAATGTAGCTGTGTGATATTCCAAAAGCTGGATGAAATGGCTTTTAGTATTTAAGCATAATTCCAGATATTTTGTTTTAATAAAACAATGAAAGTTAGCATTTGTCAGGATATTATCTGAAATTAATGTAAATATTCAATTATTTATATATCTTTAAAGTTGATGAAAATATAAAATATTATATTAAAACTGGCAAAAATTAAAAAAAAGAAGTACGTCATCATTTATGGTCCTCTTTAAGTCTTAAGAAGATAGAAATAGTAAGCTTCAGTACTAAGAAGAAGATCATGCCAAAAAAAAGAGTATTGTTCTGTTCAGTGTTAAGTATTGAAGAATGAACAGCATTGACAATAACTTTGTTTTTGATCTTCCCTCGTTCTATTTTGGCACTCCTCTGCAAAAGGATTTGGCAGATCTGAGCTTTTAGAAAGCTTTTCTTAGGAATGAATTAAGAGTCCCCCCCTCCCCCAATTTACGAATTGGCAACATAGACTAGAAGAAAATTTTCATTTATATTTCCTCTAAACGAGACTATCTTAGCTTAAAACAGGACATATTCTCTGAAATAAGAGCCATCCAATTCATTCCCTAGTGATGCTGGAATAGTTTTCTATTACCATAAACTACCTTACCCCTGAGTTCAGACGTTTTCTTTAGTTCTATTTTACCTATTTTCTTTGAAAGGATATTAATGGTTTATTGATTTCGATGCCGCCAAGCTTCTCCAAGTCATTCAGATTAAATGTACTTTTCTGTAGTCTTTTGGTAGTCATTATGTAAAAAAATTTGGAAGGCAAATTGAAGATGATACCTTTTTTATTTAAAAGACAGTATTGCTAGAGCATTTCTTAAACTTGAAAGCAACATTAATTACAGTTACCTCCTTTTGTTTAAATGACAGATGCTCTTGGTTAATGTATAATGCATATATGTGCATATTCTATTTATCATATATATTGGAGCTACTATTGAGAAAATATTCTTTAGTTACTTTTCTAGAGATACTCATCTATATTACTAGTAATTTAGGAAACCTAGTCCTTATCATTTGAACACTTTTGTTCCTGAAACCATGTTAAAAACTGACTTCTGCAAACCGAAGGATTGACTTGATTATTTTTATCCCATCCTAGTATGCCTCCCGCTTTCTGCTTACTTAGATGGTGACCTCGTGGAACTCCTCATGAAGTCCTAATTTTCCAAGTCAATACCCAACTGTCTAAGAATATTTTTCAGCCATTTTCTTTTTCACAGTTTACCTGGGTTATAGTTTATTACCAAAGCAATTTTTCCCACAGTTGCATCATTGTGGAGGGAATCTCAGATTTATAGAATTTTTAAAAACTTTTTTTCTTTTCTAATTACAACTTCCATTGAACCCATACTATTAAAATAACATTTATGAGCTTTTTCTAATTACGAAATGGAAGCATTCTCATTGTTGGAAATTTGGAGAGCTCAGGAAAATACCAAAATGACAGGGAAACACAAAACAAACAGAAGCAAAATGAAGTCATTTGCCCAAAGATAAGTAGTGTGGGCCCTTCAAATAGTTATTCCATTCACCTTTAACCATTTATGTTAATAATACCTCAGTGATTTGAACTTATTTTATGAACAGATACACAAAGGCCTACATGGTTTTGGCCTTTATTTTCTGTTCTCTCTCTCTCTGCTTTTTGTTTCTTTTGTTTGTTTTTTTGAGACAGCATCTTGCTGTGTCGCCTGGGCTGGAAGCTGTGGTGCAGTCATGGCTCACTTGCAGCTTCTACCTCCCAGGCTCAAGTGATCCTCCCACCCCAGCCTCCTGAGTAGCTGGAACTGTAGGCGCAAGCCACTGCACCTGGCCAAGTTTTGTATTTTTTGTTGAGCTGGGGTTTTACCATGATGCCCAGGCTGGTCTCAAACTTATGAACTCAAGCTATCTGCCCACCTTGGCCTCTCCAAAGTGCTGGGATTACAGGTGTGAGCCATCATGCTGAGCTGTCTCTCTTTTTTATTTTTATTTTTTGAGACAGGGTCTTGCTCTGTTGCCCGGGCTGTATTGCAATGGTGCGATCATGGCTCACAGCAGCCTTGACTTCCTGGGCTCAAGTGATCCTCCCACCTCAGCCTCCAAGTAGGGACTACAGGTGTGCACCACCACACTTGGCTAAATTTTTTATTTTTTGTAGAGATGGGGTCTCACTCTGCTGTCCAGTCTGATCCTGAACTCCTGAGCTCAAGCAACCCTCTTGCCTTGGCCTTCCGAAGTGCTGGGATTACAGGTATGAGCCACCATACCTGGCCCCTGTTGTCTCTTACTACCTCAGTTCAATTCTATTGTCATTGTTTTGGCTTTATAGCAAATTTAGACATCTATTTTCATAAACCCTATAGTATTCTTCATTTTTAATTTTTTTTGCTCATTGTTTCCTGTGTATTATTTTGGATAATTTTTTTTTTTTTGAGACAGAGTTTTGCTCTTGTTGCCCAGGCTGGAGTGCAGTGGCATAATCTCAGCTCACTGCAACTTTTGGAGAAAATTTTGAGGGAAAATGTCAAGTAAACAACAGTTTATCAGATTTTGATTGGCATTGATTTAAATATAAAAATTAAATTGATTAGAGTTGATCTGTTCATCATAGTTGAGTCTTCCCTTCCAGGAGCATAGCACTAGTGAACCCTCATAATAGCAAGTTTTGTAGATTTCTTCGTATACATTGTATACCTGTCTTAGTGTCTGTGTCTAGATATTTTACATCTTTTGGGTGCTGTAGTGGGTAGAATCTTTGCCCCTTGTGTAGCACGAGCGTATATAATCTAAGCATGGTAATTGCTTATATTAGATATGCAATTACCATGCTTATATTGTATTACTATGCTTGTATTATATATATGTCATAACTGGCCACATCACCAAAATCATTTGTTACTTCTGGGTAGTTGAAATTCACATGTCTTGAGCTGCTGTATTATATAACCTTCTTTAATTTTATTTAGTTTTTTCAATTATTACTTTAAATCCAGTTAATACTTTTTGTCTTGAATACTACAATATTTATTTGTTTATTTGATATTACTTTAGTTCTTTGTATAACTTTGACCATAAATGAAGGCAATAGGGAGACACTATTTGCTCCCTTCTACTTTTTTCTTCCTTCAGCTTCCAGATTTGTTGTATATTTGATGTTTTTATCTCAGTTACTACCTCAGCCACTATTTTTAACTCATATATCTTTTCTTTCAATAATTATTATACCATTTTATATTATTTTATTTTAGCAGCTATTTTGGATATAATTCTGAGATCGAGTAGTGGCAATATTTATTCCCATTTCTTTCATAGCACTTGCATATTCATGAGTTTTTTTGTCTTACCTAACTTCTTTGTGGTAGGAATATGCCTCCAACCTTTTATTATTTCTCTAGGAGGCATAGGTGGCATATTTTGTAAGTCCTTACGTATCTGAAGATATCATTCTGTTGTGTTTACAAGTGAATGAAAATTTGTCTGGATATAGAATTCTTGGTAAGCATCTTTCCCCATTGAAAAGCTGTAATTTTATTCCATACACAATATTGTGAAGTGATCTAGGCCAGTCTGACTTTTAAGTCTTTTTTAAGGACTATGTCTTTATCTACAAAAAAAATATTAATCAGGATTGTCTAGGTTTAATGAATTACACCTTATATAAGGTGAATCTTTTTGGTCAGCACAAAAAGGGTTAGATTTAGTTAGATTTTTATTCATCTTGGTAATTTTGTTACAGAAAACGTCTGATTAAGCTAAAAAAATATAGAGTGGGAAAAATGGCTCTTCTCACTTTTCTCTAACACACTGTCATAAGCCAATGAATTGGCTGGGCGCGGTGGCTCATGCCTGTAATCCCAGCACTTTAGGAGGCTGAGGTGGGAGGATCACTTGAGGTCAGGAGTTCAAGACCAACCTGGCCAACATGGTGAAACCCCATCCCTACTAAAAATCCAAAAATTAGTTGATCATGGTGGCACATACCTGTAATCCCAGCTACTTAGGAGGCTGAGGCAAGAGCATCGCTTGAGCCTGGGCAGCGGAGGCTGCAGTGAGCCGAGATCGTGCCACTGTGCTCCAGCTTGGGCGATAGAGTGAGACTGTGTCTCAAAACAAACAAACAAAAAGCCAATGAATTATACATTTGAGGAAAGAACAAATTAAAAAGTCCTGCTGTTTGCTGCAGGATAGGTGGAACTGGAGGTCATTATGTTAAATGAAATAAGCCAAATAGAGAAAGACAAGTAGTGGATGTCCTCATTGACATGCGGAAGTTAAAAAATTGCATCTTAAGAAGATAGAAGTAGATTGGTGGTTGCCAGAGGCCAGGAAAGGTAGCAGGGAGAGGGGGGACAAACAATGATTTATTAATGGGTACAACTATACAGTTAGATAGAAGAAGTTAAGACCTGATTTCCAACAGATCCGTTGGTTGACTATAGTTAACAATAATCTATTGTACATTTCAAAATAGCTAGACAGGATTAATTTGAATGATCCTACCATACAGTAGATACATATTTAAGGTGGTGGATATCCCAATTGCCCTGATTTGATCTTTATACATTACATGAACGTATCAAATTTACATATGCAGCCCCCAAATATGTACATCTATTATGACTCAATAAAAAAAGTAAATTATTCAAAAAAGGAAAAGAACATAATTTTTTTGATGGTGGTGGACAAAAACGAGGCAGGGCATTTTTTCCTGCCTCCTTTAGGCCCACGCCATCCACTTTTCCCACCCCTGTTTAAGCACTCAAATGTTCTTTCTTCGGCTGGGCATTCTTGATGGCAAATATGATGTAAATGACTTCTTGTTCAAAGGTGGAAGTCAGAGGCTGCCAGGGTGGTTTCCTATTCAATCATGCCTTGTGTAGTGTTCCCAATCCACAAAATCTTGTCCATTAGACCAGAGACTGCACTGCTTGTCCAAGTCCTCACAGTGGTCACTTCAGAAGCCACTCACTGTTCATGCACTTCTTTTCTCATAACTCTCACTCACAAATAGACTGCTTGTTTCTTATTGGTGCATCTCCTTAACTTGTTAGGAAGACAAACTTTAACTAGGAACTAACATTTCTTGGTAGCCAAAATGTGCTGTCCAATACAAATTCCTGTTATTGCTAGGAGGAATTATGGTTTGTAAAATTAGCTGATGCTTTTTCTCCTTTCTTCATCTTTTCAAGATAAGATAAACAACAACTACTACAAGCTATAGCTTTAAGGAAAGTTTCTTACGCAATATTTTGTTTTGTCGAATTTGTTTAGATTTCTTCTTTATTAAAATACATTATTTATATATTGAATCTCCATTTTATGTCTCCCATAATTCTTATCAGTTTTGGGGGGCATTTTGATATGTTCCTCCCATTTTTCATCAATCTTGCCTGGATTGATTTTCTGCAATGTTGGTTCTGACCTTTACAAGTTTTATTGTAATTTTAGACTGTATTAAGGCATTCTTCTCTCCTTACTTTGTTTTAATGGTTCTGCTAATTTTCTTTTTGTTTGTTTTTTCTTAGCTCATCTTTACTTTCTCTGTTTGGAGGGTCCAGAGAGTTTTCTTTAATATATGAGAGGATAAATAAATGCTTTCTAAAATTTACCTGTTTTCTGCCATATTTATGTTAAAAGTATGCTCTTTACCTCTTACATTTTATATTTATTCCATTTTGTAGGGCATAATATCTTCATGGTTATTATTGTATCTTCTTATCTTTTTCATTGTTAAATGAAAAAAGATTTATTCCGATCTTGTATTTGCCCAAAAATAACATGGATGGTTTGTTTCTGTATCTCCTCAATATTCTCTTGTACAGTAGTATTCTCCCTTCACATCTAACATTGAATGGCTGATTAGTGTAAATTTATATTAGTGACCAAGCAATTTGGAGAAGGTGGAGACATGGGACATCTAGGCTGGAAGATTTCCTTTCTGGTTGGTTTACTCTCTGTACATGGGGAAACTGCTGTTCCATGGGCCAGCTTTCCACAGCTAGTTTCTTTTCCTCCCGGCATCTCCTCAAGAATACTGCTTGGCTGTGTCTGGCCTCCTTCCTGGAGCTCCTGCCTGCTGTTTCAGGCAAGAACCCTACTTCAATGGGGAAAGTCAGATTCCTAAGTCACTTCATCCACCAAAATAAACTCCAGATGGATTAAAGATTTAAATGTTAAAAAAATCAAACTTTGCATGTACTTTAAGAAAATAGAGGAAAACATTTATATACTATTTGGGCAGGAATGTACATTTTAAATGCAATACAAGGGAAAATTAAATTACTGATAGGTTTAACTATTTATTTCTCACAACATCTGTATGTGAGAAAGCTCACTCCACATACAGTATTATACAGTAAATAGAAATATTTATAATGTAATTTGATGGCCAAAGATTGAGTCTTTATGTATAATGAATTTTTACAAATTAATAAGGGAAGCAGGAAAATCCTAATTGTAAAACAAGCAACATTGATGTGATCCATAAAAAGAATGCACAAATGGCTAGTGACAACATAAAAAAAACTTTCAATCTCATTAGCAATCAAATAAATGTAAATAAAAGCAATGAATTACAGTTTTCTTTATTACATTGATAAATGGGAAGAAAAGATAATAATACTAGTTCAGGACTTGGGAAAGTGTCTTTCCATGACTGCATTCTTTTTTTTTATAGCTGCATACTATTTCATGGGTTGGATGTAACTTGGTTAATTTCCCTATTGGTGGACAATATATTATTTCTCTGTTATTTGCTATTACTATAAATACTGCACTAAACATTATTTTATATGTGAATAACATATGGCTTTTAAATCTACAAAATAGATTATCAGGAATGAGATTGCTATCACTAAGGAAAGAAAGAACTACACTAGTCCCCACTTATCTGCAGTTTTGCTTTCTATGGTTTTACATACCCACAAGCAAATGTGGTCTGAATATACTAAATGGAAAATTCATTAGATTTAAATTGCATGTTTCTGTGAGTAGCAAATCTTGTGATACTCTCCTTTTTCCCACCCAGGATGTGAATTATTCCTTTGTCGAACATATCCATGCTGTATATGCTACTCAATTGCCATAGCCATCTAGGTTTTCAGGTCAAATAAACATAGTATATATAGGGCTCAGTGCTGTTTGCGGTTTCAGGCATTCGCTGGGGGTCTTGGAACATGTCCTAAGCAGATGAGGGGGGACTACTCTGATTGCTAGACTTATTTCCAAAAATAGCAGTCATTCACATTTTTAACAACAATGTATCAAAGTGCCCCTGCCCTACATCTAATTTTCTATAATAATGGGTATTGTCACATTAAAAAAAAATTCGGCCATGTTGGCTGGGCGTGGTGGTTCATGCCTGTAATCCCAGCACTTTGGGAGGCCAGGGCGGGCAGACCACTTGAGATCAGGAGTTCGAGACCAGCCTTGTCAACATGTTGAAACCTCATCTCTACCAAAAAGTATAAAAATTGGCTGGGCGCGGTGGCTCATGCCTGTAATTCCAGCACTTTGGGAAGCTGAGGTGGGTGAATCACCTGAGGTCAAGAGTTGGACACCAGCCTGGCCAACATGGTGAAATCCCGTCTCTACTACAAATACAAAAAGTTTAGCCAGGAGTGTTGGCAGGCGCCCATAATCCAAGCTACTCGGGAGGCTGAGGTAGGAGAATTGCTAGAACTCTGGGGGCGGATGTTGCACTGAGCCGAGGTCACGCCACTGCACTCCAACCTGGGTGACAGAGCCACACTCTGTCACAAAAAAAAAAAAAAAAAATCTATCTATCTATCTATCTATCTATCTATCTATCTATCTATCTATCTATCTATATAAAATTAGCGGGGCGTGGTGGCAGGCCCCTGTAATCCCAGCTACTCAGAGGCTGAGGCAGGAGAATCACTTGAGCCCGGGAGGCAGAGGTTGCAATGAGCCTCAATGGTGCCACTGCACTCCAACGTGGAGACAGAATGAGACTCCATCTCAAAAAAAAAAAAAAAAAAATTTGGCCACATAATGTGTAAAAAAAATGCATAGCAATGCTATTTTAGTATTGTCTTCTCTGATTCAGATTGAGTTTGACTCTGTTTATGTTTATTGGACATTTGCATTTCCTGTTCTTTTTTGGTTGCTTATACTTTTTTTTTTTACTAATATGTAGAAACTCTTTTTAAAATGTTAATATTTTTTTTCCCAATCCTCTATTCATCTTTGACTCTGTTTTTATTTTTTATCTAATCAAATATTTCTGATTTTTCTTCTAGAATTTTTGGGTTTTCTACCTTTGGTTATAAAAACCTTGAGTAAAAAGTCTCCCCCAAAATTTATTCTCCTAAATTTTATTCTATTTTTACTTATTTTCACATTTGTGTCTTTACTCCACTCATATGAAACATGATGTGAAATAATGACTTAATTTACTTACAGATAGATAACTAGTTTTGACAGTGTTTTGAATAAATACTTTTTTCTTACTAAAATAGAATTCTACATGGAATATATTAATTACATGTATATATTGGGACCTACTACTGGACGCTATTGCAACCACTCAATTATTTGCTTATTTCTTATTTGTTTAAGATTCTGTTATAGTGAGTTTTAATAGATGGGAGTCTTCAACTTACTATTGTTTTTATATTTTTTAATCTTCTTAGCTATTTATACTTCCATATGAACATTAACATCATTTTAACTGATTTCAAAATGGTTGTGATTCTAACTGGATTGCTTATAAGTATACTTTGAAGCATATACTTTTTGGAGGATTTTTGTTTATAATACTTTGGCATGAAGTCTTCTTTTCCAAGGACATTGTTTGCCTATGTACTTGTTCAAATATTATTTTGTATTTAACAATAAAATTTTACAACAAAATAGAGGGTTTTTTTTGTTGAACTATCGTGAATAGCAATTTTCTGTTTTAATTTCTTGTTTTTGTTAGATATAAAAATATTGGTTTTGCATATAGTGTATGTAATCACCTTGTACAGTTCCCTTATGAACTTTAGTAGCTTTATTACTATAATTATTAAGCCAATTATTTTATTTTCTTATCCTTATTTACTAGAATCTCAGAGCCCAAATTTGAATAATAGTGGTAATAAAGGGTCATTCTGATTTTAATGATGTTTTTCTTTATATATAAATACTATATTTATTTTCTTCCAATCTGACTTGGAATTCTTATTAGAAAATATGCCTGCATTTTATCAAATTACTTTTAGTACCATTTATGAAATCATAGATATATAGAGATGTTTCTTTAAGGTTTCAATGTAATGAATTTGTCATTATGTTTATTGGTCATCTTTGGCTTTCTGAAATAAACTGTACCTGATGACAATGCATTACTCTTTAGAAATCTTGCGAATATTGATTTAATTTGATAGTATTTTATTGACATCATCTGCACATATATTTACCAGTGAAGTTGGACTGTGATTTTCTGTTTTTGAGCTTTATTACATCTGGCTAGTTTAAAATTTAAAAAACAAATTAGAAGGCTTTCTATTTTTAACTATAGTCTGGAATAATTTAAATTTCACTGAAATTATGCATCTTTCAAAAGTTGGATAATTCAGCTGTAAGTCTGTCTGGAACTAGTGCCTTTAAAAAACAAGGCTTTAATTGCCTTGATAATCTACATTATTAGTGGTTTGTATATTCATTTGGTCTATTTTTATCAGTTTTGGTAATTTGTATTTTTCTAGAGAATTATCCACTAATGCTAGGCTTTCGAATATGTCATCATAGAGTTGCATATAATATTTTCATAAAATTTTCTAACTCTTTATCTGGTATATCTGTTTTTATTTTCTGCTCGCCTTTCTTATTATTTCTCTTTTCTCCTTATCAGACCTGTGAGAATTTTTGCATTTTATTCATCCTGGCAGCGTGAATTTTTGAATTCTTAGATCATACATTTCAGCTTTTTTCTTTGTTTATTTCTACATTCTGTTTTCTTTTGGTTTATTTTGTATCTTACCTTTAACATTTTAAAAATGTTTACTTGGTTCCATTCAGTTTTTCTTTTTTAGTAATGATTTTTCAGGGCATACATTTTTCTATAAGCAAGACTTTATCTATATCCTAATGTTTGGGGTATGAAGTAGTCTCTTTTTTATTGTCTTGTAAATCCTTAGTAATAGCAGTTTTCTTTTATTTTCAGACCTAAGGATTATTTAGGAAAATATTTAGCAATTCCCAAATAGTCAGCTTCATTTTTGTGAACATTTTATTGTGCTTTTAAAATTTATGGGTTTATCAGTAGATGTGATCCATATGATTTTCCATGTGTTGAATTTAAGCATATTTTTTGTTCAAGTGCATGATTTAATTAAAAAATGTTCTATGGGCCTGAATAAAATATTTGTTCTCATTTCATAGTATGTATAATTATATTTATGTATTTATATAAAATCTTGTTTGACTGTATTATTCATGCTATTAATTATATTATTAAATTTTTTCATGTGCTTACATATTTTTAATGTACTAGCTGTATGGTATTTTGAAACATGGGTATGAATCTCTTTGTCGATGACTGTTTTATTTGTTAATTTCTCATTACATTTTTATTAGTTTTTGCTTTATTTATTACACTTACATTTAATTTGTTATTTTGCTTTATTTAACATTATTTAACTTTTATATTATATGTTATGCAGCATAGAAAAACAATACATGTGATAAATATTATATATTTCACACGAGTCAAAGCTTCATGTGATGTCAGCTGCCTTCAGACAGATGTGTATGGTTTTTTGAACACAGCCCTAAATTTTTACACATCTTTTGATATTTAAACAGGATAAATTCTTTTTTTGTTAGGTTTTTGAATATTACATCTCTGTGAAATAGTTTCTTTTTCTTAGCTTTAAAAGAGCTGCACTAATTGTTCAATAGACACTATGTCAGCAGTCATTGTGTTCCTGATTGTTTGATTGCAAGGAGTCCCTCAGTAAAAGGAGGTTTACTGTAAGGATTCAGATGGGAAATCTCAGGAATGATGTCTTTTCTAGGAATGGGTCTACCTGCCCTCTGCTTCTCCTTGGTTGGGTGATAAAATCTGCCCTTGCAGCTACTCAGTGGAATTTTTGCCCCTTCATTATTTTGGGTTGCATGGATTGTTGCCTTGCCATGTTCCTGATTCACCCTCACTGCACATTTTTATTACCAGCTTTACATTTAAATGGCTGAGTCTTTCCTTTTCCCAATACCAAGTATTTGGGAGAATAATGAGTTTGTACCAGCTCAAATTTTAGTCAGGCACAGGCTAACTGGCTGGCCTGCAGATGAGCAGACATTGATCAGGTCCCTCTGTCTTAGCCCCTACCAGCTGCAACAAGAGGGAGTCATGTGATAGAGGAGTAGGCCACTTGGGCTGCAGGGGTTCTCAGCAGGCCCATTACAAGCGGGATGTGGCCTGGACAGGCAGTGACAGCTTCTCCCCTGTAATCCACTGGTTACCATGAGGGTCTTTAAATGAAGAGAATCATCTTTTCAGTTTCAAAACAGAGGAAATGACATTTTTCCTCTGCCCTGTCAGTGTTGGGCAGCTTAATTCTAGGATAGTGAAAATAAGTAAAAATGCCATATTAAGCACTATAATTCATAAACTGTAACGTACTTGTAACCAGCATTTTAATATTCATCAAGGTCTTGAAATGATGCATTCTTCTTTTCTTTACTCTCTGCCTACGGTAGAGTGCTGTACATGTATTTGGAAATTGTGATGGCATTAAATATAGCTTTAAAGAAGAAATTCGCTATAAAGTATGTTAAATGAGTTTTTTGTCTTAATGAGATGCAGCAGAATAATAAAAATATGTGCTCATTTATGGGGCGGTGAATTCCTGTTGCATGGAACAAAAGGCAAAGTTCATGTTTACATATTGTAAATGGATCTTGTAAATGGGTAGTTCTTCATGGGTTTCATTGATTGAATTTCCTTGGCTGATGACAGAGGTACCAAAAACTAGTGCAATGAGAGATCTGATACCAGGAATTCAATTTTTTTCTTGTTCTTAATTAACCACATCCACTTCTATATATTACTGGCCAACTCTAAGCCTAGACAAAATCCCCAATATACTCATGAATCACTTGATTCATTACTGAAAAGGGAAAAAATAATTTTGGCTTGAATTGGAAGGAAATGAAGGAGAGTTCTAATTATTACTCAGTAAAAAGCTACTTTCCTCATTTATTTATTTCTTTATTATTTCTGGCTACAAAGCTGTACAAAGTTCAGTCTGCAGTTTGGGTAGCTCCCTCTCCATATTTTCTTCTTCTTTGGTATCTGTGGGAGGAAATGATGAATCCGTTCAAGAGCGTGCTCATCTCTTTGTGAAGTTGTAGCTCAGGTCCACTGTTGAGGTCCACTGCTAAGAGGCATTGTTTGGAGGGAAGAGGGGATGAGATCCCAGAGATAGTGGGGGAAAACCTGGTTCTATTCATTGACTTGGAGTGTTATCTCTGACACGTAGCCTAACCTGCTTCTTTGTTTTGTCTGCAGTATCACAAGAATGGTTAATAAAAAGAAAAAAACTTTATTATTCAGTGCTTCTGTCATGTGAAACACTGTGCTAAGCAGCTTGCATGTATTGTCTCCTATACATTTTGCAGAAGTACTGTGAGGTACCATGGATGATATGTAGCTGGCAAGTTACAGAAACAGGAACCTGGGCTCCAAACCATGTGCTTTTTCTCCCTGTGACTGGTTATAGTTTCAGGAGGGAAAACAGAAAATCTGAATCAGCACTTACTGTGTGGTAAGTGTTGTAGTTGAGATACTGCAGGCTGCTGTGTGAGTACCTGGGTGAGAGAGAAGAGGAGAACCTTCGGAGTATCAGCAGCTGGGTGATTTTTGAAGTGTGAGAATGAGTTGATAAAGGAAGAAAGTGTCAAAGGCACATTGGGGTATGTTGCTGTTACTAGCTGCAGTGAAAGTGTCTTGAGAGTGGCAGTGGGAAAGGAAGGTATGTGAAATAGTCAGATCATGTTATGCAAGTTGCTTTTAAGGAAGAGTATGTAGTTTTTTTTGTTTTTTGTTTTTGTTTTTGTTTTTTGAGACAGAATCTTACTCTGTTTCCCAGGCTAGAGCACATTGGTGTGATTTGGGCTCACTGCAATCTCCATCTCCTGGGTTCAAGTGATCCTCCTGCTTCAGCCTCCCGAGTAGCTGGGATTACAGGTGCCCGCCACCATGCCCAGCTAATTTTTGTATTTTTAGTAGAGACAACGTTTCACCATGTTGGCCAGGCTGGCCTCAAACTCCTGACCTCAGGTGATCCACCTGCTTCGGCCTCCCAAAGTGCTGGGATTACAGGCATGAGCCACCGTGCCTGGCCAGGAAGAGTGTGTGTTTTAAGGAAGACTAAGTGCTGTGGCAGATCATCTTTCTGGCTCTTTGTGCTGCTGTGGTTTATGTCTCCATTTCCATGGACACATGATCCTACCTTATTTTCACTTGCCTGGACTACTGTATAAGCTGTACCCCAGGATACACACACAGACACACACACACACATGCACACACCCACACACTATATATATACTTTCTTGAAGCTGGAAGCAGAGCATTGATAAGGTCTCTTCTCTGTTCACCAAGTTTGTAGAGCCTTTCTATGGTTTATTGATTAAAGCCCACTTTCTTTATCATGGAAGCTATTAAGGTTCCACCCCACTTTTCCAACTGTGTTTCCAATATTTCCCTCGACCTACCCTGTATTTTTATCCAATCCACTTGTTCCTGTTCCCATCCTGTGCCTTTATTTACATAGTTCTCTCATGGAATTCCTGGGGTTCTTTACCTTGCCACATATTTGGATCTGCAAAGTCTACCTTGTCAGGCCTAGTGAGAACTGTGACGGCTGCTTCTTAACCCACTAGTGAGACCGTTGGCACCCTTCAGAGGTCTTGAGCTACTGCTTTTTCAGTTCTGGGGACTTTCCTAGCCTCTACCTTCTACTTTCCACTTTTACTCATCTAGTTTTCCAAGTCTCCATGTTGTTGTCAAGTTCCTGGAGATCTGTTGCTGGGGTTTGTGTTGTTTTCTCCTCAATACCCCACCTCTTGCCTCATTAGCATTTGCACTGAGAGGACTCAGGACCAGTGGCTCCTGACTCCTGCGTCCTGGACAGGCTCCTGGATACTTTATCATAATCCAAGCTCAGCATCCCTTTTGACTTCCAATTTTCAAGGATGATTGGTCTGAATTCCATGAGCTTCTTGATTTATTTTGCCATTTATCCCTTCAACAAATGTTTATTAATTACCTACTTTGTGTCAGACTCTGGAGGCATAGTGGTGAGTCATACAGTGGGCATGGCCCCTACTTTTTGTTAAACATATCTATGGAAAGAGAGCAATTTACAACCATCTAAATAAATGTAAGACTGGTAGAGAGTGTATGATGCCATGACTGCTTACCAGTGGGAGATGGGACCTAACTAAGTGGTAAAAAAATGCTTCCTTGAGAAGTCTCCAGCGCTGATACTTGTAATCACTCTTAGGACTGTGTACTCACTGATACTTGTCACCTAGTAAGACTGTGCACTAACTTTGAGCTGTGGTTCATCCACTGCAGGTCCTTCTGAACAGTTCTCAGAGATCTCCGACCTTCTAGCTTTGGGCCATTTACCTTGCCCCAACTCTTTCCCTTAGGTGTTAAGACATTAGTGATGTTTTGGTGATCCGGTGTCTAACATTTTCCCTCTAATGTCTACCACTTAATGTCATTTGTCCTCAGATCAAGTCCAGGCCTACATGTTTCACGGGACTGTTTGTACCTTTTTTTTTTTTTTTAATCTCCAAAATCTCGTGGAACACAATTAAGGTGGATTTAAAGGCTTCTAAATCAGTCTTAAATTTGTAATATAAGCTAACTGCAATGTGGTGGGGGTGGGGTGGAATTCTGTTGTGTGGTCCTGTGTTTATATGTTGGCAGTATTTTGTCAGTATTTAGAATAGGGTGTAATTAAATTTTCAATAAAGCAATTATTTATTGACTAGCATTTTTGAGTTGTTGGTATTGGGGCAATCACTGCTAAAAGTTACCATATATATTATTTCATTTAATCCTATGGAAAATCTCAACATGTCTTCCATGGAATCTTGTATAAAAATTTTCTTGGTCGTTTTACAATTTGGCCAATGCCTTCTCATCCAGCCTCATTTCCCACTATCTTTCATCCTTTTGTCTGGCATTGTATATGCCACATTTGCAAATGTCTTTTTTCTTTACTTAGAATGCATTCTTTTCTCTTCACATCAGAATCCTAAACTTGTAGTTTTTACTCTTTCCAGGACATTTCAGTCAATCTGTATACAATGTAACCTTTGGTGTTGTCCTTAAATAAAGTAGGCACTCAATGAATATTTGTTGAATTAAACATCAGGTGTCTTGGGTAGATTTGTTAATTTATCACATTTAAACTAAGCAGATGTTTTGTAATAGCCATGTAATTACTGTGATTTGAGATGATTTGCTACTCTTTATCCTTGCCATTTTAGAGAATTAACCAGTTGTCCAAAAAAAAAAAAACCACCAACTCCCTAAAACATATAATCACTAAGAATCTCTACTACTTCATTCTTCATTTTGAGAAATGTTCCATGATTTAATAATACTTATATTATCTTTAAATAAAGCAAGTTTCAGAAAAACTAATTTAAGTGCTACTTGCTCATAGATGCTGAATGTTATGAATGAATGGATCCTATGAGATAGGTTCTACATAATTTTATTATCAGTTTCAAAATGAGATGCCTGAGGCACAGAGAGGTTAAATAGCTTGCCTGGGTGACAGAAACTATCAGTTGGCAGAACTGACAGCTTTACCTATGTGGCTTCAACTTCTGGCCTATATTCCCATCTCTGCTAACAGTTATCAGAGGTATAATTTTAAATGGAGTCTCATTTCTTATTTAATTTCATTATTACTTTTAGGAACCCACCCTTTTAGGAATAGCTGGACTTCCAAATACTGTGATTAGTGTCTGTGGAAAGATATTAATGTTACTGCTGATGCATGTCATATTCACTAAGAAAGTACATGTCAAACTGTCTGAAATCATAGACTATTTTATAGGAAGAGATGTGACTAAATTTATTTGGCAATAAATTCCCAGAATATATTTATCAATTTAAGTAACCAAAAGCTATTATATAACTTTGCTTTACAGTACCTGTTCCTCAACATAATTTTTAAAAATCTTTTTCCAAATGGTCAGCCGTTGCTTTCCATTTCTTTTCACTTAAAAAAAATTTTTACTAAGAACACACTTGCCAGATTTCACTTAATTGCATTTTTATGGTCCAGTCATTAACCTACTGAAAAAAAAGTAGCTTAAATGGAAACATTGACATAAACCTCATTACACTGGCTCCAATGTGTTGCTATCATAAACTATCCATCTTCTATATGTGTATGTTTTCACAGGATACTATTGAAAAGGTAATGGAAAATTAATGTTGCAATGGAGAATTTGATTCTGTGTATAAATTTTTTAAACACACCAACACAGTGTATGTTTACAACATCAAGGGGTTTATTTGGAATTAAGGTTTATCATAAACTTTATGATATTTAAAACACATTACAACTGGCCATATATTATTTCAGGTCCCTGTTTTCAAGTTTTTCTAATTTTTTTGACAAAATATTTGTTATGTGTCTCTCTTTGGACTGGTAACAGACAACTGATAATCATTTTCAATAAGAAAAAAAAAGTTTTAGGATCTTAAAGTGGTCAATCTATCATACTTTCCCCTGTAAATTATTTTTTGGCATTTACATTTTAAGGCATACTCTGCCGTGGTTGGATAGTTCCTCAAATGTTAAAAACAGTCGAGTCCAAGATAATCAGTTAAAATCATTTAAATAAGCACTATTGTTATTACTAGCCTCACTGTTTTCAGCACAGGGGCTTATGTAGTTTTCATAAAGAAAGGGAGCAAGGTATAGAATGAAGAATTGAGATGGTGACAAAAGTATTGGAGTATGTCAGCGCCTGGAAGGCCATTTCTTTTTGCACATACTTGATATGTGTGTAGGTGTGTGGAGAGCAGTAGAAGAATTTCATGATTTATTTGAAATTCTATAAGCACTGCCTGAATAATCTAAGAATCCTAGGTATCTATTTGTGAAACATGAGAATAAATGAGTACTTTTCTTCTGGATCTTGAGGTTCTATCAGATTTTAGGTGATTTGGAGGTAGGGGTTTGTGAGCATTAATCTTTTTAAGCTGTGTAACTCTGGACAAGTCACTTTACTTCTATATGTTTCAGTTTCCATACCTATAATAATTCGTAGCCGATGAAGTTGCCACGGGGCTCAAATCGGTTATCAGGTAATAATGATTTAATAAATTTAACTACTATTATTATTTAAATAGTGAGTAGATTTATTTTAAATTGTTTTGGAGGCAAAATGGCAGAGCAGAGTTTGACAGACTTAGGTTCTCATCCTGGTTTCTTATTTAACAGTTGTTCAACTAAGCTACCATTCTTTCTGAGGATTGGTTTTTTTATGAGGAAAGTGTGATAATTATACATATTTTGTAGACTTATTGAAGAATAAGATTATGTATGTAAATTGCCAAGCATAGAGTCAGACCCAATGGTAGGTACTCAATGAATGGGAGCTATTGTAATTATTTACAAAAAACACAGTAATAGAGTGGGTACGTAAGGACCCCATGTCTTTATAAAATAGCATTACTTTACCCAACAACATAAAGAAAAAAGTCAGTGTTCTCAGAAACTCATGTAGTTGAACATTTCTCTCAGCCAAAAGAAATATATTACAGTGTAAGTGGTTGTAAATGCTATGTTCTATTTATACATGATGAAGGTGTTGTGAACTGTGGAGCCACAGTTTAAATATTGTGTGTGTGTGAGGGCCTTCTTGTTTCTTACCTTATAAAATGTCCTCATTTTAAATGTCTCTAAGTGCATGTAAACATGGCCCCAAACACTCATAATAAAATAAGCAAGATCTTCTATTCCAGACCATTTTCTTTATTTTTTTACTGTTTTATTACAATCCTCCTATCAGGATCTCATGTTTGATCGTGAAATCACAGAATTTTATAGCTGGAAGGGACTTGTCTAACACCCTAAATTTATAGGTAAAAAAACTGCCACCTGACCAATTTAAGTGATTTGCTCAAGGCCATATAGTAAGTTAGTGTCGGAATCCTGATCTCTTGTCTTCAACTCCATAACATTTTGGGAAGAGAAATGAAAACCTGTTTCAGACACAATTAAGCTTTTTTGTTTTTTTAAAACTTATGAGAGGCGGTGCTGGGGTCTACAAAGTGACTCTCAGCTTTCTGCTGAAAGGAAAGATTGGTGGGGAGCCTTAGTTGTGGGGATCCTTACCTGGTAACAGAGACTGCCCTTGTGGAATTACCTAGATGGAGCCATACGCCATTGATAATGGATATTGTGATCTCAGGTATGTTCACATAACAATTATCCAAGGATATCAGGTTAAACCAGAAAGGCAGTATCTGGTGGGGTTCCAAGTAGTGGGATAGCAGATTCAAAGTCAGACAAGCAATTGCACCTTAGTTCCAGGGAAGCCTTGTTAATGAATGCTTGGGGAAGTTGCTTATCTTTCAGCGCTTCTGTTTCCTCAACAGTAAATTTATAATAATACATATATCTTATGGTTGTGCTGATGATCATGCAAAGTAATTGATAAAATGAATTTATTATAATGTCTGGCACATATCTTAATCACTTAATAACTTAAAGCTACCACTATAATTCCAGGTGATCAGTCTCTTCACAGTAAGAGACTTGTTACAGGGAGATAAGCTCTATTCCTTGAGAAAGGACTGAGAGAAGTTACTCGGTATTCAGAGTCCAAGCTCAGTCACCCACAATTTAGGATAACATTTTAGTCCAAACAAGTCTTGGGGGTACTTACTGGAGAAACTGAGGCAGAAACCTCTCCCATGAAGGAACCAACAAGGTAGATAATTGGTTTGATTATAGCACGGAGACTGTTATGATTTATGGTATATGCGTGTCAGCTGGATATATCTCAGACTTACCAGGCTCTAAGACAAATTTCAGTGACCCTATCCTGATTAGATTCAACATTCACCAGTGGGCTTTCATTCTGGAATCTTTTAGAAAGATGACTTATTCTCTATGTCCTCAAGTAATTAAAAACTACTTCCAGGAAGAGAAGCTACATAGAGGCTGATTTTAATTTAAAATAAAGCACCTCTTCAGATGAGCAGAAATATCCGTTTAAGAACTTGGTTACTTTGGATGGTATTGACTTTTACATCACCGAAGGTGTTTCCATAGATGGAAGACAGCCACACTGTGGGGATTCTGGAATTAGATTTCAGGCCCTTAAGGTTTTATAATACTACAGAATCTCTGGGTTTATGATAAGTGAAAGTTTATGGAAATAGTTGGGGACAAAGTATGAGTAGAAGGTACAGAAGTAGAAAAGAATATATATATTTTAAGAATGGCACATTTAATTTATTATTTTTTAATTTTTAATTTTTTTTAAGAGATAGGGTCTTGCTCTGTCACCCAAGTCGTAGTGCAGTGTTGCAATCATAAGTCACTGTAACCTCAAACTGCTGGACTCTAGCAATCCTCCTGCCTCATCCTTCTGACTTGTTAACTTGTTAGAATTACAGGCATGCAGCTAATTTTTAAACATTTTTTGAGACAAAGTCTCCACCCTATTGCCCAGAATGGTCTTGAATTACTGGCCTCAAGTGATCCTCCTGCCTCAGCCTTCTAAAGCATTGAGATTACAGACATGAGCCATACAACCCAGCTAAGAATAGCACATTTTAAATTTTGATTGAGACATATATGTCCAGGAATTTTGAGCAGAGAGATTGGACAGGCTAATCAAGATTAAACTGTGGGGAGTTCCAAATGTCTAGTTAAGGGATTTGGGTTTATTTTATGAAAACAAGTGATAATAATTATGATCCTCTATGGATAATTCTCACAAAGTTCTATAAGATGGTCGTTATTTATATATTATACAAGACATAACTAAAGTTCTGTGACTCGTCTAGGGTCACACTGCTAAGTCAGTGGCAGTACTGGGATTCAGACTCAGCTCTGTCCAACTTCAAAGTCAATGTCATTTCCCCCTTAACATAGTGTGGACATTGTATATTCTGTTTATTTTTCAGTGATTACTTTAAAAAACTTTAATTGTTAAATAGTTGTCTTTATGTTCCTTTGAAACATTATGAGCAATGTTTGAACTCCACTCATTCCTCAGTTTGCATATTGTTGTTTTTCAGTATTTAGTTCCACCTCGGTTTTTATTTTAACCTCATAATCAGTCATTGTGGTGGTTTGGGTTCTCCGAGAAGCAGAAGACGACAAGGCTGAATGTCCCATGCCAGGGGCTCACTGGGAGGAATTCCTATGGAGCAAGAATAGGCAGAGAGGCCTTCCGATTGTAATGCAGGATATGACATCTGGGAAGGGAGAGTCAAAGAAGGAAGATGGGGAGTGATATGGTTTGGATATTTTGTTTCATGCCCTAACATACTCTGGAGAATATTCCAGTGGTTCTTGAGAAGAATGCCTATTCTGATGCAGGGTAGGAGGCTCTCTGTATGCCTGTGAGGTACATTTATTCCATAGTGTTCTTCAAGTCTTGTTTCCTCTTATCTGTCTGAATGTTCTATTCGAGATTGAAAATGGGTTATTGAAATCTAGTATTATTGTGGTGTTCTCTTTATCTTCCTTTTGCTCCATCAGTGCTTGTTTCATATATTTTCATAATTGCTGTATCTTCCTGATAAATTGACCCTTTTGTTCTGTAATGTCCTTCTCTGTCTCTTGTGACAGTTTCTGACCTAACATCTATTTTGCCTGATGTAATTATGGCTACCTCTGCCCTCTTTTAGTTGACATTTGCATGAAATTCCTTTCTTCATCCATTCACTTCCAGCCTATGTGTGTCCTTAAATTTAAAATGAATCTGTTGTAGACGGCATATAGTTGGATTTTTGAAATTTGGAATTCAGGCACTTTAATGTCTTTTGATTGGGGAGTTTAATCCATTGACATTTAAAGTAATTACCAATAGGGAAGGACTTACCTTGTCACTTTTAAATTGTTTTCTGTCTGGCTTGTAGCTTATCCCCGTGTTTTCCTGTCTTGTTGTATTCCTTTGTGTTTAATTTATTTTTGTAGTTGCTCTCTCTCTTTCTCTGTCTCTGCTGTGTGTGTGTGTGTGTGTGTGTGTGTGTGTGTGTCCTGTGGGCCTTATGTAAAACATAGCAATACATTTTAAGCTGATAACAACTTTAATTGCATACTAAAACTATATTGTCTCCACCCATTTATGTTATTGATGTCACACCTTACAGCTATTTTATACTGTGTATCCATTAACCTGTTTTATTGTCATGGTTGTTTTTTATGCTTACAACTTTTAACTTCTTTACCAGCATTAAAAGGTTTACATACCAATGTTACAGTATTACAGTATTCTTTGTTTGTCTATATGTTTGTCAGTGAGCTTTAAACTTTCACACTGTTTCATATTGCTATCTAATGTCCTTTCCTTTTACCTTGGTGGACTCCATTTAAGGCAGATATTGAGAGGATACCTCTTGTAACGCAGGTCTAGTAGTAAAGAATTCCCTCAGCTTTTATCTGGGACAGTTCTTATTTCTCCTCCTTTTTTTCTTTTTAAAATAAAAATTTTAATTGTGTATATTTAAGGTATGCAGCATGATGTTATGGGATACATATAGAGAATAAAATGGTTACTATAGTGAAGCAAGTTAACATATCCATCATCTCACATAATTACCGTTTTTTTTTTGTTATTGTGGCAAGAGCAGCTAAAATCTACACATTTAGCATGAATCTCATATACAGTACAATTTTATTACCTATAGTATTTATGTTGTACATTAGATCTCTTAACTTGTTAATCCTGTATATCTGCTATTTTGTATCCTCTGAACTGCATCTCTGTATTGTCTTCCCTTCTTCCCATGCATGGTGTATTAGTCAGGGTTCTCTAGAGGGACATAACTAATAGGATAGATGTATATATAAAGGGGAGTTTATTAATGAGTATTGACTCACACGATCACAAGGTGAAGTCCCACTATAGGCTGTCTGCAAGCTGAGGAGCAAGGAAGCCAGTTCAAGTCCCAAAACCTCAAAAGTAGGGAAGCTGACAGTGCAGCCAACCTTCAGTCTGTGGTCAAAGGTCCACGAGTCCAAAAGCTGAAGAACTTGGAGTCCGATGTTTGACGACAGGAAGCATCCATCACGGGAGAAAGATGGAGGCCAGGAGACTCAGCCAGTTTATTCCTTCCATATTCTTCTGCCTGCTTTTATCCTAGCCACGCTGGCAGCTGATTAGATGGTGCACACCCAGATTGAGGGTGGGTCTGCCTCTCCTAGCCCACTGACTCAAATGTTAATCTCCTTTGGCAATATCCTCACAGACACACCCAGGAAAAATATTTTGCATCATTCAATCTAATCAAGTTGACACTTAATATTAACCATCACACATAGTACCCTCTCTTTTGTTCTGTATCTCTGTATATAATTGGATTTTTAGAAATTTAGATGCCACATATTAAGTGAGATTATGCAATATTTTTCTTTCTGTGTCTGACTTATTTCACTTAGCATGATATCCTCCAGGCTTATCTAAGTTGTGGCATTTCGCAAGTTCTTGTTCTTTTTTAAAAGCTGAACAATATAATATTTTGTGTAGGTACTACCATTTCTTTATTTATCGATGAACATTAGATTATTTCCATATTTGGCTATTGTGACTAATGCTGCAATGAACATGGGAGTGTAGGTATCTTCACAAGATGGTGATTTCATTTCCTTTGGGTATATGCTCAGAAGAGGGATTACTGGGTCATATGCTAGTTCTATTTTTAATTTTTAAAGAAATGTCCATACTGCTTTTCATAACAGCTGTACCAATCTATATTTTCACCAATGGTATACAAGAGTTCTCCTTTCTCCACACTCTTACCAACATTTGTTATCTTTTGACATTTTGATTGTAGCTATCCCAATGGTTGTAAGGCAGTATCTCATAGTGGTTTCAATTTGCATTTTCCTGATGATTAATGTTTTTGAGCACCTTTTAATGTACATGTTGGCTATTTTTATGTCTTCTTTAGAGAAATACCTGTTCAAGCTTTTTGCCTTCTAAAAATCAGGTTGTTTTCCATTATTGAGTTGCGTGAACTCTTTATCAATTTTAGATCTTAACCTCTTATCAGATATATGTTTTGCATAGATTGTTTTCCCAATCTCTAAGTTGCTGGTCTGTTTTGTTTATGGTTTTCTTTGCTATGCAGAATCTTTTAAGTTTGATGTAGTCTAATTTATTAATTTTTGCTTTTCCTTAGTTTTTGGTGTGATATCAAACAAATTACTGCCTATGTTCTCTTCTAGGAGTTTTAGAGTTTCTGATCTTATATTTAGGTCTTATACCCATTTTTAGTTTATTTTTTTCAGGGATAAGATAATGGCCTGTGGGCCGGGCACTGTGGCTAACACCTGTAATCTCAGCACTTTGGGAGGCTGAGGCGGGCCTCAGCACTGGAGGTCAGAAGTTCGAGACCAGCCTGGCCAACATGATGAAACCCTATCTCTATTAAAATAAATACAAAAATTAGCTGGGCGTGGTGGCACATGCCCGTAATCCCAGCTACACAGGAGGCTGAAGCACGAGAATCTCTTGAACCCAGGAGACGGAGGTTACAGTAAGCCAAGATCACAGCACTGCACTCCAGCCTGGGCAACAGAGTGAGACTTCGTCTCAAAAAAAAAAAAAAAAAAAAAAGTTAATGGCCTGTGGATACTGAATTTCCTGGCACCATTTATTGAAGAGACTATCCTTTCCCCATTTTGTCTTCTCTGTGCCCTTGGGAAAAATTAGTTGACAGCATATGTTTGGTATTATTCAGTATTTCTGGGTTGTCTATATTTTCCACTGGTCTGTGTGTCTGTTTTTAAGGCAATATCTAGTGTTTTTACTACTATAGATTAGTAATATAATTTTAAATCAGGAAGTGTGATGCTTCCACCTTTGTTTTCTTTCTCAGAATTGTTTTGGCTATTTGGGGTCTTTTATGGTTCCATATGAATTTTAGTATTTTTTTTCTATTTCTGTGAAGAATGCCATTGGGATTTTGATAGGAATTTTATTGAAATCTGTATATTGCTTTGGGCAGCATGTACATTTTAAGAATATTAATTCTTCTGATCCATGAGCATAGGCTATATTTTCTTTTATTCTGTTTTCAGTTTCTTTAAGCAGTATTTTATAATTTTCAGTGTAGAGTTCTTTCACTGCCTTTGTTAAATTTATTCCTAAGTATTTTGTTGTTTTTCATGTTATTGTAAATGGTGTAAACTCTTTAAAGGTCAGTTTGTATTTTATTGGCATTCTCAGTGTTGGTTCTATTTAGATATTTTATTTTTTATGCCGTCATAAATGGGATTTTTAAAAATGTCTTTTTAATTTGTTATTTGTGTATAAAATGCTGATAGTTTTTGTTTGTTGATTTTATATCCTGCAACTTTACTGAATTTGTGTATTAATTGTAATAGTTTCTTTTAGGTGGAATCATTGTTGGTTTTTTCCCCCATATAGGATTATGTTATCTGCAGATAGGGATATTTTTACTTCCTCTGTTGTGATGTGGATGTCTTTTATTTCTTTTTCTTGTCTGACTGTTTTTTCTAGTACTTTCAGTACTATGTTGAATAGAAGTGATGAGATTGGGCATCCTTGCTTTGTTTTGGATCTTAGTGTAAAACATTCAGTTTTTCCCAATTGATTATAATTTTACCTATGGGTTTTTCAAAAGTGAAGTGACTTTTATTATGTTGAGGAACTTTCCTTCTATAGATTTCCTCATTTTTGAAGGATATTTTTGCTGACATAGTATTCTTGGTTAGAATTTTTCTTTCAGCACTTTCAATACATTATCCTATTCCCTTCTGGTCAGTGAGGTTCCTGCTGAACAAACCCACTGATAGTCTTATAGAGACTCTTTTGTACATAATGAGTCAATTTTATCTTGCTGCTTTCAAAATTCTCCTTGGCCAGGTGCGGTGGCTTACGCCTGTAATCCCAGCACTTTGGGAGGCCGAGGTGGGCAGATCACGAGGTCAGGAGTTTGAGACCAGGATGACCAACATGGTGAAATCCCATCTCTACTAAAAATACAAAAGTTAGCTGGGTATGGTGGTGGGCACCTGTAATCCCAGCTACTCGGGAGGCTGAGGCAGGAGAATTGCTTGAACCCGGGAGGTGGATGTTGCAGTGAACCAAGATTGTGCCGCTGCACTCCAGCCTGAGCAACAGAGTGAGACTCCCTCTCAAAAAAAAAAAAAAAAAAAAAAAAAAAAATCAAAATTCTCCTTTTGTCTTGGTCTTTGGACAATTTAATTTCAATGTATTGCAGTGTAGATTTCTTTGTGTTTATTTTAGTTCATGAGTTTTGGGCTTCTTGAATCTGGATGTCTATTTCCTTCCCTGATTTTGGGAAGTTTTTAGCCATTATTTCTTCAAATAAGTACTTTATCCTTTCTCTCTCTCTCTCTCCTTCTTCTTTGTGAACTTATATAATGTGCCTATGGATCCGCTTGATGGTATTCTGTAAGTCCCTAGGCTTTATTCTCTTTTTTCATTCTTTTTTCTTTTTGCTTCCTTGATGTGATAATTTACAATGACCCATCTTTGAGTTTGCTGAATATTTCTTATGCTTGATCAAGTCTGCTATTGAATCTCTGTAGTCAATTTTCCAATTTAGGGATTGTTTTCTTCAGGTCCAAAATGTCTGGTTCTTCATTATGTGTTGTGTCTCCTTGTGGAGCTTCTCATTTTGTTTATGTATCGTTTTCCTGAGGCCATTGAACATCCTTGTGATGATTATTTTGAATTATTTGTCAGGTAATTGATATGCCTCTGCTTCTTTAGGTTTGTTTGTTATTTATTCTGGTCCTTTGATTGGGTCATGTTTTCTTTTTTTCTTTTTTTTTTTGTCTTATAACTTCTTGTTGATATCCACATGTTTCAAAAAGTATGTGACATATAATTCAGATTCACAAGATGTAAGATGCCATTAGGAATGAGGCAGTTGCTTAGTCCATATCTCTATTTCTATTTTGTAGTCTTGTCTCAGTTTTAGAGTTTATTAGTCTTTTGGTCTTACTTAGTTAAGCCGAATATGGCCATCTCATCTCCACCTTCCTGTTTCCTTTTGAATCTTCAAGCTGATGCAGTTGATTTGTGCCAAGTAAACCTACTGGCTGGCATGGGAGTGGTGCTCATGCTATTCTCTTCAACCAGGGAAGAGGAATGCTCAGTTGCATGATGTATAGAGCTGCTTCTTTAAGGTGTTTGGGGTGGAATAGAAATTAAACGTATCTAATGTAATTGGGAAGAAGAATTATAGTATTTGGGGAGGCATGCAAAGATAAATTATTTTCAGCACATTCTGTTATTGTGCATAAAAATATTTACATATTCTCCACCTTTATTTATAGAACAGGAATCCCAGAGAAACTGAAATATAATAATTACTCACACAGATAAATGAACTCTAAAATCAAACAGAATTTCTTGGCTACCCTTGATCTTTTAACTAATATAACCTGTTATAATAACTTTGGGGCGGGCATATACATACCACATATGTTATTATAAGTGGTTTTAGAGATCTGGAAATAATTATTGCTTTCTTCACCTTGTGACCTACTAGGATGACTTACTAAATTTTTTTCGTGTTGTTTTGGAGGAATGTTCCCATTTATTCTGCTGTTAACTTACTTTGGAAGGGATAACTTCCTAGTTGGTCTAAATTTTGTTGCAAACCTTACATAACACTCTCATGACCTTAATCATGGTAGATGTGCCCATGTGAGTCCAATTCTTTTGAGTAACTAATGATTGAAAGGTATGTACAGAATACTATTCAGATTGTATCTTGTTTTTTCTTGTATTTCATAGAGTTCAATAGTTGAGGTACATTTGGAGACCTTAATCTTCTAGCAGTTTATCATGGTTCCTTCTGTTGAATAAGGCTGGTCCCATTTTTTTTTTCTCTTCCTATAGTCACACATAGAATGGTGTAATGATTTTTTCATTGGCAGATTCAGGCTGAACTTCATATCCAGATTCATGGGGACTTGAGAAGGAAGAACTTAAACCATGCTCATGTCTGTGATCTTTTACCTTCTAATTATTAGTTTCCCAAGAAAAGAATTAGTCATATAGTCTTTAAGTATTGTGGCTTATCATATAGTTCTTTCTAATCATATAGTAGTAATTTATCCTTCTGGTATCTATCTTAATCTCACATGCATTTTAGATGCCTTGAGTTAGGCTTCCAGATCTGATCATCCAGTACAAGAAGTGAGTCCTATAAAGAACAAGTCCAGACCCTGGAATATGGCAGTCTCCTCAAGGTCCTGCCAGGTGCTTGTTGCCTGCTACCTTTTCCATCATTTTTTTCAGTTATAAATGTCTATACATATATCAGATAGAGCCTTCCCCTATGCTTTTTCTGATGCTGGGGTTGACTTGTTTTAATATTTGGTTACTCCATGAGAATTTCACCTGCTGCTGTGGGTCAGCAGGACCCTCCCATAAGGACTCATTTTCTGCTGAATGAGCTGAGTAGCCATTCACACTTCCCATAGTTCGCCAAGCCGAAAGATGTTTTGAGAGTCTGTATACTTTAGATTCCAACCCTCTGTACAGGAACCCAAATTTGGATGGCAAATATATTTTATTATCAGTGTATATCCTATTACTTGGTAGTAGCTATGTGGAAAGGGTACAAAGGCTGACCCTCTATGCTTCAAGGCCAACTTTTGGCCATGGTAAGAAGAATGAGAAGTATCTAATAAGAAGGACTGAGGTCCTCATTGTTCCAACTATAGGACATACCTATAAATCCTGATAGAAGTATATTCAGCATGTCACTTTAACTAATATTCATCCTTAAACTTGGGTGATCATCTGTGAGGAAGGAAGTTTGGGGAATCTATTGTTAGCATGCTTGCCTTTTTCAGTTGGTCCTTATCTTTGATTCTCTGAAACTCTCCTCTATTTTATGCTTACAGTTTTGCCACCAAGGCTTATAATGTCTCATATTTCCTGAATTACCTGGGTTGCTGTGACACATTGACATTGATTTAAAAAGTGTATTGGGTTCTAATATCCCAGATACTGTCTTAGACGCTTAACTAACTAGCATCTTGAACTAGCATTTAAGTTGCTCTTATCTGATATTCAGCCACCTACCCTCCCCAGAGCTCACTCTCCATGCTTGCTCTACCTTTGTTCAATGGCTTGGGCTTCTGCTTTTGCCTATATTCTCTGAGTTTCTCATTGAGTTAACTGTCTGGTTCCTGTCCCTCCACGCTTTGCCTTGCTATCACAATTCCTTATATGAGAATTTGGTGCTGAGTTTCTGAGCCTCATCCTCATATCTGGGATCCTGCAGCCTGTGACTCTCTATATATCTCTTGGGCCATTTAACTACTGTGAGTTTCAAGACTTTTGCTATCAAAATTTTTCATCTCCCATATGCCATACTTTATCTTGCTGACTGCTTTCTTTTCTTTTCTTTTCTTTTTTTTTTTTTTTTGAGATGGAGTCTTGCTCTGTTACCCAGGCTGGAGTACAGTGGCACAATCTCAGCTCACTGGAACCTCTGCCTCCTAGGTTCAAGCAATTCTCCTGCCTCAGCCACCTGAGTAGCCAGACTACAGGTGCGCGCCACCACCCCCAGCTAATTTTTGTATTTTTAGTAGAGACAGGGTTTCGTCATGTTGGCCAGGCTGGTCTCAAACTCCTGACCTCAGGTGATCCTCCCACCTCTGCCTCCCAAAGTGCTGGGATTACAGGCTTGAGCCACCATACCTGGCCATGACTGCTTCCTAGTACTGCACTTACTCAAATTTTCCATACTCTGGGATGAAACTCTGCTGTCACCTGGGCCTGTACTCTAATGCCACTTTAGGTCTAGTGGGCAGGCCTAATTTCAGGGCCTCCCCCAATCTCTGTCTCACTATGTATACTCTGTGTTTTCTCATTGATAAATCCAGAGATATGATGAACAGATATGCTTGGGAAACATTATTGGCAATACACTATATAAGCCAATTTAGAATATTTTTATTGTAACTATAGTTACTATTTTTTTCTAGCTTGATTCTTTGCTTGTAGGTAGTGAAATGTGGTGACAGCTTGACTAAAGCTCTGTTCTATAAATGCCTTTAGTCTGAGGTAAATGTAGGCTTTGTCAGAAATGATATTTTCATATATGGTACATAGATGGTACAGAACTGTGATTATTGTAACATGTTTGAGATACAACAAAGAGTACTTAAAAATATTTCATACGCTCAAGGAATTTTTACCTTGGGTTGTTCCTGAAAAATCAATATGGTCCCTTGTCTAGCATTTTTTGTGTAGTTTCTATAAAGTAGTAGCTGCTTTTGGTAGGCTATTCAAAATAATCTGGCTTAGCATTCTTTTGGAATTTTTACCTTGGGGTGTTGCTGAAAAATCAATATGGTCTCTTGTCTAGAATTTTTTTTGCATAGTTTCTGTGAAGCAGTAGCTGCTTTTGGCAGGCTATTCAAAATAATCTGGCTTAGCATTCTTTATAATACAGTTAGTTCAGGTTTCTTAAAACCAGTTTTTGGCCTATATTCCTCAGGAAGAAAAACTCTGTGTCATTTTACCTTGTGCCCAAGATACATGATAACTGCCTTCTTGAATAACAGCAGGCTTTCTAGGCTTTCTTCACACAAAGTTTTCTTTATGAGAAAAATAATATCCATTGACAACACGTAAAGAATAGAAAATATATGAGGCAGTTGCCCATTTCCCTCCTTGTCATTACCTCCACACCCAGTATCAGAAATGGAGTGATTGAAAATCCTACATATGTTGGATTGGAAGTAAAATTTAATTTATTTGAGGAACCTCAAGGATATATGTGAGCATTCCAATTTCCTATTATGGAATTAGCAAAACCTAGCCTGGATCTGGGGCAGGAAATCAGTATATAATGTTGCTTTCAAGGTTACTCTAGAATTACCTAATTCAAAGCAAGGGCTTATATTTAGCAATGAGCTCTCAACATGGTTTGTTCCATGTAAAAAATGTCCTGCCAATGCCAAATTGGTAGTAGGTGAAGTTGGAGACTCCAGGGCTCATCTACCATTTGTGGCATTGTTCCATCCATAGATGACACTGTTCTTAATTTGTAAGCAGAGCAGTCTGTGCCTCATTGCCATCTGGCTCAGCCCAGTTCCAGTGCCATAAGGTGAACTGAACTGTCAGTGGTAGGAAATAGTGCTCTATGTTTGTCATGATGTACTAGCACAGACCCAGAAGTCAATAACTGCTTGGCATTCCAGAAAACATTCTCATGGCGGTAAGTTAAACTTCATGGAATGTCTTTTTCCAGTGGGTGATGAAGTCATTTAGCAATGGTTACCTTTTGTGGAAGAAAATCTTGTTAAAAAGTAAGTAGCCCTGGGAAGCCTTGAAGTTTATGCTCTTGTTTTGAAGTAGACATACTACAAATTTTTTGTATTTTATTTAAGCCAGGGAAAATACTAGATGCACTGATGAAGTAACTTAAGAAGATAACATAGGAACTTCGAGTTGTACATTTTTTTCTTTTCCCACTTGATTATATGATATATTGTGTTGACATGGACTTCTGAAACCCCTATGTTTTCATCTTTAGTCAGCTTTATAATTAGGATGTCATCAAATGAGGCTAACATGCCTGGAAGCCCAGAAAGCAAAGTCCCTGGGAAGGAGTAGAAACTTCCAGGAGCAGCAGAAATTCTCAATTGACCTTCTCAATTCCCCGCCTTCACATCTGCTCCACAGTCTGCACTTCTGTATCTTATATCTCAGGGGTGGTCACATCTTCTGTGTGGAGCTGCTCTAAATAGAGAAACTAAACACTGAACCTCCATTCCCTCTCCTTTTGTGTCTCCTAGTTTGATCATGAAGTTCTTTAGTTTTGTCGTGTCATCAAATTCCTTGACCCATCATTATTTTCTCAGTCTTGTAAAAGATCTCCCTCTCCAGGAGAGGAGGTTTCTCACGATGAGCGTATGATGAAAATGTGCATTTGTGTTTGGTTTCCCTATCAGTGAATTTTGTTGTGCCAGAATTTGCACAGCTTCTAGTGAGAAGGATGTCTTTCTTCGGGAGTAATACAATCTGGTCTCCTGTGAGGCAATGCTTGGTTTTGACCTTGTCCTTTAAAAATTCTAGACACTTGCCCTTGCTGCTGTCTCCCCACATCATTTCATTCAGAAGCAATTGTTTCTTGAATTTCTTACAGGAGACAGTCCTGACTGTTTACAGCCCAATTCGCTGCGTATGATTTGAGCTCTCCCTGTGATAAAGAATCTGGTAGTGGTGTGTGTGCACGGCATGTTATCACCTGGTTTGCTTTCTGTTAGAGTGAGGCAACCAACAGAATGAGGAGAAGAGAAGGAGGAGTGATTTGCAGGGCCAGTGAAGGCCTGGGAGTCAAGACCTAAGGGCTTAGAATTCACTGAGGAGTTCCTTTCTTGTGGGACCAAGTACAGTAGTAATTATATAATAATTATAATATACTATAATATACTACTGTATATATAGAAAGTATATATGTAGAAATTGTGTGTGTGTATATATAATATGGTATATATATATATGGTATATATATGGTGTATATATATATATATATATATATATATATATATATATATATATATATGGATAGAGAGAGAGAGAGAGAGTTGCTGCTGTCTCATAGCAGCAACTATTTTATGTACTTCACACTGTGGATCTCTAGGCATAACCCGAACCTGCCTCACTCCTTTAATCACTGATTGAAGCATTCTACATTCTAACCATCCATCGTCTCTTGTTCTTTCACCTTACTTATTCAGCTACTCCCATCGTGACTACTCCTACACCTCATCAGGACTTCTGACCCACTGAGACACCTCCCCATGCCTAGCCATAATCTCCTATCTTTACCACTTTCTTTCTTATGCAGCTAGTCTGTGGCTCATTGCTCAGTAACATTCTGGCGGATTTTCCTACACATATATCTTTTTGTCATATCCATCTGGCAACATCCTAAAGCTAGTGAATGTAAATATACTTTAGTCTATGTCTGGATAGCTGAGAGATGATAGAGAAAGTCACTCAGTTGGGCTCTCAACATGTCAGTATTCCAGTTGTGTTAACTGGTCCCGGTGCTACGCCACTGTCTTCAGTGATATGTCAGAACTTCTCTACTCTTTTTTAGTCTTTCATTCTCATAACTCCCCAATCTTCTCTCAGTTAATAAGAAGGTAGAAGCATCCAGTGGGAACTTCCTGAGTCCTCCTCGACATGGGAACTCCATCTGCAGCCATGCTCATGCTGTGCTTTCAGTCCGTGCTCATCCCTGCGCTTCACAGCCAGACTGCTCAAACAGATGTCTGTGTGTGCTTGCTCCCTTTCCTTAACAGTTATGGAGTCCGTGATTCATGTCAAACTGCATTCTGTTCGCATCATGACACCAGACACCTCTTGCTGATGTAATGGAAGTCTACTTTGTAGGCATTCTTCAGTCCTCATCTTACGCTCTGAGTACTTCTGCCTGGATTTCAAATGGGAGAGGCCTTCAGACTCCTCACTTAACTCCCTTTTTTTCCTACTCTGCAGTGTGAACTTTCTTCCTAAATGATTTGGTCCATGTGATGACTTCAATTATAGATAATAAGCAAATGAGTCAAGTTTTTTGTCTGTGTGTGTGTGTTTTTTTTTTTTTTTTTTTTTTTTTTTTTTTTAAGACTGGTTCCTGCTCTGTTGCCCAGGCTGGAGTGCAGTGGCCTGATCTCAGTTCACTGCAACCTCTGCTTCCCGGGTTGAAGTGATTCTTCTGCCTCAGCCTCCCAAGTAGCTGGGACTACAGGCATGCACCACTACGCCTGGCTAATTTTTGTATTTTTAGTAGAGACGGGGTTTCGCTAATGTTGGCCAGGCTGGTCTCAAACTCCTGGACTTAAGTGATCCACCTGCCTTGGCCTCCCAAAGTGCCAGGATTACAGGAATGAGCCATTGCACCCAGCCAAGTTTTTATCCACAGTTCAGACTTTCACCTGGTACCCAAGTCTTACTCATGTGAACTTGTCACTGGACTATCTCAAAAGCTCCTTAGAAACTTAAGCATCATCATGACACCTTTTTCCCCCTTAGATTTCAACTCTCAACCATGATATTCATGATATTTACCAAGTCAGTAAATTTTACCATCTCAATCTATTTCTAGGGACTTTTCTAGGATCACTTTTCTAGGGACTCTTTCCTGGCTTCAGCGCTCCCAACCAAGACAACATTATGTCCACCTCTCCTAAGATCTCATTGTTTGGGGGGCTGAGGTTGGAGGATTGCTTGAAGCCAGGATTTTGAGACCAGCCTGTGCAACACAGTGAGACTCCATCTGAGTAGTCCCAGCGACTCAGGAGGCTATGTGAGGAGGATCTCTTAAACCTAGCAGTTTGAGACTGCAGTGAGCTAGGATTATGCCAGTTTACTCCAGCCTGGGTGACAGAGAGAGATGCTGTCTTTAAAAAAAAAAAAGATCTCACTGGGTTTTGTACTTTTCTTTTCCAGTGCCTGTCACTGTTTGTAATTACTTATGTGAATGTTTGATTAGTGTCTGCTACTTTATTAGAATGTATGTCTCATTTGTCTTGTCATTTTCTACCCATTGTACCCAGAGCCTAGCACATAGTGAGTTATATCAACAAATATTTGCCAAGTACATGAATCAATGTACTTTATGAACTTAGTCAAAATAATTTTAAAGGTAAGTACTGATGATTCCTATTTTAGAGATGTCAAAACTGAGGCTCTTAAATTATGTAAATTGTCTAATATCACACAGGTTAATTATTAATAAATGTCTTGGGTGGGATTCATTTTGCTATTTTATCCTCCAGGCCTTACTGGGGTAAGGTTGGCTTTTTAAGGATCTTAGTTGGACCAGACATTTTCTTCAGAGTTTCAGTATGAAATTTAATAATTTTTTATTTGTGATATTAACTATGAAATAGGGCTTGATTTGAATACAAAACAAACTAAAAAAACCCCTCCAGTTTAAATGAACTTAGAATGTTGAAGCAAATTTTGAAAAAGATATTTTGTGTCATTAAAAACAATGCTATTTAAAAATGCTTGTGATAGGATGTTAAAAAAATGCAGTCCAGAAATTCATGTATAGTAAGATATTCATGTAACTGCATGACCAGTTCTTCTTGCCTGTTGCAGAGATGGAGCCAATTTGCTGAAACAGCAGTGTTACAGTAGAGAAAGAGTTTAATAATCACAGGGCCAGCAAAGTGTGGGAAGTATGGGAGTATGGGAGTTTGGAAGTATGGGAGACATTTCTCAAGTCAGCCTCCCAAACAGCTTGGAGTTTAGTGATTTAAAGAGTAATTTGGCAGGCTGAGGGAGAGGGATTTGGTGCTGCTGATTGGTTGGGGATGAAATCTTAGCAGTGTCCAAATTATCTTAGTACTCTGAGTGAGTTTCTGGGTGGGGGGTCTCAGGACTGGTTGTATTACTTCCTTCATATGACTCATGGGTCTGGGTAGAGTTAAGTCATTCGCCAGAATGTCAAAGTCTGAAAAATATTTCAAAGACCAATCTTAGGAGGTTTTGACGATAGTGATGTTATCTATAGGAGCACTTAGGAAGTCACACGTCTTTTGACTTCTGAAATAGTAAATCCTTATAGAAAGGTAAGCAAGGGAACTATGCTGGTTATCATTTCATTAAGCCATATCTTAGCAGAATTCAAGTCCCTTCTCTAATGCTAATATTGTATTCTTTCATTACTCTTAAAAGGCAGTTTTGATCCCTGAGCAAGGAGGGCTCTTGGAAGGGACTGTAAAGTTAAAGAAGTCAGTTAGCTTGTGAAATTAGAAACAAGATGGAGTCAGTTAGGTTAGATTTCACTCACCAATAATTTTTCTGTCATATTTCTCTCAAAAGTAGTTTCCTTAATAATGTAAAAACACATACAAAGAAACTAGAAAGAAGAATGCTACTTAATAGTTGCTTCTTCTGGGTGATGATATCATGCAGTTTTTTTTTCCGTCTTATATTTTTCTGTACTTCCCCAATTTTCTACAGTGATAACATATTATGTTTTATTTATTTATTTTTGTCTTTACATAGGACCATTTAATGCCTTCTTTACTAGAAAAGTTGTTGATGGTAATCTAGCTCATATACTTTACCTGGGAGTTGGGACTTGCAAAATGGCTTAATTTGGTAGTTTCCAAACCTTGTTAAAAAGCTTAAAAAGTCCCAAATTCTTATAAAAAGCTCATTTTTAAAAATTATACTTTAAGTTCCAGGGTACATGTTTACAACGTGCAGGTTTGTTACATGTGTATACATGTGCCATGTTTGTGTGCTGCACCCATTAACTCGTCATTTACATTAGGTATATCTCCTAATGCTATCCCTCCCCCTTCCCCCCACACCATGACAGGCCCCAGTGTGTGATGCTCTCCATCCAATGTCCAAGTGTTCTCATTGTTCAATTACCACCTATGAGTGAGAACATGCAGTGTTTGGTTTTCTGTCCTTGTGATAGTTTGCTCAGAGTGATGGTTTCCAGCTTCATCCATGTCCCTACAAAGGACATGAACTCATCCTTTTTTATGGCTGCATAGTATTCCATGGTGTATATGGGCCACATTTTCTTAATCCAGTCTATCATTGATGGACATTTGGGTTAGTTCCAAGTCTTTGCTATTGTGAATAGTGCCGCAGTAAACATACGTGTGCACGTGTCTTTATAGCAGTATGATTTATAATCCTTTAGGTATATACCCAGTAATGGGATGGCTGGGTCAAATGGTATTTCTAGTTTGAGATCCCTGAGGAATCACCACCCTGTCTTCCACAATGGTTGAACTAGTTTACAGTCCCACCAACAGTGTAAAAGTGCTCCTATTTCTCCACATCCACTCCAGCACCTGTTGTTTCCTAACTTTTTAATGATCACCATTCTAACTGGTGTGAGATGGTATCTCATTGTGATTTTGATTTGCATTTCTCTGATGGCCAGTGATGATGAGCATTTTTTCATGTGTCTGTTGGCTGCATAAATATCTTCTTTTGAGAAGTGTCTGTTCATATCCTTTGCCCACTTTTTGATGGGGTGTTTGATTTTTTCTTGTAAATTTGTTTAAGTTCTTTGTAGATTCTGGATATTAGCCATTTGTGTGATGGGTAGATTGCAAAAATTTTCTCCCATTGTGTAGGTTGCCTGTTCACTCTGATGGTAGTTTCTTTTGCTGTGCAGAAGCTCTTTAGTTTAATTAGATCCCATTTGTCAGTTTTGGTTTTTGTTGCCATTGCTTTTAATGTTTTAGTCATGAAATCCTTGCCCTTGCCTATGTCCTGAATGGTATTGCCTATGTTTTCTTCTAGGGTTTTTATGGTTTTAGGTCTAACATTTAAGTCTTTAATCCATCTTGAATTAATTTTTGTATAAGGTGTAAGGAAGGGACCCAGTTTCAGCTTTCTACATATGGCTAGCCAGTTTTCCCAGCACCATTTATTAAATAGGGAATCCTTTCCCCATTTCTTGTTTTTGTCAGGCTTGTCAAAGATCAGATGGTTGTAGATTTGTGGTATTATTTCTGAGGGCTCTGTTCTGTTCCATTGGTCTATATCTCTGTTTTGGTACCAGTACCATGCTGTTTTGGTTACTGTAGCCTTGTAGTGTAGTTTGAAGTCAGGTAGCGTGATGCCTCCAGCTTTGTTCTTTTGGCTTAGGATTATCTTGGCAATGCGGGCTCTTTTTTGGTTCCATATGAACTTTAAAGTAGTTTTTTCCAATTCTGTGAAGAAAGTCATTGGTAGCTTGATGGGGATGGCATTGAATTTGTAAATTACCTTGGGCAGTATGGCCATTTTCATGTTATCGATTCTTCCTATCCATGAGCGTGGAATGTTCTTCCATTTGTTTGTGTTCTCTTTTATTTCGTTGAGCAGTGGTTTGTAGTTCTCCTTGAAGAGGTCCTTCACATCCCTTGTAAGTTGGATTCCTAGGCATTTTATTCTCTTTGAAGCAATTGTGAATGGGTGTTCACTCGTGATTTGGCTCTCTGTTTGTCTGTTATTGGTGTATAAGAATGCTTGTAATTTTTGCACATTGATTTTGTATCCTGAGACTTTACTGAAGTTTCTTATCAGCTTAAGGAGATTTTGGGCTGAGACGATGGGGTTTTCTAAATATACAATCATGTCATCTGCAAACAGGGACAATTTGACTTCCTCTTTTCCTAATTGAGTACCCTTTATTTCTTTCTCTTGCCTGATTGCCCTGGCCAGAACTTCCAACACTATGTTGAATAGGAGTGGTGAGAGAGGGCATCCTTGTCTTGTGCCAGTTTTCAAAGGGAATGCTTCCAGTTTTTACCCATTCAGTATGACATTGGCTGTGGATTTGTCATCAATACCTCTTATTATTTTGAGATACATCCCACCAATACCTCGTTTATTGAGAGTTTTTAGCATGAAGCGCTGTTGAATTTTGTCGAAAGCCTTTTCTGCATCTATGGAGGTAATCATGTGGTTTTTGTCTTTGCTTCTCTTTATGTGATGGATTATGTTTATTGATTTGCATATGTTGAACCAGCCTTGCATCCCAGGGATGAAGCCAACTTGATCATGGTGGATAAGCTTTTTGAAGTGCTGCTTGATTTGGTGCAGAAGGCAAGAAATAACTAAGATCAGAGCAGAACTGAAGGAGATAGAGACACAAAAAACCCTTAAAAAAATCAATGAATTCAGGAGCTAGCTTTTTGAAAAGATCAACAAAATAGATAGACCGCTAGCAAGACTAATAAAGAAGAAAAAAGAGAAGAATCAAATAGACGCAATAAAAAATGATAAAGGGGATATCACCACTGATCCCACAGAAATACAAACTACCATCAGAGAATACTATAAACACCTGTATGCAAGTAAACTAGAAAATCTAGTAGAAATGGATAAATTCCTGGACACATACACCCTCCCAAGACTAAACCAGGAAGAAGTTGAATCCCTGAATAGACCAATATCAGGCTCCGAAATTGAGGCAATAATTAATAGTCTACCAACCAAAAAAGTCTAGGATCAGGCGGATTCACAGCCAAATTCTACCACAGGTACAAAGAGGAACTGGTACCATTCCTTCTGAAAGTATTCCAAACAATTGAAAAAGAGGGAATCCTCCCTAACTCATTTTATGAGGCCAGCATCATCCTGATACCAAAGCTTGGCAGAGACACAACAAAAAAAGAGAATTTTAGACCAATATCCATGATGAACATCTATGCAAAAATCCTCAATAACATATTATTTTTTAAAGTTCTTATTTAAGATGTTTATTAAATAAATACTGTAGCAGTAACAGGGAACAAATAATTATTAAAAAGAACTCCTAATCTTACCTGAATCTTTATAAAATCTATTTGATAATCTTTAGGCTGATTATATTCTGAGGCTCAGTTGCCATGAGTTCTTCACTTTTCAATGATCATTGACTAGTTACCTTTGCATAAAATTATTATGTTTACTGGTTTGTTTTAAAGGATATTAACAAGGGTACAGATGAAGAGATGTGTATTGTAAGGTATAGGGAGGGGTATGGAGCTTCCATTTCCTCCCAGGGCATGCCATCCTTCAGGAACCTCTGCATGTTCAGCTATCTAGAATCTTCTTAAAAATTTTAAACTTTTATATTGATAAAAGATATATTTAAATATATGTTGGCGGCTGCAGGGAAAAATATGCATTTCTTTACTTATTAAAAGGAAATGAACAGCCCAGAAAATATAAACTTATTGGACATATCACTGATCCAAAATTTGGCAAGCCTTTCTTCACATTATATATTCCAACACAGATTGTTACTTCACATTTACTTATTCGCCCCCCATCTCACCCTTCTCCACAAAAAAGCAAGCAAACAACCTGTGTAACTTCACAGTTGTCAATGGTTCCTTGCAATACTTCAGCTCAAAATCTTTTGTACCTCACCTACAGCTTTGTTGCAGATTTTCTTTCTGTAGTTGAGAAACACTAATGCATTGTCTATGACACTAACTTTACTTTTGCCCTCATGGACAAGGGAGAATGTTTGAAAGAGTTTATGTGATATCTCCTTAATAGCATTCCTTACCAAATCAAGCAACAATGTAAATAGAATAAAACCTTTTTATAATGTATTTCTTGGGATCTATTTTAGTTACCATTGTGCTATCTGGAAGCAATCATTTGGTTGATTCATTAGCATTTACCAACTATTTATTAATTGCCTAACATTCTTCAGATATCATGTTAGGATGATGAAGACTGAAATTAAGACATGACCAATACAATCTCCCAGTTCCACTCTACCAGCACTGTATAAAATAACTTTATGTTATGATGGAAGTACTCTGTGTCTGTGCTGGCTAATACAGTAGCCACTAGCCACACGTGGCTATTGAATGCTTGATATTTAGCTAGTGTGACTATGGATCTGAATTGTTAATTGTTAATAACAGGTTTATTGGAATGTAATTCATGTACCATATAATTCACCCATTTATAGTGCACAATTCAGTGATTTTTAGTGTATTCAGAGTTGTGCAACCATCAGTCAATTTTGGAACATTTTCATTACCCTGACAAGAAACCCAGTATTCATTAACAATCACTCCCCATCTTCCCCCAGCTTCCACTGCTTTATGCAGCCACTAGTGTTTTTTTCTGTCTTGATGGATTTGCCTATTTTAGACATTTCTTATAAATAGAATCACAATATTTGGCCTTTAGTGACTGGCTAATTTCAGTTTATTTAAATTTAATGATCACATGCGGCTAGTGGCTAATGTAAGAAGCAAGTGAAGTGAAAGACCAAAGACAGATGCTTAAGGAATGCTGAAGGCTCAGGAGAAGAAAATCCTGCAGAAAGGGTATGTGTAAAACAGAGAGCTAGGAGATGAACTTGGACAGAGCCTGAAGATAAGAGACTTTCATGGAGGAGGGAATGGTTAACAGTACCAAATAATACAGAGGGTTCAAAAAGTATAGTTCAGTGTGATAGTAAGTATCCCGATGACAGAGGTCACTAGAATGTGGTCTTGGTGGGGAAGTGAGGGCAGGTGGCGCTCTTATGTCATTATAGAAGAAGGGAACAAAGGAACATTCAAGATACCTTGAAAGGGGTGTTGGGATTGATCAAAATTCTCTTCAGTTGTTGTTAATGGTATTTTTATGGAGAACTGAGCCTATATGTAGGCAGAAGAGAAGGATTCAGTGGAAATGAAGAACTTACAGATGATTAAGCAAGTTCTGGAGGATGCAGGTGGAGGTGATCAGCCCAGGAGTAAGTCCAGTCAAGGAAAACAGTCTTTTTTCTTAAAGGGAGGAGGAAGTGAAGAAAAAGTAGGTGGAGATACAGCACAGTTTTTATGTAGAAAGGATGAAAATTCAAATAGCTAATTTACTTTGGGGAAGTAGGAATGAGGCCTTCTGAGGGTAAAATTTGGTTCCTCCAATTTCACTGTGATCATATGTGGAGAAAGAAGTGCTAAAACATCCTCCAATGGGCTAGGACTGTGGGTGGTTAGAGTGTCCATCGCTGTCCACAGGAACCTGTCACCAAAAAAGGACAGACATTTTTAGGTACATAAAGCCACATGAGGTCCAGAGAGATACTGATGTGTCCATTTTTGCCACTAAAATTAAAGAGTGCCCAAAAGATTACATTTGAGTTCTTGAAAGAAGCAATGTAGCTCCATGAGGTCACTTTCCTTCCCTCTCCCAGTTCCCTCCCTCCCTCCCTCCCTCCCTCCCTCCCTTCCTTCCTTCCTTCCTTCTCCTTCCTTTGCTTCTCCCTTCTTTCTATCTATGCTTCTTACACTTTGTAGAAACATAATGCTTTTTGCCTTATAATGCTTTTTGCCCTACAGGGAAAAAATGAAAATAAAACAAAAAAATTCTTAATTGTTCCAAACCATAATGAATAGAGTATTTTATTTTGTACATTATAATGGATTTCCTTTATTTTTTTGAATCACTCTTTTTTGTTTTTTTGACAAATGTTGTAACAGTGGAAGAGTTAGGAAATGCTTAGAACCATCTAAATGAAACCAACTATCCAAATATAAAAGAAAAAGGGCCAGGCATGGTGGCTCATGCCTGTAATCCCGGCACTTTGGGAGGCTGAGGTAAGCGGATCTCGAGCCCAGGGGTTTAAGACCTGCCTGGGCAACATAGTGAGACCCCATTTCTACAAAAAGTACAAAATTAGCTGGGCATGATGCCATGCACCTGTAGTCCCAGATACACAGGAGGCTGGGGCAGGAGGATTGCTTAAACCTGGGAGGTGGAGCAGTAAGCTGAGATCGTGCCATTGCATTCCATCCTGGGAGCCTGGGTGACAGAGACAGACCCTGTCACCAAATACATACACACACACACACTCATATATACATACATACATACATAGACACATATGTGTGTGTGTGTGTATATATGTGTGTGTGTGTGTGTGTGTGTGTGTATATATATATAGAGAGAGAGAGAGAGAGAGAGAAAGAGAGAGAGAGAGAGATCTATTCTGTGATGATGGAAATATTCCGTCTGTGCTGGCTAATACAATAGCCACTAGCCACATGTGGCTATTGACTGTTTGACATTTAGTTAGTGTGTATATATATATTATATCTTTTGTGGAAGATATATATGTATACATATATGAAAAAGATACAAATTAATCGATATTGAATTAATAACATTGCTTTAGAACAAGCTTTCTATATAGATATTTTAGAAATTAAACTTTTGTGGTCTTGTCAACATATAAATAATATTTACCTGTGTATTTATTTCTTTTAGGCTTTTAAAACCAAGGATGGCTATATTGTAGTTGGAGCAGGAAATAACCAGCAGTTTGCCACCGTCTGCAAGGTAATCTATAATTATTGGGATTGGTCGATGATTTTGTACAAAGCCAGGGAAAGTTCAGTTTTGCCCAGGTCACAACCAACTTAGGCCCCCTGTGTTAGCAACTAAAAGTATAGGATATTCATGCGCATAAAGGATAAGGCAGAGTCCAAATTAGCATTCTGTGTTTTTTGTGGTATTTGGCTGTATTTTAAAGTGAAGAATCGTAGTAGCTTAAATTGTCCTAAAACTTGACCTGCCTACCATTCCAAACAAAATGGGGGAATCATTTTTAGAGGGACCTTTAACACTGGTATTTTTTTCTTTTTTTCACCTCCCTCCTTCCCTTCCTGCCTTCCTTTCTTCCTTTCGTTCTCTCCCTCCTTCTCTTTTACTATATCAGGTTAATTGGAACCATATATAGTTAAGCTACTCCCATATTTATTTTATTTACTACTGGAAATTTTAAAACTTTTTTTCAACTTAACCTTTATTTAATGAGTACCTTTCTGAAGAATTTATGTTTCAAGGTTTTAGGAATTAAGATTATATTAAATTGTTCCTTCTCAACAAGGCCTTAAAATAAAGACCTTGGAATCATTTAAAATAATTTATTCTTAGGGATATTCTAAACTTGTAGCATTTACTAAACTTCGCCATCTTGGATCACTGCAACCTCTGCCTCCTTGCTCCAAGCGATTCTCCTGCCTCAGCCTCCAGAGGAGCTGGGATGACAGGTGCGTGCCACCATGCCTGGCTATTTTTGTATTTTTAGTAGAGATGTGGTTTCACTATGCTGGCCAGGGTGGTCTCGAACTCCTGACCTCAAGCGACCTGCCCACCTTGGCCTCCCAAAGTTCTAGAATTACAGGCGTGAACCACTGCACCCGGCCTACTAGACTTTTTTTTTCTTTACTTGATGTTTATATTAGTTATCAAGACTTTGGTGTTTTGTTTTAATTTTAGAACTTAGGTATCTGTTCATTTTTTCTGGTTTTAATCCAAGTAATAGAATTTCATTTTTATTTTTATTTTTCTTAAATATATCCAAAGGCCTTACCTGTTAAGGATTTTTTTCTTTTTTTTTTTTTGAGAGACAATCAGCTTTTATACTAAATTTTACCATGAGCTTTCAGTGTTATTAAAGATGACTATGAGGGCCAGGCGCAGTGGCTCATGCCTGCAATCCCAGCACTTTGAGAGGCCGAGGTGGGCAGATTGCCTGAGCTCAGGAGTTCTCGACCAGCCTGAGCAACAAGGTGAAACCCTGTCTCTACTAATAAATACAAACAATTAGCCAGGTGTGGCAGCCATGCGCCTGTAGTCCCAGCTACTCGGCTGAGGCAGGAGAATTGCTTGAACCCGGGAGGCGGAGGTTGCAGTGAGCCGAGATTGCGCCACTGCACTCAAGCCTAGGTGACAGAGGGAGACTCTGTCTCAAAAAAAAAAAGAGATGCCTATGAAATCCTGAATCTCATTTACTGTAGTTAACTTATTATGTACAGAAATTACTTATTACTGTGCCTCTTTTGTATGAGAAGGTAGGGAGCAGAGCTAAAAACCACAGCAAAGGGTTGGGAAGGACCAGGGAGAAGCTGACAAATGGAGATAGTTCTGATTGCAGGAAGGGCTGAAACATCTGAGGTGGGAAAGAGGGGAGCCTTTTAAATGGTGACTCTGAGTAAGTGTAGGGAAAATCGATTCAAACATTTGATCTGGGATCAAAGAATCTTTATTATGAACGGTCAATGTTAAAAATATGAAACATACGGAAGCTGTTGCCTGTGAAGTCATTTGCGTACTCTAACTGCAGAGATGTATAAGCCAGTTCATTGCTATAAACGAGTACAGATTTTCTTCCTGGGCCATATGTTTTGGAGTTTTCTTTCTCCAGAAAGTCGTGGGGTTGGGGGTGGGAGGACCTGGCAGTGAAAATTACTGTTTGACATACTCTTTAGTTTTGAAAATAACTGTACTGAATTCTTTGTATTTTTGATTCATTACTGCCGATCAAGTTAACACTTTTGAACTTCCTCATAAATATCCATAAGAACAGTTTTCAACAAAGGTTCTTATTTCAAAGCAGAATATTTGCCAGAAGTTTTAGTACTGAAATATGACTTATTGTTATGGTGTGTTATAAGACATTGCTTATAAAGGAGACTATCAGAGGGCCTTAGGAATGGCACACTTGACCTTGATTTTCTCATATGAGAGTTAGGAATGATAATCCCTGTTATGAGCCATTAATCCAATGTCTGTAAAACTCTTTGAGATTCTCAGAAGATTTATGTGTACGGGATTCTTGAGTTATTTACATTATTAGCTAAGCATCCTGCGTGAATGCTGCAATCTGATTGACTTTTTCAAATCTTTGTAATTATGCCCTCACATGTAAACTTGTCCTAAACACCTTCTTACCTAAGAAAAATCATCTGTTCCTCCATTCTGATGCAAGGTTTTCTTCCCTTCCCAGTTATGTGTAGCGTGTGGATGTCTTCTAAGCATTTTTTTTTACTCATATTTATTTATTACTCAGAGCCTTGTTATTCAAACTGGGCTTATAGAAGATGGGGTTCCCAGTTCTTCACAGTGAGCCCCTCAAAACTGTTCTTTCGTCAAGTACACTCCATCAGGAAAGATGGGACAACTTTAGTTCCTGGTGAGAAATGTGGCAGCACTGTCTGTGACAAATGAATGGAATTGACTTATGCCTAGTCTCTTCCCAAAATAGAATTGATATAGTGGTTGATTGATAATTCTTGGGGAGGAGCTATATTAGTGAGCTTTCACTGTAAGGAGTTGGAGTGGGAGCAAGAATATTGGGTTCAAGTCTGAGGTTCCAGAAAATCTTGTTGTGTATAAAGTGAACCTTGTTCATAACAAGTCCTACTTAATGTTCCTTACCATGATACAGCAAAGTATGAAAGTGAGCATATGTAAGCTATTTTAAGCTGATGGATGCCACCCAAATGGGTATTCCTATATGAAATATTGAATATTGACATCCTTTTGAAAGTAATGTAGACTGAAGGCTTCTTTTACTGGAGAGACTATACATTGGTTCTCAATGTAGTATGCATAGGAATGTCCTTTAGCCCCATTCCCGAACATTTTACTTTAGTATGTCTGGGGTGAGGTAGAGGAAACTTCAGTTTTAAGAAGGACTGTAGGTGATTTTGGAGCAAGTTTTTAGACCACCTGCTCCAAAATATAATATATCCAAGGTATAATGTTTAAGGCCTACTGTAAGTCTTATTGGTAGGTGAACTCTGTCACGGTCCTTAATCTTTTCTAAGCATCTGTTTTCCTATGTATAAAATGAAGATTATAATACGTAATTATACTTGTATACAACTTAGGGGTTTGGAAAGTGTTAGAGAAGTGAAGCACTTAGAATAGGCCTTGCTCATGTGCACTTAATAAATGACATCTATGAAAATTAGATATGAAGATTCTGGTTCTGAGGAGGAGAGAGTAAATACACTTTTCCCACTTACCCCGAGCACGGTGATCATACCTGGACAGAATTGCATGAATCCATGAAGCATGTATTAAAAGACTTTGAAAAGTAAATAGTAAGAGATTTAGGGGAGAACACCTGAATTTGAAGTACCTCTAACTGGCAGTCAACTTAACCAGCTTTTCCCTCTAGTTATTCCTTCACTTGAGTATAGTTGAACCTGAAACCTGGAAGTGAGCACCAGGCAGTGCAGCAGATATCCAGGAAATGCTCTTTATTCCCGGTGCAAAGAACATGAAAAAGTGAGCTGTAATGTCAGAGAGAGTGTGGAAATAGTTTGTTTTCCCCTCCTTTCCATTTTCTTATGCCCCAGACCCCAAGTAATCCTGTATTGGAAACAGCAGATGAGCAGGAGCCAACTCTGAGAAAGAAGAACTTTCTTCATTGCTGAGCTGTGATCCCAAAGAAAGGAGTGAATCTCCTTTCCTTTTCCCCCTCCATTCTCCTGTTGCATGGCCTCTGCCCTGGAACCATGCTGGGGAGTGGGATAACTAAAGCAGGAGCCCCAGGCAACTGGAAAATGCTAGAGAGATTGCAGAGAGAAGATCTTGACAAAGCAATCCTTGATGTTGTTTATGAACTCTTGGGATCACCCCTTACTTGCATATGCACTAATTTGATCCTAATCAGCATACCAAAGATGATAGGAACTGAATTAGTAAATAGACAACTGCCCAGGTTGTCATATGACCATTAGGTTTGGCACTTACTAGTCAGATTCAAATAACACTGCAAAGGCTTTGAAACCTTAATCAAAATGAGAATCAAAGCCCACAGAAGGTGGGTAAGAACTGGCAGCCTGGATGTAACCAGGTCAATTGTCTGCTAAACCAGCAAGAGTAAAAATTCTCCTTAGAATTTAAACAAGACCCAGTGGCTCATAATATAATGTTCAAAATGTCCAGGATACAATCCATTATTACTGAGCATATGAAGAACCAGAACTTGCATGAGAACAGGCCATCAATGCCAACGCGAAGATGACACAGATGTTGGAATTAACTTACAAAGATGTTTACATAGCTATTATAACAACGCTCTAACAAGCATCACAAACACTGTTTAATAAATGGGATATAGAAATATTTAGCAAAGAAATATAAGATATGAAGAAGAACCAAAAGGAAAATTAAAAACTTAAAAGTATAATAACCAAGAAAAAAATTACACCTCACTCGTTGAGCTCAATAGTGCAATGAAGATGACAAGGAACTTAAAGATAGATCAATAGAAATTATTCAATCTGAAGAAGAGAGAGAACAAAAGATAGCTCCTTCCTACTCAAAACAAGAAATAACAGATCCTCAGGAACCTATTCAACAATAACAAAAAGTCCAATATTTATGTCATTGTAGTCCCAGAATGAGGGGAGAAAGTGTACATGCTGAAAAATATTTGAAGAAATAACAATTGTATATATACCAAATTTGGTAAAAGTTAAATGCCCGTAGATTTAGTAATTTCAGCAAACCATAAATGGGATAAACTGAAAAAAATCTATGCATGAATACATAATGTGTCCTTTAAGAACAGGTGTATGTCCTGAGAAATGTGTCAGTTGGTGGTGGTGTGTGAATATCATAGAGTGTACTTACACAAACCTAGATGGTATAGCCTGCTACACACATAGGCTATATGGGATAGCCTATTCCTCCTAGGCTATAAATCTGTACAGCATGTACATGTTACTGCACTCAATACTATAGGCAATTGTAACACAGTGGATACACAAAAATCATCCAGAAAAACACCCAGAGGGGGAAAAAATGTATTATCCATGGGGAAACAGTGATTTGATTAACTGCATATTTTTTTGTCAGAAATTAATGCTAGGGAAGAAGTGGCACAACATGTTTAAAAGGCTGAATGGAAAGAATGCCAACCTAGATTTCAATATCCAGTAGAAATATCCTTAAGAAATGAAGGTTAAATAAAGATGTTCTGTATAAAGGAAAACTAAGGGAATTTGTAGCCAGCTGACTTCCTCTAAAATAATTTTTCCAGGAATTTTTCATTTACAGAAGGTAAATGTTGTCAGAAGGGAACTGGAAACATCAGAAATGAAGGAAAAGTAACGTAAATAGTAAATATCTGGGTGAATATAATGGTCTATTCTTTTCCTAGTGAATTCTTTGAAATATTTGATGGGTGAAAGCAAACATTAAGATACTGTCTGATGGGATTTTCAGTGTATGTAGATCTAACATACAGATAAATACAACATAAAATGGGGAGAGTAAAGGGACTATATTGTAGTAAGTTTGCTATATTCCACTTGAAGTGGTAAAATTTTGATTCTAACTACAATGCGAAAAGTATATGCATTATGATTCCCTAAGCAGTCATTAAACATCTATCATTAAACATCTATGCAAAAATATAGCCAAAATCAAAATAGGTAAGTGTAATAGTAATGACTCTAAAGAATACCAGAAAGCAAAACAGGGATAAACAGAAAAAAGAATAAACTGATCTAAGTCATTCAAAAATATCAACAACATTAAATGTGAATGGTCTAAATATATGAATTAACAGAAGTTGTCAGAAAAAAATGACCCAACTCTATGCTGTCCAATTCATATTTGAAATTCACTTCAAATATAATGATACTGTTAAGTTAAAGTAAGAAGATGGAAAAATATACAAACACAAACAAAAGAGGCAAACACTAATGAAAAGAAAACTGGAGTGGGGCTATATTAATTATGGACCAGTTTTTGTCATCTCAGAAAACTTGTTTGCAACAAATTCTTGTGCAAATACTTATTTAACATTTGTGCTGGCAGAGGGAAGATCAGATGATCTGAATTTGTTGAGAAATTGTGAAACCTCACATTTCACAAGAGATGTTGCCTTTTCCTTTATCTAAAAGCTAGATTCCAGTAGTTCTTATGCTACAAGTGATTCTCTGTTTCTGCACCTTCCTGCATATGCAAAGATCTTTTATTTCAGTACTGAGTTATCATATTTTCTATCATACTGGATGCCATTTTAAATGGCAATTAAACTTAACATGTGTTGTGCCAGTAATGCACTTAAAGTGATGGCGGTGTATATGAACATTATGACTTACAGGCAATGACAACTCTTCATAATTTTCTCCTGACAAACAGCTCTTTCAGAGGCCATATAGCTTTTAAGAAGCAACTATATTTATATTTTATTTATTTATTTATTTTTATTTATGAGATGGAGTCTTGCTCTATTGCCCAGGATGGAGTGTAGTGGCATGATCTCGGCTCACTGCAACCTCTGCCTCCTGGGTTCAAGTGATTCTTGTGCCTCAGCCTCCTGAGTAGCTGGGATTACAGGCACCCACCGTCATGCCTGAATAATTTTTGTATTTTTAGTAGAGATGGGGTTTCACCATGTTGGCCAGGTTGGTCTCCAACTCTTGACCTCAGGTGATCCACCCGCCTTGGCCTCCCAAAAGTGCTGGGATTATAGGCATGAGCCACCGCCCCTGGCTGCAACTAAAAAGTGATTTTAGACATAATTGAATAAGGTATATGCATAGAATAATGTCTGCAATATCATACACCTGAAATTGTTCATATTGTTTGTCTGTGAGCTTGTCAGTTGAAGAATGTGTTGTCAGCATTTGGGCTATACCAGTGAACAAAACATTTAAAATACTTTGACTTTGTGAAGCTTATATTTTAGCAGGGCAGACAGATATGGAGTAATAAACATAATAAATATGTTAGGTGATAAATATTATGGGAAAAAGTGGTCAAGGGAAGAGGGAATCAGGGGAGTCAGTGTTGAGTGGGGTGGGGTGGCCTGTGATGGGGGTAGGGTAATCAAGGTAGTTGCATTAAGAAGTTGAATTTGAGCCTACTCAACCAAGGAAAGGAGGAGCTAGCCAACTAGATGTCTGGTGGAAGATGTTCCAAGCAAAGGAATAGCTATTTTAAAACTACTGAGGCTGAAGTGGAATAGACATGTTTCTGGTCCAGCAAGAAGATGAAATGGCTGCAGCAATGAGCAAGGGAGGAGAGCATGGTAACAGGTGATGTTAGAGAGGTAATAGCGCCATATTGTGTAGAACCTTCCAGACTATCTTAAGGATTTTGGTTTTTGCTTTAAGGGGAACATTAGATGATAGGCATGTTAAAACACTTGCAGTTTTTATTATCATGGGTCTTCATTATTTTTTCTCTTCTCCTTTCGTTTGCTACTCAGTTTATGGTGTTTTGTTATTTTCTTTTTTTTTTGTTTTTGCCAATGTCTCTTCATTTTTTTGCAGAGCCCTCCCTCCTTTCTTTTTTGTACCAATATATGCTTTTTAAATTTTTCTGGCCAGACTCTGTGGCTCATGCCTGTAATCCAAGCACTTTGGGAGGCCGAAGTGGGCAGATCATTTGAGGTCAGGAGTTCGAGACAAGCCTGACCAACATGGTAAAACCTCATCTCTACTAAAAATACAGAAAAATTAGCCGGGCATGATGGTGCGCATGCCTGTAATCGCAGCTACTCAGGAGGCTGAGGCAGGAGAATCCCTTGAACCCGGGAGGTGGAGGTTGCAGTGAGCTGAGATCGTGCCCCTGCACTCCAGCCTACGCAGCAGTGTGAGACTGTCTCAAAAAAAAAAATATCTTTTGGGGGAAACAGTACCTAGTTGGAATATTTCACATTTATTTAGTGCTTAATATGTCAAGCATTTTCATGTACATTGTTTTATTTTATCCCAGGCAGCACTCTTTTTTAATTTAAGCTCCAAAATAATAGTTATGATCACAGTCATTGAAGTTGTCTCTCGAAACATTTTGAATGTTAGCTGGCATAGCTGAAGATGGAAGGATCATTACTTTGGCCAACGATTTCACACCATCTTTGAAACAAAAAAGAGTTCCAGTAAGTCAAATACAGAGGACACATGGGCATTCCAGTTACCCTTAAGTGTGGTCACTGTGTAATTTTTTGTTGCTGATGGTGCTTTTTGGGTGAGGCCAGGTTTATAAATTTAACCTGTGACTTAGTGAAGACGCTTGGTTTTTTCTTGGAATGACTTATTCACTCTTACGGAGGGAGGGTGTCTAACTGCTAGACAGGGCTTGAGGCCAATTCTTGGATCAGGTGTTGTGACAGGGAGGTTTCTAGAAAGGGTGCTGTATGTGGTGTTGGTTTTTAAAATCCGGGAGAATAATGCAGTCTTTATTATTCCTAAAGGAAATAAGTGAAACATGTGAAAGAAAAATTACACCACTGAGATGGTCTCTTTACTCAAGGGAATCTTCTTCACTTCTCTGTCCTTTGTAAGATGATTAATAGATAGATTTTATTTAAACTGTGGCAAATAAATGAAACCATTAAATATTTATATTGAAAGTAAATATATTAATAAAGGCAATGAAGCTTTCTGTAGGCCGCATGGCCTGCCCCCAGGCTGTAAATACTCCTTGTGACTTTCCAATACAACTGCCAAGCACTGCCTCTACACAGTCTTTGTAAAACTTTTCCATTCCAAATCCACTTGGTACTTTCATTATGGTCTTGTTAACGTTGAATGTTGTCCAAAGGGACTTGCAAGATAGATTTTCCCCTTATTGAGGAGGAGCAAAAGAGGAAATCTATAAAAGCATTTCTAGTTGGTATTACTTCAGGGAGATATATTCATAAAAAATAGTGATACTTCTATAGGAAGAAGATCTTTTAATTTGCTATTGTTTAAATGGTGAGAATTTGGGTAAATGTATTTGCTTTTACTTTATTTTAGCAGCTTTTAGAACATTCTGCATAGGACAACCTGGGAAGATCACAGTATTTTATTTACATATGGTATAAATAAGTGAATATATCTACAAGGTACATGTTGACTGTATACAAGATACATGTAGATATGCACTTAGGATATTGGTTTTTAAAATTTGGTCCGTTTTACCCAGTTTAGCATCTCTCTCCCTATTTCCTCTAAACAAGATTTTTTTCTGTGGGGATCTGCTAACATGTTTCCTATATTCTCATATTTGGTATAAGACTTATGGGCATCTTTTGCTGGTCTCCTATATGTAAGAATATTTGCTTAAATGTAGTAAAAGCCTCTTATGAATGACAAACCCTTTCACCAGCATGTTCCATCCTAATCGTGTGCTTGTTCCCTCCATATGTCCTTGTTGAGGGGCATAAAGACCAGCAAGGAATGTTCTTGAGAAGGGAGAGATAGGACCTGAACACTAGCACCCACAGGCAGGTACAAGAACTACCTATTTCTTATACTGGAAAATTATTTTTTTCTTTTAGATCTTGGATTTGCCTGAGTTGATTGATAATTCCAAGTATAAAACTAACCACCTTCGGGTACACAATAGAAAAGAGCTTATTAAAATATTATCTGAACGGTAAGTTTGGATGTTGTATTCATCCATTTAAGAATTAATATGTGATAAGCATTTATCTGGTGTTTTATATGTTTTTTTCTTGGCTTATTTGAGATCAATTTGTAATTCTCTTCCATTTTACAAAACTGGCTGGTGGAGAGATTTTAAAGCTGTGGGGTTTTTTTGTTTGTTTGTTTAGAAGCACTTGAACACATTTTATGTTTTGTTAAGTACTGAGTCATAACAATGATATAAATAAGAAAGTCACCATGACTTGAATTTGGTTGTTTCTCTGTGTCCTGTACCTGTTTGGGTTTAGTTTATCATAAATACAACAACAACAACAATAATAATTTAACATTATTTCATACTTTCACTTTGTTAAATGCTTTAGATACATTGTCTCGTTTAATCCTCATAATTATCCTGTGAGGTAAGTTCTGTTATTTCCATTTTACATGTAAGGAAAGCAAGGTAAAGAGAGGTGAAATCAAGAGTTGGTTTGCATTTCTGAGCCACTCCTGTGAATCTTGATGTTATTTCTGGATCATTGCAGATGCCACATTGAGTTATGGGTCATAAAATATTAATGTTAATTAAGTAGAATATTTTATTTCCATTTTTTTCCATTAATGTCAGGTTATTTTTTTGTAATACCTGTACCAATTTTTCAAGTTTGTCTGAAGAAAATAATTATTCTTACTGTTTCATGTCAGTTTCACTTTTTGTTTGCCTTTACATGTCTTCTGAATCTGTACAAATGGGCTTTGTGGCTTTTGTGGATCTAAATGCCCACATGAACTTTTCTTTTATATTGAAAATTTGCTCTCATCATGCCAATAAATTAGGTAATTTTGTTTAAATACCATATTTAGCCTTTTGAAAAGGCTCAAGTGTTTCTATGTAGTATACATCAAAGTTATAAGAACTAAAATTCCGCTGTTTTTATTTTTGTTGTCTTTGTATTTGGGGATGTCTGCAGGAATATCTGAATCAACATTCATCTATCTATTTTTCCTGGATTTGAAATACTTTTGTAACTTTAAACATTTTATAATTTTAAACACTGCCTGTATCTTTTCCATGTGCCAAATGCTATTCATATCAATAGGGACTGTGTGTTGTGGGACTGATAGACACAGAATGGGGGATGGAGAACTGGGTGCCCTTTTCTGGTCCCTAGTTAAATATAACTCTGATTCTACCGCGAAGCCCCAGAGCCCTCAATGATTAACTTTTCTCCACATGAGAAGTGCCCATTTATTTCTTCTTTTTGCCTCTCTGCCTCTCAAGCATTTGTAATTCATATAATTAATTGATAAAGCTTTTTCCTTTCACACGATGGTTACCAAGTTTCAATAATAGCCACTTGTGAGAACCTTATCAGAAGCTCTTTGATAAACTGAATAAATCATGACCATACTGCGAGAAGAACAGATCCCAAGAAAAATATGATACCTAGATTGGTTTCCTGTGTTTTAAAACTTTTATTCCTTGCTAAATTATGTTATAGAGTTCAACTGTGGGATGACTTTTAGTAGCATCTGTAACATACTCATTGCCATTTTCCCTCTTTGGGGTGAATTATATAATCTGCAACCTTCTTCTTTCTGTTCTTTTATACACAGAAGTAGAAGTTTCAGCATTTTGGTATCTATAAGTTTGTTATATTTTTATTCAGACTTAACAATAAGTAAGGAATCGACCTGCAAGGAAGAGACGGGGCAGGCGTGGGTAGTCCTAGGAGAGGAAATTTCATAAGGAGGTCACATCATCATTGGTACTGCCGTTAAAACACAGACCACAGATAGAGCCCTTGGCTGCTTGCAGGCTAGCTTTTGTGCTCTCTTCTGCTAGTGCGCTGACATTTTTTGGTACCTTCTTATGAGTTGCAGTTCTCCAAGTCTCTTCTAGCACGTCTCTCTTCCTCCACGGTAGTTCAAATAGTGATGACCTGGGAAGATTAGAATTAGAATATTGATTCATTCCAGTTTATAAGCTTATCATTTATTTTTCTGAACAAATATCACTGGAATCATTAGTACTGCTTAGTGCTTGGCTTTGAGAAGTCTCTTAAAATTTCTCATTTTCATTATATGATGTGTGTTTTTCCAGTATTCAAAAATATTAGTGGTGCTTCATAAGTTACATGATTAGACGTAGCCTCCAGCCTGGCATGCGGTGTCTTCCATAATCTGACATCACCTTTCCTGTCCACTCTTCTTCTTACATGTTTCCAAAGGACGGCCCTGCTATAGTCACCCTCCCAATTGGTTTAGTTTCCTCTCTGAAATGCTTCTCAGAATTACCACTATTCTGAAACTTAGTCATGCTTCAAGGCCAGTTCTAGAAGCCTCTGTTCCCAGTAAGATGTTGGCACCTTTAGGAAAGAACATTGTCCTTTTCATGCCTTGTCCGTTGCCATTGCCAAACAGAAGTACAATCAACGTTAGTTGTCATTATGAATGATACTGCTCTAGGGCCTTCTCAACATTCTCGTCTTGCTCAGCACATGCATTACACAGCCACCTCAGAACTTGCAGGCATTTTATTTCCTAACAAAAGTGTTACATTAGCTCATAGCCACAAAAAAGGAGCCAGGGAGAAAGGAAGGAGTGGAACCAGCCTTTGGTGGCTGCCAAGTACATGCCAGATAAGTGTTATTATTCCCACTTGATATGAAAATTCTGACATTTAGGGAGGTGGTCTCCAGGTCAGGCACATAGTGAATAGTTAGAAATGGGATTCAAAAGGCTACACCTTTTTCATCTCTCATATTGCCTCCCTGAAGTGGCACATGAAATATGACTGTGTCCTTGTTTGTTTATGCGCTCAAGAAATATTTATTGAGCACTAACTGTGTAGTAGGCACTGTTGCAAGTTGGGGATAGAGAAGTGAACGAAACAGACAAAGTGTATCCATGAAAAATAATACAGGCCAGGACAAGGAAGAATGCCAGAAGTTAAGTGTGAAGCTGGGTTTTTCATTTAGTCTGGTCACAGAGGGCTTCTCTGTGAAAGTGACATTTGATCAGAAGCTTGCAAGAAATGAGAGAAAATGTCTGAGGGAGGCTGGCAGGCATCTGGGAGATGAATTCCAGGCAGAGTTTATGGAGTAAGTCAGAGGACAGTGTGCTTGGATCTGAGGGAGCAAGAGAAGAGGGGTGTCAGGTTGGTTCAGAGAGAGTGGGAGCCCATGGCAGGCAGATCAAGTCGTGAACTCATGAAAGCCTTTATGACAAAGTAGTTTCTTAAACTTGTGAAATAAAGGATTTTTTTTTCTGGCCATAAAATGGATTTGCTTATTGCAACTTTTTTCTAACTTGAAGAGAGAGCGTCAAGGGAGGGAGTGCTCTACCTAGTAGAGAAGAGGTCAAAGCATTTCAGCAACGTGGAGTCAGGAAGACCCCGTTTCTCACCTAGGAAGACCAGAGGGCCAGGTTGAAGTGGTCTATGCTTCTCCATTTATTCAGTCTCTCACATATTCAACAAGCATTTGTTGAACACCTACTATGTGCCATGAACTGTTCTGAGCACTAGGGATATAGCAGTAAAATACAGTCAAGAATTCCTGCCCTCCTGAATTTTCATTTGGTAACCATTGCAGACTTTCTAGAAGACATACTTCTTTTTGGTAGTGGTTGTTTTTGAACTATTACTTAACACATTTGTTTCGGTGAGCCTAAGAAGTTAGTTTTCCATATTTTTCATAATAACCACTTAAAAAATTTTTTCTCTTGCAAAACTATTACAGTTATAGGCTGTACCTGTTACTCATTTATTGTACTTTTTCAACATGTTGATATACATGCTCCAGTTTTTAAAATGTGGTTTGCCAGCCATTTCCATAGTAAAAACATATTTTTAGTAACAGTAGCCACTCACAAATAATCGACTTTACCATGTGAGTCTATCGTGTTTTTGCCTGTTGTCTTCTGTTAAACCTTACATCGCAGGCACTTTCCTTTAATACTTATAGACACTTTCCTTGCCTGATATTTTTATTTTAGAAAATCTTTAAAACGTGAAAATGTGGAGGGATTCATGAGAGTGAATTTGCACAGCAGATAACTTTAAAAACAAACTCTAGGAATGATGAACTCACTGTGTTTATTTTAAAAAGTTTTCTCATCCTTTACACCCAATTCGAAGACAGTGAAAACAGAAGCATTTATGGATTTTTACAAAGTTGGCTCTTGTAAATATACACGTGAATTTCCTATTGTGTTTCAAAATCTTCCTTCCAAAGTATTTTCCTTGAGCAATTTTTGAGTACTCCCCTCCCTGTCCCTTGTAAGCCTTCATTTATATTTTTTAGAATCAGGTGATTCTCCTATGAAAAGTCCAGGCTTTTTTGGAAGTACCTACCAGAGTTGTCAGTCACTTACCTCAGTTCTCTGTTATTCTTGCTAAGTACAGTTTGAAGCTACTCTCTGAGGGCGATCAGCCTCACTCAGGACGGCAGCTGCCTGTTTTGGTCATCAGCTGCGTTTTCCACAGCCAGCACACACGATTCCCCTCAAATGCTCTCAAGTGTTACTATTCCCCAACCAGGGCTGTGAGCAAGTCTTTTTTATTAATCTAAAGGTAGAAGACTTTCCCCTGGAGTTTGCCATTTTATCCAGGGTGTTGCAGAAAGTATGTTTACCCAGCTGCTAACATTGAAAACTAGGTAAAACTCAATCATGTTAAAAATCCCTAGCTAAAACAGAAGAGGAGATATAATGGAGACTAATCCAGCGCCAGATAAAACAATCCCCTTCTTTGCAATGCTAAGGAGCAACAAACTCTTAAACCTGTGCTACTCACACACCAGATCAGCATTTTTGCAATAGTTAGGACCCCAAGAGAGATATTGCAAGTTGTGAATTGAAACTAGGAAGAGAGGGATAAAGATGATGTATTAGTGTTTGGGGAGAAATAATAGGAAAACATGAAATGAGGATGAAGGAGAAGAGAATTGATGGAGAAAATAGACATAAAATTTATTTTATTCTCTCTCTCTTCCTCTCTTCACCAACATTTATTGGCCATTGACTGTGTACCATTGTCCTGCAGATACAGAGCTGAAAGATGAAGCCTGGGCTTTTAAGGAGCTCATGGTCTAATTAGGAAAATAAACACAGAAAGCATTGATTTAAGTAGAGTGTGGGAATTACCTGGGTAATCATATGCACAGTGGATTGGGGAGCCCAGAGAAGGAGCAACTCCTTTAATCTGGGAAATCAGGGAAGGCTTCCTGGAGATGGTGCCATCTAAGATAAATCTTGAGGGACAAACAGAATTAGGCAGGTAAAGAAAAAAGTTCAAAGAAGGAAATATTGATGTGAATGTACTTTTGTAGCATGAAAATAAAATCATGACAGCAGAAAAAAAGTACAGATGGTCCCCAACTTACAATTTTTTAAATTTACCATGTGGTAAAGTGGTACACATTCATTAGAAACTGTACTGTGAGCCTGGACAACATAGCAAGACCCTATGTTGCTACAAAAATTAAAATTAAAAATTTAACTGGCCCTGCTGGCATGTGCCTGTAGTCCCAGCTACTTTGGGAAAGAAACCATCCTGTGAATTTGGATCTTTTTCCAGGGTAGCCATATATGCAGCAAAATACTCTGTTGCGATGTTGTGCAGCAGTAGTGAGCTGCAGCTCTCAGTCAGTTTGGTAGGTTAGGTATATTAAATGCATTGTTGACTTATGATGTTTACAATTTAATGATAGTTTTATTGGGACATAATACCTTCATAAGTTAAGGATTATCTATAGTTTGGAGAGATGCAGTTGACAATTTTCAAGCTGCTTTTGGAAAAATGTTACATATGTAAAGCAAGTATATGTCAATGTAGTCCTAGTGAAGGCATTTGTAAAAAGTTGTTTACGTTATGTCATCATAAATAAAACTAACAGCATTAGATAAGTTCGCCTTTTAAAATACTGTGGCAATTCCTTTAGTAAAATAAATAGTTTTGGTTTGGAATGATTTGGTTATTTCTTAAATTAAGTTTTTGATTTTTAATTGTCTATTTACTTATTTTCAGAGTTTACTGCATTGTGGAGTTAAATGTCCTATATCAGGGCCTTTTAACAGAGGTGCCAAACAAGTATTTGTTGAAATGAATCAAGCATTTAGGCTGGGTGCGGTGGCTGGCTGGGTACAGTGGTTCACGCCTGTAATCCTAGCGCTCTGGGAGGCTGAGGCAGGCAGATCACCTGAGGTCAGGAGTTCGAGACCAGCCTGGCCAACATGGTGAAACCCTGTCTCTACTAAAAATACAAAAATTAGCTGGGTGTGGTGGCACACGCCTGTAATCCCAGCTACTCGAGAAGCCGAGGAAGGAGAATTGCTTGAACCCGGGAGGCGGAGGTTGCAGTGAGCCGAGATCATGCCACCACACTCCAGCCTAGGTGACAGAGCAAGACTCTGTCTCAAAAAGAAAAAAAAAAGTTTATTAGTTACATTCCTCTAAGTTGATCATTTTTAAAATTTGATATCAAATTATTTTGAATAGATTTATACAAAATACTGGAGAATTGGACCTGGAACATTTCTTGGCTCTTGATGGAGCAATTGTAACTTCAAAGGTCCCTATACTGAATGTCAATGTAAAAAACTGACATCTTGGCACTATTAAGCCACTATGACCATTTCACTGCCCTGGCTAGGTCTTTCTGGGGCTCTCTTCACCTTTCAAAAAAAATAAATAAATATATTTTTTTTGAGACAAGGTCTCACTCTGTCACCCAGGCTAGCGTGCGGTAGTGTGATCATGGTTCACTTTAGCCTTGAATTCCTAGGCTCACGTAATCCTCCTGCTTCAGTCTCCCAAGTAGCTAAAACTACAGATGCAAGCCACCATGCCTGCTTAATTTAAAATATAATTTTTTTTAAAAAGATAGTTGGTGGGTGGGGGAGTGGGGTTTCCCTATGTTGCTTTGGCTGTTCTTGAACTCCTGGCCTCAGATAATCCTCCTGCTCCAACCTCCCGAAATGCTGGGATTATAGCTCTGAGTCACTATGCCTGGCTTCTATAGCTTGAAGGATAAAGTTCAAACCATTTTACCTGAACACATGCACCTCCCACCTTGTCAGCCTTGCCTGGGTCACACAGAACCCAGTGCTACTACTTTTAATGTGGCCTAATCTTTCAGTCCTCCATGTTTCCCCATATACTCATTACTTGACACTCAAATGATGGAGCTTCTTAATCTCACTACCTGCTATCAGTCCTTTAAAATAAGCACAAGTTTTAGGAGCTTTTCTGGCCTCGCTAGTCTGTTCCAAGGGGCCCCTCCTGTGCCGCTGCATCACAGCATCTACCCCACTCAACTTTCATCAGTCATTTACTTCTCTTCCTCCTTGACAAGACAGTGAATTTCTTATGGCAGAGAATATATCCTTTGGATTTTTATTTCTAGCACCTATTTGGCACTCAGTAAATGTTCTCTCAGTCAGTGAACATGTGAAGCAATGATGGGCAAGGTATCCAAGTGTGGCAGAACTGACCAAAGGGAAAAAGCAAGGATCCACGATGTCAGGTTCTACAAAACAGAAAAGAGCAGTGGTAGCTGGAAGTGAGGACTTTGAATGAACTAGAGAACCTGTATCGTGGTCATACAATATAAGAAGATCTGAATTTGAGATCCTAGTCTTTCAGTGATCAGCCTTGAGCTTCAGGTTCTCATATATCATACGTGTAAAAATACCTACATCACAAAGAGGATTAAAAACCAGAACAGACGGGCCGGGCACGGTGGCTTACGCCTGTAATCCCAGCACTTTGGGAGACTGAGGCAGGTGGATCATGAGGTCAGGAGATCGAGACCATGCTGGCTAACATGGTGAAACCCCACCTCTACTAAAATACAAAAAACTAGCTGGGCATGGTGGTGCACGCCTGTAGTCCCAACAACTTGGGAGACTGAGGCAGGGGAATTGCTTGAACCTGGGAGGCGGAGGTTGCAGTGAGCCAAGATCGTGCCACTGCACTCCAGCCTAGCGACAGAGCAAGACTCTAAGAAAAAGAAAAAAAAAAAAAAAAAAAAAAGCATGAAAACAGCCAGCACAGTTTGAGCATGCAGCAGTACTCAGCCTATTTGAGGAAAATCTTTTTTAAAAAAGTTTTAATTTTTGGAGTACCTAGTGTACGTCTATAAATTTATGGGTAGCATGAGATATTTTGATACAGGCATGCAATGTGTAATAATCACATCATTATAATGGGGGTATCCATCAGCCCACACATTTATCCTTTGTGTCTCAACAATCTAGTTATACTCTTTTAGTTATTTAAAAATGTACAGTGAAATTATATTTTACTGTAGCTACTCTGTTGTGCTAGCAAATACTAGGTCTTATTCATTCTTTCTATTTTTGAGACCTATCTGAGGAAGATCTTAATCCTGGAAAATCATAAACTTTACTTCCCCAATTGTTTGCTTTAGCAATTTCTATATTAGTTTTAAATTCATGAACCTCATTTCCAAGATTTTTTTTTCTGCCAAACTGTAATTCTTATAAGACTCAACTTTCACAATTTGTGTTTACAAAGTTATTTTTAACTGCCAATCAGACATCCTAATAAGGATGACGTAACTAGTATTATAGTAGTAATTTACTTCTACCAAAAGCAAAGCATGACATTTTCATTAGCCTGCATGGCCTTTTTGTAGGTGGATAAATAATTTGTTCAACTTTTTGAAAAAATAAAAATAGCTCATAGGACTTAGGAATACATTTTACTTTGTACTAATTTCCTAATTAAGACTATTAATAGTACTCATTTTCTTTTTTTTTTTTTTTTTAACTAAAAGAGTACCTTAATAGCCCCTATTCTATTCCCTTTCAAGAGACACTTGTTCTGCGTTGTGGGTAATGAACTTGGAATTTGTGAACACTCCACTTGAGTTATTTCTTGCACTTGTGTCTGTACTTTCATAAAGAATGAAACACTTTTTGCGTGTTCCTTAATTGCTACCCTGTGTTAATAGCCTCCACGAAAAGCTTCAGCCCATATCTTTAAGCACTTTAGTAAAATACACCCATGACTTCTCCTGTGCCATTTTTATGTGTACGTTTTTCACTGTTTTATTTGGTATCTCTAGCCTTCCTGAAAACTGTTTGACTTTTCAGTTAAGTAATATCTGTAATTTCCTTATTTTTTATTTTCTCATGTTTAATTTCTAACATCTGTGTCACCTTCCTTGGCCTTTCCCCCTTTCCTAAATCCTCAATTTTATTCCTCCCTCCTTCCTTTTTTGGCCTACCCCATCTTTCTGCCCCTACTCTGCTTTTCACACTTTGAACTGTTTTAAAATTAAACAATAAATGGGTATTATGTAGTACAGTCTTAATTGGATTTCACTTATTTGCATGAAGGCTTTATTGAGCACAAGTTTTCTTAGAGAACAGGGAGGATTTTTATCAGTGGTTACCTATGTAATACAGTTTAGAAGGCATGGAAGGAAACTTTATTCCATGAAAGATAATTCTTCCTTACACATAGTTTGCTGATTTCAGAGGTTTTACCATTAAAGATTTTGTGGGGGAGTGGGGGTGGGTTAAAAGTCTGTATACTCTTAAGTTTCAAACAGCGCAGGGAGGGTTAAAGCTTGAACTCTGATTCCTTAGTGTAAATACATTTTCCCAGATCTTTGCCTCAGTTTAGATTTTAATGTGGAGAAAACAGAGGAATCTTCCAAACACTGGCTGCCTAAGGTAAGTGAAGAGGGACAAAATGAGAAGCTGAGAGCAGTTAGGAGCCCCAGAGATGAAGATCCCCTTCCTGACACATTTGCCAAGGGCTGAGAGGTTATGGAAGTGTCTTTTAAATCCGATGAATTCCACCTTTCCCTCAACCTGGCAACCATCCACTCTCCCATATCTACATGTTTTTAATATACATAGAGAAACTTATTGTTTTCACCCTCTGAAACTTTTTGAGTTGGTTTAATATTCTTTTTTCCATATGATCACATTTTAAAATCTCTTCTGCCAACTTTTTTTTCTGACTTCTATTAATGTCTTATGAGGCTGCATTTCATAAGCTTTATATGTATCCTCAACCTACATATTTAGTTTATTGTAACCTCCTCCCAACCCCTCATAATTCTTTGAATCATATCATGGCATTCACTGTAGAGGGGCTAATTTGGATAAATGGATCTGATGTTTGGTGAGGGTCACATTTGTTTTCTTATGCATTCCTTGGCAGTGCTGCCATTATCAGCTAATAGATGGTCCCTTGTAAAATGTCTATATTTTATGTGGTACATTTTCTGAATGTTGGTTATTTGGAGATAGATTTAAGTGGCTGTGTTTTGTTACTATAAAATCAGCCCGGAGGGTAAAAGAAAGAAAGAAACACAGCTCTGGAAAGCATCCCTTTGGCTTAGAGAATGCAAAGGGAACCACTGCAACTCCAGGCAATCTCCTCGTGACCAGGGCTTTTTCCACCCTGTTAGGAGAATTCTTTGTGACTGAGAATCAAATGATGTCTAAAGACTTAAAAGTGAGTCAGTATGGAATGGAATGTCATCTCAGTTTTTTTTTTCCAAGAGGGCTATAAACCATTCCACACTACCTTTTAGGAGGAAGAATTAGGTGGTGGTTGTGGGATATTTATATGTTTGTATACGGAGGGGATGATGGTGATGGGAGGGAGTCCAGTAAACTCTATTTCCCTGGATAAAACATTTAATACCCTCGTTTCTCCTTTGGAACTTAATGTGTATTTTTAGATTTATAGAATGTTAGAGTCCTAAACACTTGGGGAGCTGGATAGAAGTTTGGATATCATCAAATTTAACCCCTTCCTAAATGTGAGAACTTAGAATTAATAGTATCACGGGCCAAAGATCCCTTGAAACGTGGTGGAAGACTCCACAAGTCAATGCTAAAGGCCTTCTTTTTTGGGAGGGGGAAGGTACAGCTCTCCAGACTTTTCTGGCTGACCTTATTTCGCTCTTGACTTTGGAAATGGATGGAGAATCTGGAGTTTGACTCAGTCAAATCTGGTTTGCTCCTCGGACTCCCTGACTCATCCCTGTCCTGCCCAATTTCCTGCTTGCCTTTGGGTCAGACTGAGTTCTGCTCTGTACTTTGCCCACTTGGGTTCTATTCTTATCTCCTCTTAGCTTTGGCTCTCCAGCATGGACTTTGCTTGAGTCTTTGATCTTGCATCAACTGATGTTTCTAGTAAGGGCCGACACCACCTCTCTCCCAGTGCTGACAGATGACATCCCTGCTGAGTCCCGATTTCCACCAGCTGTTTAGCGTTCTGGATCATTCCCTGTTGACCAGCTGCTTCTGGCCATCCTCACCTGGACAATCTGCAGTAGTTTTGGCATGTTGCTCACTGCTTCCATTGGCTGACGGTACCTACCTTAGTTCTAGTTTGTCATGTTTTCCCCAGTTCACACAGCTCATTGATGAGGCTCAGATTGCTATCTTCTGATTATCAATGTCTTTTCCATAGCACTCACGGAATAATTGCTTATTCTCCTTTTCTCTAACTACACATTTTATGTTTACAATATTCCTGGCTAGGAAAAGAAACTAAGTGAACAGTCTCTCTCTCTCTCTCTCTCTCTCTCTCTCTCTGTCTTTCTCTCTCTGTCACACATACACAGAATCATATGTACACAACTTAAATCTCTAAATTTATAAATTTACATTTTCCTTTTTAAATGATTTTTCTTTCCTCTATTGTGAATTGTTTTTCTTTTCTCATTTGCTAACTTTGGAAAGAGAAAAAATCCAGACATTGGAATGTCTGAGTTTATTTAAGTCTCAGTACTCTGTTCAATTTAATGAACGGAAACAAAAAAGGAACATCAAAATGCTGGCCTGGATCTTTGTGGCTCCAGGATTGGCCCTTTTTGGTGGCCATTGATAGATAATGTATTTGAAAAATAGGAGTAATTGTTGGTTTCAACTTACTTTTTAAACACATCAAAATATACAAATATATTCTAAAACACAGAAATTTGGAATTATGAGAAAGTGAGAGAAATTGTGAAAAACATAATTGTATATAATTTAACATTCTGTTATCTAAAATAGAGGATAAAATGGGTCTCTGAATGCACACTAACAAGCACAGGTTGTTTACTTAAATGGTTACATTTCTTAGACTAAAAAAAGTACTAAAATACTAAATATAAAATTAAAATAATAATATTTAAAATAAAAATTTTAAACTGTATATAAGTTATAGAGTTAAGCATCTGACCAAATATGAAATCAATGTACTTGCCTATATAATTCAAAATGTAATGAAGAAGAGATTATATGCATGGTTAACAGCAGCAATGAAATACAACATATCTAGGGATAACAGTAACAAGATGTGTATGGGGCTTACATACAAAAAACCTATACAACTTTCTTGGCTAGGAAGACTAAATATTATAGTGAAGATGTAAAATTTTCTCATATTAACTTTCACAAAATTCAAAACACCATTTCAAGAGGATTATCTTCAGAATTTAACAAATTCTAAAGTTTATCTTCAAGTATACATGAAATTGTTTTTTAAGTACTGGAGATAACAATCCCTGCTATATGGTAGAACAATTCTAATGTTAAAGCAACATAAATAAATTGAAAATATAAGGTGGGAAATATATTTCCAAGAATAACTGCAGATAATAGTAGTTATTTTACAAAGAGACTATTAAAATAGGTCAGTAAAAAATTATAACAACCTCAATGTATTAACTTGAAATACTTCACAAAAACTGAAAACGTAAGGTCAAATTCATGTATGAAAAGTATTGTCTTACTAGAAATTAAATATAACCAAATAAAATGGCTGAAACATGTTTTTCTCTTTTTAATCATTCACATGCTTATAAAAATGAATAATAATTAGTGTTGCGTAAGACATAGTAAGACATACAGGTTCATTCCCTGCTGTGCAAAAAGCAATTGTTCAATAGGCATATAGAGCCTTAAAGTGTCATTCTTAGTGACTCGATAATTCTATTTTGAAATATTCATTCTTGGAGTCCTACGTAAATGTCTTTAGAGGAATCAAGATAAAGACAATGATAAGTACACAATTGCAGAGTTGTTCACAATCATGAAATAGTGCAAAGCACATACACATCTGGCATTAGAGAAACAAATAAAAGCTTACTTTGGAATATTCTGTATTCACTAAAAATTAAATTTGCCACAGATCTTTTTTACTGCATGGGAAATGCTTATTACATCAGACTAATTTAAAGGCATAATTATAAACTATGCTAGCAACGGCATAAAGGAATAGCACCAAAGAAGGAAGTAAAGCTAATATTAACCGTGGTTGTCTCTCCATAGAATTATAGGTAATTGTTTCACATCTTTATATTTCCCACTGTTTTCCACGTTTTTTAATGTGAACATCTCAGTAATCAATGAATTGATGAAGCTAACAAATAGCTTTGGAATATACATCCATTTTTAAGAGAGCAAACCACATAATGCCAATAATAATAATAATAATAATAAAAACTTCAGGGATCTGACATAGCTGATGAGCACTATCAGCAGTTTTATTTGTAGCCTTTTGTCGTTGAGAGCCCATAATGGCACAGAACATGGAGGTCAAAATATAGGTAAGAAGTGCCTTCTGTTATTGATTTATGGAAATGCCTTCTGTTATTAATTCATGTTCTTGACTTTCACTTTGCGTGAATATCAATGCCACATGTATCTGAGTATTTTCTAGCTTTATGTTACTCAGGAGAAATGGCTAAATTCTTATAATAATGTGTTATACAATTGACTTCTTTTCAGTTGTAGTTTTCTTCCTTACAAATGCATTGAGAAAGTTGTATATTTTTCTTTCTTTGATTTTTCTATGGGAAGGAAAGTATAAACTCAGTAAGAGGGAAAAGAACCATGTTTCTTGTTTGTGTATTACAAAATGTTTCATTTTTCAGTGGGAGAGTGAATGTTCTGATGAAACACAGTCCACCAATGACTTCTGCCATAAGTAGCCGAATCCACTAACAATTTATGCATGCTGTTTGTGGTTGTTTACTGTATTGTTCAATAAATCTTACATACTTATTTTAACAGTAATCATATGAAGCATCTTAAAGCAACATGCACATGCAAAAGCTGTACATTTGAGAAATGTCAATCATTTTCTGATAGTTGGTTACGTCATTTTTACTAAATATATCACTTTATCCCAATAGCAATAGTAGTTGGATGTGATATTTGATTGAAATATTATTTTTCAGTGCATTAAAGTTAAAAGTTAAGATTGCATTTAGTATACTCTCTTAAGTAGCCTTTATTTTTCCCACTCCATGTTTCTAAGCCTAAGGTGTTTCTGAGTCTGAAATGTTCCTTCTATCGGTTAGCAGCAGGGACTGAGTTTTTGATAGTACTTTTGACCCCCTCCCAAAAGTCCTCTGAAAGTTAGAAGAGTGTGGCTGTGATCCACAAATGCACTAGGAGGAGCAGAAAAAAAAAATGGTGGCATGATTTAACCAGGGACAAGTAATTGTTTTCTAATTTGCCAGCTCAGTTTGAGTTACATGTTTGAATGCAAATAACCCCCTTGGGGCATATCCAAAAAGAAATTAATTTAGGAACTCACTCAGAGATATTATTGCAAATGGTCTAGTTTTATAATTTGGTGCATGGAGTCCAAGGGTGGCCAATCAGGTAAGTAAGAGTCCTTGGGTGGCTGACAGGGTGGGTAAAAACCTAACTTTTACTTGAGTTATAGTGATTAAATGTAAAATTTCTGTCTCATATTTCTCCCCCATTCTTTTACCATTTCCCCTTCTCTCTCTCTCTCTCAGCTACTATTATGTTTGGTAGGCCACCTGGAGGAAAATCATGCCCGCTTCTCCCCCTTTCCCTATGTCAAGCTGTAGTTTAGCTGGTAACATAAAACAATCAAGGAATGTTTAATTAATGTCAGGGATACCCATGTTATGCTGAAAAATATAAATTATTTAAAGTAGTTTACTTAATTACTAAATGACACAGTTAATAGAAGATTTGAGAAGATTCAGAAACAGCATAGAGTAGTATGTTAGGGTTTGCCTAGAAGCAAAACGAATCTGGGGTCTTGGGTACCATTAATTTTTTAGGGAGAGGATTCCAAGAAATGGTATTGAGTGTGGGGGGCAGAGGGGCAGGGAAGTGAGGCAGATAAACAGTTTGCCATTTTGGGTAGCTGGGGCTCAGTCATGTTGGGAACAGTCTAAAAACTGTGTGTACATACTTTGGAATCATGTAACCAGAGGGTGTGGATGTTAGGGCATTTATCCCCCAACTACTATCCTCCAGTGTTTGATGGTTTCCCCTGGAGGTGCCATCCAGCACACTCGCATAGTTTTGGGAAAAGCCACATGCAAAGAAGAGGTGCAGGCGTTTGGAAAGGAAAGCTGTCAGCAGCATGGAACTGTTTATACTTCCAGTAAACAATAGACAACCCAGACCAGCTCAGGTTGGTCAGGGGATGTGGGATGGGGCATCTGTAGCCTCTACAGCTCTGAGTGTCAGAAGACAAGAAAGGCTAAATGCAATCATGGTAGCATTGAAGCTTGAATCAAACTGCTCAGCTTTCAATACTTGCCCTGTCCTATTAAGACATTAGTTATGTGACTTCTGTGTTTCAGAATTTTTTCATCTATAAATTGGGGATAATGAGCTTATAATAGTAATTCCTACCTTTAAAATTGTCGAGAGAATTAAATGTGTGAATACAGTAGAGGGCCTGGCACATGGCAAGCACTTGATAAGTACTGCATATTGTAGGGGTCTGCCAGGGCAGCAGCATAGTGTGATGGTAGTTAACTTGTCTTGAGTAACAGAGTTCACTTAATGAAGTCTAAGTTTTCACTCTTTTTGGAAGCTATGTGCCACGTTGACTTGCATTGGGTGCCCATTACTAAATCACCTTTTAAACAAAACCTTAGCAGTTCCTAAACCGTATTTCTCCTGTGCCTTCATGGTAAAGTACATTTTTTATTCACTCTGTTTAAAATAAAATCATCCTTGTTTAAACCAACATGATTGCTGTCTCTGCTAGCTTCTTGTTTTTCACGAATCTGACCAACATGACATCATCCAAGTCCTTGTTTGGGTTCAGCAATAGACACCATCCTCACTACCTGAGGTTGAAACTGAAAGCTCTGGTTGTATTATTTGACTGCCTTCAAATTCACACATTTGTGTCATTATGCAAACTGCATTTCTCCGTCTTGTTCACGAAGATATTTTGAATGACCTTGTTAGTAACTTCGGTGAAATCCAGGAATACTTTGTCCATAGTATATCCCTCATATACCTGTTTAAAACCAAGCAAAATAGAAAATGAGATTGGCTTGGCATTATTTGCTTTAAGGAAACCATATTGGTGACTAATTCTTACTATTTCCTTTTCTAAACTTCAAAAGAGTACTTTACAATCTTTCATTCAATGAGTATGTATTGAGCTTGAACTCTGTGAAGCATCATTTCGAATCCCAGGATTTTTCCAAGAATTAACATCAAATTTACAAAATCCAGTTTCCACATCTTTAAAACGAGGCAATATGAGGCATATTACAGGATTGTTACTATGATTCAGTAAGAAATATGTGAAAGCACCTAACAGTGTCAGAGCAGAGAGGTGCTCACTACTAAGTCAGTTTCCTTTCCCATGTTCAGAGAGAGTGAACCCAAATAATTGATCTATAAATAAGTCTATCAAATTATCTATCAATCCATCAATTGATTGTTTCATTCATCCATCCATCCTAAAATTCATCCACCCTTTATTGCTCACCTCCTCTTTTACTGAGGTGGTATAGCAGGGGGGTGGGATGGGGTGGTAAGAGCATGGATTCTGGGGCTCGTACTGTCTCAGTTCTAATCCTGGCTCTTGCTAACTCTGTCATGTTGGTAAATCATTTAAATGTCTCTATGCTTCAGGCCCCTCATATGTAAAATGGGGATGATAGTAGTACTTATGTTATAGGAATTAAATGTCTATGTCTATGTATATGTCTGTGTCTATGTCTATGTAAAGTACTTAAAACAGTGCCTTACACATAGTATATGCTATAACAATATCAGCTGTCAAATGTCAGGCTCTGTGTCAAGGCTATGTGGAACAGGGAACAAGTGAGGCTGTTTCCTGCCCCACAGTGCTTACAGTTAGTGGAGCACCACATACTCTCTATTAAGCCATGAGACTGCTTTAATTATCTGCCATTTTTTTTAAAAGATTTGGAAACCGTTGAGGAAAAAAAATATGATGATGAGGGAAAAAATTTCTTCACAAATTGTTTTTGGAGTTCTCTTAATTTATATGCATAGTTAGATGTAATCATATGCACATAACAATTGTGAGTTCTTTTTTTGCGTTTGCTTAACGTTCTTTGTGTATATGGTATCAAGTATTTTGTGTACATTGGTTGTATTTTTTACTTCAATTGGCTCATATACTACCCTGTTGTATAAATATTTCATAGTATACTAAGGGATTTTGATTTTTTTTGGCATTTAGGGCATTTAAAATTTTTATTGTTATTAGAATTTTATTGTCATGAGAATATTATTATATTGAATATTACTGTACAAATGGAATGATTCAATCAAACTGAATGAAAAGATTTATAGTTCTCATTCTTTTTTTTTTTTTGAGACAGTCTCACTCTGTTGCCAAGGCTGGAGTGCAATGGCACAATCTTGCCTACTGCAACCTCTGCCTCTCAGGTTCAAGTGATTCTCCTGCCTCAGCCTCCTCAGTAGTCCCTGTACTTGGAGTCCTCCTGGGACAGGTGTGAGCCACTGCGCCCAGCCAAATGTCGGCTTTTAATATCACAAACAACATTTAAACTAGTTTTTGCAAATGAGAGCACTCATCTTAGCTTTAATGTGTTTATTCTTCAATTAATATAGAGAAACAGTATTTGAGATAAATTACTTCCATGTTTCTCATAATAATGCTATATGTATAGGAAAGATAACATCCTCAAGGCCAATTTTATTGGATTTTATTATCATATTATACATTCATATTTATAAAATATTTGAATTATTTGAGTGATAGTTCTGTAAATAGAGATATCATCTTTAGGAGTCATTTAAAGGAAATGAATAATTTAAAGGAAACAAGACTAGTCTGGGTGGAGTTAGGGAGGGTGGACAGAGAGCAGCAAGACTGGGGAGTTGGAGTCTTATTTAGAGATTTCCAAAAGTGACTTCTTTCTGAATGTAGTAGTATTTCCTGGAAGAGCACTTCCTGTACTGTATACATGCAAAAGCGGGTTGGATTACCTCTCTTCAGGGTTCCTTGGGTGGAATGACATTGTCGGCAAAATTTATTCTACCTTTGGAATCTTTTGGAATAAAAAATAACATTTTCTATCCTATGCCTCTTTTCTGTATACCATTTTCATGTTGGTGTATTATGTACAGTAAGAAAATAATGTTCCCATTCCTAAGACTAATTTATGCATGGAAGGCAGCAAATGAGAAAATGGGTAAATGTAAAATAGTAAATTTTTATGCTTCACTTGAAAATTTCTTTATTTTAATAAGTTTAAATTAAATTCAGTGGGGACATATTAAAAATAGGGTTTCAAAACAGAAAAATCAAAGAGAAGTTGTAGGCTTGTATATTCTGGCGTGTTGCTTTCCATTACCATATACTTGAATTTAGGTTATGTTTGATATGTTGCTTAGAGTCTGAATGTGCAGTTGAAGTGACTTTAGCTTGATTATTAATCTTTCCAGTATGTCAATAGAGAACAAATAGATTTTAGGGCAAGAAGTCTGACAACAGCATCCCCAACAAATTATTGTTTGGGCTTTTTTTTCCCCCACCTTTAGGAGAGAGGTTCTTGCTGTGTTGCCCAGGCTGGAGGGCAGAGGTGCAGTCATAGCTCACTGCAGCCTCAAACTCTTGGGCTCAAGGGATCCTCCTGCCTAAGCCTCCTGAGTCATTGGTACTACAGGCATTACAGGCATACGCCACCATGCCTGGCTAATTTTTTAAATTTTTTTTTCCAGAGACAGGGTCTTGCTTTGTTGCCTAGCTTTGTCTTGAACTCCTGGCCTCAAGTGATCTTCCCTCCTCAGCCTCCCAAAGCACTGGAATTATGGGCATGAGCCACCATGTCTGGCCTCCTAATTTCTATCTAGTACTTACTACCTGTGCCAGGCACAAAAATAAGGCTTTAATTTACATCACATATATTTTATTTAAACTTCACGAAACTTGCGCGAGGTAGGAATCATCATTATGTGCTTTTATTGATGATGAAACTAAGGCTTAAAGACTTAAGATACTGTAAGGTCATGATGGAGACAAATCCTGGCTCGCCTATTTAAAGATGTATTGCTGGGTTTTTTAAAGGTGTATTTAACAAATAAATATTGTATATATTTAAGGGGTGCAGTGTTGTGATTTGATATACATATGCATTTTGAAGTAATCACCACAATCAAGCTAATATACACATTTTTCACTGCAGCAGGTTAGCACTGTTTTTGTGTGTGTAGTTAACTGAAGATCTAACCTTTTGGCAAATTTCAAGTACAGAATAAAGTATCGTTAACTGCAGTCACGTTGTTTACTATATCTCCAGAACGTATTTGTCCTCATAACAGAAACTTTGTACCCCTTGAGCAAGATATCCCTCTCCCATAATCAAATCTAATATTAATCTAATCCATGTTAATATACCATATAATGTCAAATCAAATCGATTCGATATATATATGGAATTCCACATATATATGAGGTCATATAGTATTTGTCTTTCTGTGTCTGACTTATTTAACTTTATATATTGTCCTCTGGGTTCATCTGTGTTTCAGCAAATGACAGAATTTCTTTATTTTTTATGACTGAATGATAGTCCACTGTGTGTGTGTATGTGTACCTATATATATACACACACATATATATGTTTGTGCACCTTATTTTCTTTATCCATTTATCCACTGATGGACACTTGCTTAGGTTGTTTTCTTATCTTGGATTTTGTTAAGCATGCTGAAATGAACATGAGAGTGAAGATATCTCTTTGAGATACCGGTTCATATCTTTTGGGTATATAATCATGTACCACATAACAGTGTTTCAATCAATGACAGTCTGAATGTAGCATAGCGGTCCCATAAGATTATAATAATGAATTTTTGTTGTTCCTTTTCTTTGTTTAGATATGTTTAGACACAATATTCATACAATAACATGCTGTACAGGTTTGTAGCCTAGCAGCAATAGACTATAGCTTATAGCCTAGGTGTGTGGTAGGCTGTTCCATCTAGGTTTGTGTAAGTACACTCCATGTACGTGTTCTTATATGATGAATTACTTAGCAATGCATTTCTGTATTAAGTGATGTATGACTGTATACCTAGAAGTGAGATGGCTGAATTACAAAGTAGTTCTATTTCTAATGTTTGAGAGCTTCCCTGTTTGTCAAAATGGCTGTACCAATTTACATTCCCACCAACAGTGAGAAGAGTTCCCTTTTCTCTATGTCCCTGCCACACTTGTTATTTTTTTCTGATAGCAGTCATTATAACAGATTTGAGGTGATATCTCCCTGTGACTATGATTAATATTTCCCTGACATAGCGAAGTTGAGCACCTTTTTATATATCTGTTGGTCATTTGTACGTCTTCTTTTATGAAATGCCTATTTAAGTCCTTTGCTTGTTTTTACATTGGGTTATTTATTTATATTTGCTATGGAGATGTATTAGTTCCTTATATATTTTGGAAGATTATCCCTTAAATATATGGTTTGTAAATATTTTCTCTCATTCTGTACATCATCTCTTCACTCAATTGATTATTTTCTTTGCTGTACAGAGACTTTTTAGTTTGATATAATCTCATTTGTCTATTTTTGCTTTTGTTGCTAGTGCTTTTATGGCCATAATCTAAAAAATTGTTTCTCAGGCCAATATTAGGAAACTTTCCCCCCATCTTTTTCTATTAGTTATATCGTTTTATGTCTTATGTTTTAGTCTTTAATCCATTGTGAGTTGATTTTTGTGTACGGTGTCAGATACAAGTCAAATTTCTTTCTTCTGCCTGTGGATATATAGTTTTCTCACCACCATTTTTTGAAGAGATTATCTCTTCCCTATTCTATGTTCGTGGCATCCCTGTGATGATCATTTCACTGTAGATGCATGGATTTATTTCTAGACTCTCTATTCTGTTCCATTGATTTATGTGTCTATTTTTATGCCATTACCACATTGTTTTGATTTTTTGTAGTTTTGTGATCTATTTTGAAATTGGGAAGTGAGATGCCGCCAGTTTTGCTTTTCCTGCTCAAGATTGCTTTGGCTATAGTCTTTCATAGTTCCATATAAATACTTGGATTTCTTTTTCTATTTCTGTAAAGAATGCCGTTGACATTTTGATAGGGTTTATATTAAATCTGTAGATTACTTTGGATAAAATACTCATTTTATTGATATTATTTCTTCTAATCCATGAACATAGGGTGTATTTCTGTATCTTCTTTAATATTCTACATTAATGTTGTATAATTTTTAGTGTACACGTCTTTTAATTTTCTGGTTGATTTTTTTTCCCTATTGTTTAATTTTATTTTTTGTTACTACTGTTCATATAACTGAGTAATGTATTGGAGAATAAGCTTCAGACCACAAAAGTGCCCGGAGAGGTAGTGATCTATAGATTGGTGGTGTGTTTAATTTATACACACATACATACACCCAGAGACACACACTCAAGAATGGCTAAATAAGAGTCAAAGAGTAAGAACAGAATATGCAATGAGCATATACTTCATGTAGACACATAGATATAATATGACCATTAAACATGGGGGCAGCATAATCAACATTTTTTAAAAAATCAAGTCTGGTGCAGTGGCCCATGCCTGTAATCCCAGCACTTTGGGAGGTTGAGGTGGGAGGATTGCTTGAAGCCAGGAGGATTGCTTGAAGCCAGGAAGGAGTTCGAGACCAGCCTAGGCAACATGACAAAACTCTGTGTTTACAAAAAATATAAAAATTAACTAGGCATGGTGGCGTGCACCTGTAGTCCCACCCGTTCGAGAGGCTGACCCGTGAGGATCACTTGATCCCAGGTGTTTCAGGCTGCAGTGAGCTATGATTGCACAATTGCGCTGCAGCCTAGGTGACAGAGTGAGACCCTACCTCAAGAAAAGATATATATATTATATATATATAATATTTCCTATATGTGGTAGGATTAAGATATTTATTATGAGATTATTATGTATATGATGTAGAATAAAGCAAATGAGAAATTGTGGGATATTCTAATTTTATCATTACCTATGTCCTTGAGAGCCAGAAGTATTCTAGAAGTTCTGCACATTAAAAACCACCATCAATAAAAACTTAAGGTAAATACAAAGCCGGTCTAACGTACTTAATATAAAAATCATCTACACATTTATAAGAAAATAATAACCCAATAGAAAATCATCAAAAAGATATAACCAGGGATTTTGTAAAATAAGATGTGTAAATAACTGTAAGCATTAGTAATCAGCGAGATGCCCCCTTTTTCCCTATAACACTTGGAAAATAATCAAATCAATGATAAAAATTATAATACTGAGTTTTGGTGAGAGAAACTGCTTATATAATGCATTTGACACTTACTCTTCTCATTGAGACCTTAAGTTACCCTGTTAAAAAGTGCAACTCTTCACAAAGGGCTTTATTTTTCTGCTTAACTTTTTTCCATAGCAGTTCCACAGATAATACAGATTTTATTCATTTATCTCTCTTTTTGGCAATCTTGGAGATGAGGACTTTTGTCTATTTTGTTCACTGCTGTAACCCTACACAATGCCTTGTATTTACTAGGAATTCAATGAAACTTGTTCCGTGAATAAATATTAAAATGTTTTAAAATGATACATATTTAAAAGATTTCCCTTTCCAAGAATGGATTGTAGTGAAATAAGATCATGTATAGAGCTGTATCTGCAATGATGTTTATTGAAGAAGTACTCAGAAATTTTAGGAAAATAAAATGTAAATATCACAGGTTAGCTCAAGTAACTTATGATAGACCCTTATAGTGAATATTCTTCAGCCATAGTAGGTAACTATTTCTGGACCAGAACATATGACTGGTAAGTTTAAAATGGTTACAAAACATTATGATCATTTTTTAATGTTATAAATATACATTTGTTACAGAATCATGGTATGGAGAAAAGAATAAAAAGTAAACATCCACAATTTATACAAAAATGCTAAAATTATGCATAAACCAAAATTATTTCTATGTGGTAAGGTTATAGTTGATTTTATTTCTTCTTTTCTCTCTGTCGATATTTAAATATTTTTTCTTTAATAATTTGGTATTACTTTACCAGTAGTTCTTCACAAAGAGGTCCTAATTAAAAAGACTTATTTTTTAGTATAAGCAGCCTCTGGTGTGAGGTGTGACCAGACGTCGGTAATGTGGGTAACTTTCCTATATTATGTTTCCATTCACACAGCTTAGGTTGTATGGACGGTCATAGCAATTCTGGTCAGGCCAAACCATTGTAATATGTGATCCACATTTTATTCAGAATCTTTACAAAAAACAGTTTACGTCTGAACTGTGAATGATTAGTATGGACGAGAATTGTTAATGTGTTCATAATAACTGTGAATCTTAATACATTAACCCACATAACTGTTGTTTTTAAGAGCAAGTTATATGGAATGTACTGAGCCATCTTGAGATTGAAAGCAGTGCCTAGATTCCTTGTTGGACTCTTACTCCATCTTTTGTGTGGCCTGCAAATTGACATGCAGACAATGGAGAGCTCATAAATGCTAGGGGGAGAAAAGATAACTTTAACCATAATTTATCAGTAATATGTAGAGATAATTCCTAAGAGGAAATAAGATCTGAGGAAATTACAGGAAATATTAAATCTGTGATTCTGTTTACGGTAGAAATGCCGACCAACAAATTCCAGCTGTTTCTCTGTGGGTTACAGAAGTGTCACAGGCCTGTTTATAGTTACTGAATTGTAGACTCGAGGCTGGATCTTACAGAGCCTTGTTGGTTTGATTTGGATTTACTCAGATTTGTCCAAAGGGACATTTCGTATAGGTAATGCATGTATGGAATGCACCCCTGTACCAAGTTTTTGTTCCTAAAAACTTCTTCTTCTCTAGTGTCTTCTGCTTCCCTGCCAACAGTTTGCCTCCCCACAAATGTTAGTGTAGTTTTGTTTATTTAACACTTATATAGCACTTACTTGTACTGTGCACTGTTCTGAATACTTTCAAAGTGTTAATTCATTTAACTTATCATAATAAGCTTATGAGATAGGCACTATTTTTTAAACCAACACAAAAGCAAAAACCTTGAAGGACAAGAGTAATAATTTGTGGAATTAAAGTAGCTCCTATATGAAAAAGGTAATTAAAAGAGAAGCTATAGTCCAGGAGAAGAAATTTGTAATTTATGTAACTGATAAAGGATTTATTTCTAGACTAGTACAAAATTCCTGTAAGTCCATAAGAAGACAGTTTCACTGAAAAAAAAAAAAAGAATAAAACAGGACAACCCTCAACATCTGATGACCCTTAGTCCCATGAAAAGATGCTTAATTTCTCCAACTGTGGGAACTATAAATAACCATGAGATATACCATGCTCCCTCTATCGGACAATAGCAAAAGTTGGTGAGAATATTGAGCATGGTGGAAGTAGTGAATGGCATCAATTACTTTAAAGTGCAATTGGGCAAAATCTAATACAGCTGAAAATGTGTCTAGTTTCTGACTGAGAGGCTCTGCTTCTTTCTCTGTCTACCCTTAGGAAATCACTGATAAGTAAATGATATTTACTGTTACTATGCAGTGTGCTAAGCAATTTACAACTACTATAATTTCCTTAGAACAAATGAGAAAATTGGAGCTCAGAGAAATTAAGCAACTTGCCCATGGTCACAAAAGTAGATTAAGATTAAATGTCAGACTTATCTTCTCAATGAATTTTATTTATTGATTTATTGATTATCTTCTATATAAGGCAGCAGTGTGTAGTGAGATGGGCTATGGGCCTGGAGTGTACAGACTTGAATGTGAGTATCTTAATACTTCAATTTTTCATATTCCAAATAGGAAGCATTTGTCTTTTCTCACAGCATTCTTGAAAGAATCAGTTCATAAAATCGTTGCCAATATTATGAGACATTTTGGAACCATTGGGTTGATCAGTGGTTAGTTGGAAAGAAGTCAGGGATGGGTAGAGCCCAGGCAACACTCCCAGTGCTCCCAAGTGGCCTTGGGGGCGGACAGTAGCTCAATTGCCAGTGGCCTAAGGGTGGTCCTATATCTTAGAGTTTGTTTGCATTTTTGTTAATATCTAATGAGTCTACCCTACTGAATGAACCTAGAGAAATACCAATTCAAGATCTCCTCCAGCTAAGAGATTTGAGCCTTCAGATCCAGACATTGCCCTATCTACTTCTCTAAGCCTCAGTTTCCTAAATCATGAAGATCATAAAACTCATGTCATAGGAGGACTAGAAATAGTATTTCTTGTGGTGCCTGGTACATAAAAGGCTTCAGTTAATGTAGCACTAAGATACTGTATTTTAAAAACCTACTGCCTTTTTAAGCCCTCTGTGGGACTGGCCTTTAGCACCACATCACTTACAGAGCTTTGTGTGGTCTACTTTCATGAACTTCACCACCAGAAGTCAAGCAGTAGAAGGTGGTGATTAACACATGAGCATTGGACCCAAGATAGAATTTCTGCTTGGTGCATAATGTTTACGTGAATTTAAAAGGTAACTTAAATTTTCTAAACCTTGATTTGCTTATCTTTAAAGTGAACATAATGATGGTATTAATACTTACCCCACAGGATGTTGGAAGAATTAAGTGAAGTAATGTGTACTAGTAGCTTAGCACAGAGCCTTGCATTTACTAAATGCTTAATAAATGGTTCATTTTTAAAAAGTTAATCTTAATTAGTTAAGATTTTTATGAAGATCCTATTGATAATTGGGCTTGTGACTCTAACCCAAATCTATTCAAAACTCATGTGTATTGTAGCACACTTCCTGTGTTTGTTTGAAGACTTCCAGTAACCTGACTGCCTGTGAATTTCCTATTATTAGTAATATTTTTAATATACATCAGACAATGACTTTGAAGGAATGTAGAAAACAATGGAATTTTATTTTCAAATATATGTGTCTGTCTATATATCTAGATAATATAGGTATATATATATCTATATACATTCTTTTTTTTTTTTTTTTTTTTTTTTTGGAGACTCGGTCTTGCTCTTTCACCCAGGCTGGAATGTAGTGGCATGATCATGGCTCATTGTAGCCTCAACCTCCCAAGCTCAAGTGGTGCTCTCACCTCAGCCTTCCAAGTAGCTGGACCTACAGGCAGTCACCACCATGCCTAGCTAATTTTTGTATTTTTTGTAGAGAATGGATTTTGCCAGGCTAGCCTCAAACTCCTAAGCTCAAGGGATCCTCTTGCCTTGGCCTCCCAAAGTGCCAGAATTACAGGCATGAGCCACTGTGCCTGGTCTCATGTATACCTAATTTGTGGAGGGTTTTTATCATGAAGGGATGTTGAGTTTTGTCAAATTTAGTCAAATGCTTTTTCTGCATCAAGTGAAATGATTATTCTGTTAGTGTGATGTATCAGGTTTATTGACATACATTAGGTTGAACCATCTTTGTATCCCTGGGATAATCGTTTTAATATGCTGTTGAACTCCATTTGCTAGTATTTTGTTGAGGACTTTTGCATCTATGGTCATCAGGGATATTGGCCTGTAATTTTCTTTTATTTTTGTGTTTTTGTCTGGTATTGGTATCAGAGTAATGCTGGCCTTGTAAAATGAGTTTGAAAGTATTCTTTCCTCTTCAGTTTTTGGAAGAGTTTGAGAATAATTGGTATTTGTTCTTTAACTGTTTTGTAGAATTCAGCTGTGAAACCATCAGGTCCTGGGCTCTTCTTTGATGGCAGACTTTTTATTACTGATATTGTTTCATTATAATTCAATTATGGTAGGTTGAGTATATTTAGGAATGTATCTGTTTCTTCTAGGTTATCCAATATGCTGGCACATGATTGTTTGTAATAATCTCTCATGATCATTTGTATTTTGTGATGTCAGTTGTAATGTCTTTTTAAATGTTTTTGGATTTTATTTATTTGAGTCTTCTTCTTTAAAGAACTTGGACCCCTCAATGATTTGTTGAGTTTATCTTTTCAAAAGCCAATTCTTTGTTTTGTTGCTTTTTTATTTTTATTTTTTGTAGTTCCTATTCATTTATTTCTGCTCTGATTTTTAATATTTCCATTGATTTATAATTTTGGGGTTGGTCTGTTTTTGCTTTTTTAGTTCCATGAGGTGCATGATTAGATTGTTTATTGTTAATCTTTTTACTTTTTGATGTAGACACTTACTGCTATAAACTTCCCTCTTAGTACTGCTTTTGCTGTGTTTCATAGGTTTTGGTATGTTGTGTATCCATTTATATTCACGTCAAGAAATTTTATAATTTTTCTTTCATTTTTCTTCCTTCCTTTTTTTTTTTTTTCAATTGAAGTGAAGTCTTGCACTGTTGTCCAGGCTAGAATGCAGTGGTATAATCATAGCTTACTATAACCTCAAACTCCTGGGCTAAAGCGCTCCTCCTGCCCCAGCCTCCTTGTACTATAAGCAAATTCTACAAATTCTACCACACCTGGCTAACTTTTTTTTTTCTGTAGAAATAGGGTCTCACTATGTTTCCCAGGCTGCTCTTAACTCTTGTTAAGGAGCATGTTCAGGAGCATGTTGTTTTATTTCCATTTGTGAATTTTCTAAAGTTTCCGCTATTACTGATATCTATTTTTATACTATTTTGGTCAGAAAAGATAGTTCATATGATTTCAATCTTTTTTTTTTTTTTTTTTTTTTTGACACAGAGTTTCACTGTTGTTGCCCAGGCTGGAGTGCAATGGCACGATCTCGGCTCACTGCAATCTCCACCGCCCAGGTTCAAGTGATTCTTCTACCACAGCCTTCCAGGTAGCCGGGATTACAGGCATGTGCCACCACACCCAGCTGTTTTTTTTTTTTTTTTTTTTTTTTTTTTGTATTTTTAGTAGAGAAGGGATTTCACCATGTTGGCCAGGCTGGTCTCGAACTCCTGACCACATGAGATCCACCTGCCTCAGCCTCCCAAAGTGCTGGGATTACAGGCGTGAGCCACCATGCCTGGCTGAATCTTAAATTTTTTAAGACTTGTTTTGTAGGCTAATATATGATCTGTCCTGGAGAATATTTTACATGTAGTAGAGAAGAATGTGTTGGATGGAATGTTCTACATATATATATTTCCATTTGGCCTAGATCATTATTAAGTCTAATGTTTCCTTGTTGATTTTCTGTCTAGATGATATGTTTATTTTTTAAAATGTCATATTAAAATCTTTTACTACTATTGTATTGCCGTTAATCTCTCCTTTTAGAACTATTCATATTTACTTTATGTATTTAGGTGTTCTGATTTGGGTACATATGTATTTACAATTGTTATGTCCTCTTGCTGAAGTGACTCCATTATTATTATATAAGGTCCTTCTCTATTGTCTTTACAGTTTTTGCATTAAAGCCTATTTTTTTCTGAGTCTAGGAACTCTTGCTTTCTTTCGGTTTTCAGTTGTGTGCAATATATTTTTCCATTCCTTCACTTTCAGTCTGTGGGTATCCTTAAAGATGAAGGGAGTCTCTTCTAGTCAGCATACTACAAGAGAAAGAAAAGAAAACCAACTGGTTTTTCTTTCCTTTTACTTTTATTTATTTATTTATTTTTAATTCATTCAACTACTCTGCTCTTTTTTTTTTTGGAAGAATTTAATCCAACAAATTCGATGTACTTACAGATAGGTATGGAGTTAATACTGCCATTTCAGTCATTGTTTTGTAGTTGTTTTGTAGATTCTTTTTCTTTTCTTTCTCTCTTGCTGTCTTCCTTTGTGGTTATTTGAATTTTTTTCTAGTAGTATGTTTTAATTTCTTGTTTTTTACTTTTTGTGTATTTTTTCTTTGTGAATACCATGAAGTTTACAAGAACTTATGATTTTTGTAATAGTTATAGCACGTAACAATAGTTATAGCACATTATTGTAGTTAATAACAATTTTTGATTGCAACAACAAAAAACTCTACATTTTCACTTCACTCCCTCTTCTCCACATGTTGAATTTTTGATGTCACAACATTCATCACATTACATTCCATATTCTTTAACGAATTATCATAGTTGTTATTGTTTTTAATAGTTTTATCTTTTAACCTTCATTCTAAAGATATAAGTAATTTACACACCATCATTACCATATGAGTATATTCTGAATTTGATTGTGTACTTACTTTTATCAGTGAGTTTTATACTTCAGATTTTTCATATTACTCACTCATGTCCTTTTCTTTCAGCTTGAAGAACGATCTTTAGCATTTCTGGTAAGGCAGGATGGATTTCCTTAGCTTTTATGTGTCTAGAAAAGTCTTTATTTCTCCTTTATTTCTGAAGGATAACATGCTGGGTACAGTATTCCTGGTTGATGGTTATTTTCCTTCCATGTGTTAAATATATCATCTCACTCTCTCCTGACCTGTAAATGTTTCTGTTGAGAAATCTTCTGCCAGGTGTATTGAAAGTTGCTTATATGTTAATTGCTTCTTTTCTCTTGTTGCTTTCAGTATCCTCTCTATGGTTTTGATATTTGACAGTTTGATTATAATATATATTTGGTTAGCCTGATTTTGATGAAATCTGTTTGGAGATCTTTGATTTTTCCATGAACAAATATTTATATCTTTCTCCAGGCTTGGGAGGTTTCCTGCTGTTATTTCTTTAAATGTGGTTGTACCCCTTTACCTTTCTCCACTCTCTTGAATGCCAACAACTGCTCTTTTAATGTGGTCTCATACCTCCATTAAGCATTCTTCATTTTTTTTTCTTTTTCTCCACTGCCCGTATATTTTCAAATAATCTGACTTTGAATTCACAGATGTTTCTTCTACTTGGTTAATTCTTTTTTTAATGTTCTCTATTGCAGTTTTTTTTTTTTGGGGTGGGGTTCACTTCATTTTCACCTCCAGGATTTGGGATTTTTAAAAATTATTTTAATTTCTCTGTTACATTTCTCTGATATTTGTTTCTCTGTATTTTCTTTAAGTTCACTGAGCTTCCTTAAAACTGCTATTTTGGGCCAGGCGTGGTGGCTCACGCCTTTAATCCCAGAACTTTGGGAGGCCGAGGCAGGAGGATCACCTGAGGTCAAGAGATAGAGACCATCCTGGACAATATGGTGAAATCCCATCTCTACTAAAAATACAAAAATTAGCTGGATGTGGTGGTGCATGCCTGTAGTCCCAGCTGCTCAGGAGGTTGAGGCAGGAGAATCATTTGAACCCAGGAGGTCGAGGTTGCAGTGAGCCAAGATCACACCACTGCACTCTAGCCTGGTGACAGAGCGAGACTCTGTCTCAAAAAACAAAACAAAAAACAAAAAACAAAAACAAACAACAGAACAAAACAAAAAACACACACACACACAAACTGCTATTTTGAATACTTTGTCATGCACTTCACTGATCTCTATCTCTTCAAGGTCAGTCCCCAGCACCTTATTTTGTCCGTTTGGTGATGTCATGTTTCCCTGATTGTTCCTGATCCTTGTGGTTGTGTTTTGATGCCTGTGAATTGAAGGAGATATTTGTTACAGTCCTCACCATCTGGTTATGCCTAGTAATGTTCCTCAACAGTAAACCTGTCCAGAAATCTTGAGCAGACCCACTGTAGTGGTCCCAAAGCCTATGATCACTATAGCTATTGCAGCACTAGAAGGAGCTCTAAGCCCAGGACAACCATGGCCAGTGCCACCCAGGCTTGAGTTCCTTGACTTATACAGCTGGTACAGAAGCTGTCTGGAATCAATCTGAGGAAGACTCAATGAGAGCACCAGCTTTGTGTGGAGGCTGTTCGTGGGTTCAAGCCTGGAAGACCTGTGGTCTGTGTTTCCTGCAGCATAATGTTTTTGGCTAGTTTCTCTTGTGTGGTACCTTCACTGGCCAGAATGCAGAGCAACCACCAGGGTTTGTATATTTGTTGCTATGAGCTCCAACCCTGTGCTTTGTTTCTAACTGAGCCTAGGTGGTCTAGCCCTGCTGGTACTCTCAAAATTTCTCATGAGATCTCGGAATGGTGGGGAACCTGAATGTCTGCTTTGAGTTCCACTTTTCCCACTGCAGAAATTGTGAATGTAGGGCAATTCACAGTGTGTGGTGCTGTTTTGGCTTGGGAGAGAAGTGACAGGGCCAGAGAATTGTTCTTCTTACCATTTCATTACAGTTTTTCTCAGTTTTTTGGTGCAATAGGATGTCTCAGCCTCTCAAGTCCTTGAATATTCAGACTGGTACTTTTGCCTGATGTTAGTTACTAGTTGGATTTCTTTGTGGAGGAGTTCAGCTATACAATGCCTATTCCTTCATCTTGCTGCTGTCACTCTAAAAGAATGGATTTTTAAGGTCATTTGAATTCCTGAGATCTTATGACTCTGGAAAGTATAGGAAGTCCCTAAATTGAAACATGATGTTTTAAGCATTTTTATGTTAGTCAGTTTTTGAAATGTGAATTTTTTTTCCCTAAGACATACTGCAAGATTTTCTGCAAGACATACAGAATTTAGGGACTGGTCTCAAAGAAAAATTAAGAGGAGATGCTGTGCTATTCCATTTTAATCTAAGAGTCTCAAATTGTCGTCCTTCTCTCAGTGTCTGGGTCTGATTAAACATAGTCTTTCCAAGGTTTTAGGAGACAATTATGTACCACATTAATTCAAACTAATGTCACTGAGAGACTCTTATTCTTTCCAAATCATCATATATTCACTCATTCAGCAAATACTGAGTGCCAGTTATCTTCTAATTACTGTGTAAATGGCAGTCAAGTAACAGTCTGTTTTTAGTGTGAGAGAAGATAGTGGTACTGGGGAAGGAGACAGTCAAACAGACTTGAGATACAACTAACATTGGTGACTTTTTGGAAGGAGGAATATTGGAGGCAATATGTTTTTAACCAGATATTGCTATAGTCTGGGTGTGCGGAATCAAGGGCCAGGACTGTGATAGTTACAGTGCGAATGGAGGAGTAGTTGATTCTATAAGGCAATTGTATCTAAGTTGTAAGAAATGATGAAAAGGAAGGAGTTCCAGGTTTAGCCAAGGGTGTGAGTTCTGGCAAGTGAGGAATCCTAGGTTTATGAAGGAAATGGAAATCATAAAATCTTCCGTGGTCATGATATCATGGGGATGCTAATGCATCTGAATGGAATTATCCTATGATACTTAGAAAAAGGGAACTAGGGAAAAAAAGGTCTGGGCTGGTAATATGGATTTGGATGTCATCTGCATAGAGATGACAAGATGGCTTAGGTGAGTAAAAGAGAACAAAGAGTACTGGGAGTGTCAAAAAAAAAAGCACAAATATCCAAAGCAGTATTTAGAGAACCAAGGGAGGGCCGGGTGTGGTGGCTCATGCCTGTAATTCCAGCACTTTGGGAGGCCAAGGCAGGAGGATCACCTGAGGTCAGGAGTTTGAGACCAGTCTGGCAAACATGGTGTAACCTGTCTCTACTAAAAATACAAAAATTAGCCAGGCGTGGTGGTGGGCACCTGTAATCCCAGCTATCTGGGAGGCTGAGGCTGGAGAATCGCTTGAACCTGGGAGGTCGAGGTTGCAGTGAGCCGAGATTGCACCACTGAACTCCAGCCTGGGCGATAGAGCAAAACTCTGTTTCCAAAAATAAATAAATAAATAAATAAATAATAATCTAGGAAACCAAGGGAGAATGGTGTCACAAGAACTCCAGGTAGAATAGTTAACATCATCAAATACTACATAGTGATGTAGTGTGACAACCATGAAAAGAATATTGGATTTGACAAATGATCACTGGAGACCTTTCGAGACTGGGTAAGAAAAGGCATTCATGACCAAACCAGATTTCAGAGGCTCGGGAGTGATGGTGGATTGAAAACAGATATATAAGAGTAATTAAAAGGGTTAGGAATGTCTAGAAAACAATTTTTTTTTCAAATGGGAACTTGTTTTTGTTATTGATAATAATATGGAAGATACTACTAATCAGCAGATTTTGGATGCATCAGAGGCAAAGCGTATGTTGCCTCCTGTCAAGTTTCTCATCTACGTCAGCCATACATCTCTAGTCTCACCTACATCAGCCCATTGTCCGCATCAGTGCTGAGTAGGTCAGTCCCCTGCCTAAAGACCTCTCTGGGTTCCTTGTTGCAAGAAGAAATCCAATATTCTTAGCACAGCAGACAAGTTGCTTTGCATTCTGGTTCTAAACTCTCTGTCACATTTCATCTTCTGCCACTTGGGGCACGGGAGATTTCAGATTCTTTCCAAGTTAGATCTTTGTATATATTGCTCTCTCTACCTGGAAGAGCCTTTCTCTCATCTTTCATATGTCTAATTCTAACTTGTCTTTCAACACTTGGCTCAAATATCGCGTTGTTTTTGAACGCTTTCCTGCCTCCGTGGGTCCAGTGCAAGTCTCCCTCTTTGTTGCTTCAACCATAAGTTGTTTCTTCGTAACTTTGTTTCAGCATCCTGCATTGTAATTCATCTATTTTCATAGCTGTGTTCTCCATTAGACTATATGAACTCTTAACACAGGGACGGTCTTTTTTATTGCAATCTCCATGGCAGATGCAAAACAAACTCTTGCTAAAAGCATCGGGAATGAATGTGTATCAATGTAATAATATATACTGAGGTATATACGATAGAAGTGAAGAAGCATATTATTAGTGCAAAAAATGAACAGTTTCACCTCTGCTCCTTCATTTTTTAGCTGTGACCATATATAATGAATAAAATATGTGAAGCTATGCATTCTGAGTGTATTCTGCTACAGTCATTATGTGTTAGAACGTGGTTTTGGAGTTAAGCAGTCTCAGCTTTAAACATGACATCTGACTCTAAAAGCTGAATGAATTTGAGCAAGTTAATTTCTCTGAACCTGAGTTTCCTATTGGTCAAATGAGGATAATACTGTATAGTGTGGTTGTGAAGATAAAATTGACAAAATATAGACTAAACAATTTAATAACCAGCATTTCGTTGTCACTAATGTCACAATTATTTCCAACTCTCACCTTCATGACTGAGATCTCTTGTTAGTTTCTGTCTGGTCTTGTATTTGTCTCATTTGCAACTTTAATTCATTTTATAAAGAGAAAAATGTTTCATTTCTTAAGTGGAATGTTGATGTTAGGAAATTTAACATCAGCTGTGCTTCACCTATCTAAATGATACCATTTGATTCATAATACTCATTCCCAGTATTAAGTGAATTTACAAAAATCTAGAATGAAATATATGTGTTGATTTAGTAAGTTGCCAATTAAATTTGAATTGTTTGTGAGTCTCCAAATAATTTCCCAGTGAAGGCCCTAGGTTCACTTGCTAAGCTGGATCTGAGGACATTCTTTTTGTCTTATCTTCTGAAATCTATTGCCCTGAGTGATTTAGATCAGCTTTTTAAATTTTTTTTAGCAGAATTTTTGTGGTTAATAAAAACATGTGCTTACAGCTTTTTGCATAAAGGATTCCACATCCGATTTAGATCAAGAGATAGATTTTTAGAAAAAAAATGATGGATATGTCCTCTGAGAGCAGTGGAATGCAACGATGTTCTGTCTCTCTCTGATTGAGTTCATGGCATTTCAGAACCCTTCCACACCCACACCCACGCAAAGACGCAAACAGTGGTCACAACTGCAGCTCCCGCAGTCTCATTTCCAGAGTGCATCCATTGTTTTCCATAACATGAAATAAATCCCTCTCTTTTGCCCAGTGGTGAAAAGCTTATATAAATACTAAAACTTCAACTATTCCCCTGAGTTTTCTGTTGGCTAACCTGCAGCCATGGGTTGTTTGGATATTGACATGCATTTTCTGTGTAGATCTTTCAGGCCACTTTGGTGAGTCCAGTGGTGATAAATTCTGTTGTCTTGAAAATTTATCAGGCTAACTGTTTTAACACTCCATTTATGAAAACTTAAGTAATTGACACCCTATTCGAAAAGGCTGCAGGTTCAAAGTATCTCTTTTATTCTTTCAGCATATATCATTTTGATGATATTTATCTATATATATTTTAGGAGGCCTTGGCCAGGAGATGACTGGAACAGTCATTGAAAAGAAAGTAAGAATGTAAAGAATTGATTAGAGCCCAAACATTTAACCTTGCATTGTTATTCTTATGAAAGATTTTTTAAAACTATATTTAGAAGTGAAGTATTTTATTGTATACCAAATAGGGGTAGTTAACATTAGTGGGCTGAAATTAAAATGTATAATAAAAAATCCTTATCCATCAAATTGGAGAGAAAATGGAAGGCATATACTTAAAAACAAAAATCAATACTTGGTGTATAGTGGGCAATCAGTAAATGAATGTGTGGATAGGATTGATTAGACTCCTAGTGAAATGTAATACTACCTTTATAAAAAATATTTATTATATCCTTAAGTAAAAACTTATATGATTGAACATCATTGTTCATATAGTAGCCTTATTTTGGAACATACATTTATTCCATTTTTTTCTTTTTATTTCTCGTTTTTCATTTCTTCTCTTACATAGCAATCAATGAAGTGTACTTCAGTATTGAAATTATTCTTTTTGTTTGTTTGTTTGTTTTTTTGAGATGGAGTTTTGCTCTTGTTGTCCAGGCCTGGAGTGCGATGGTGCGACCTCACTCACTGCAACGTCTGTCTCCTGGGTTCAAGGGATTCTCTTGCCTCAGCCTTCTAAGTAGCTGGGATTACAGGCACCCGCCACCATGCCTGGCTAAATTTTTGTATTTTTAGTAGAGACAGGGTTTCACCATTTTGGTCAGGCTGGTCTCGAACTCCTGACCTCAGGTGATCCACCCACCTTGGCCTCCCAAAGTGCTGAGATTACAGGTGTGAGCCACCACGCCCGGCTGAAACTATTTCTATGCTTTTTTTTTTTTTTTAATGGTGAAAGAAGTAAATTTAATACATTTTCCTCTGGAGTCTGCAGATTTGAAGCTAATTCTAGCTATGTACAGGAGAACTGAAGGGAAGTCCATGAATACTCTACTATTGTTTCACTAGCCCTTTCATATTAGTAAAACATTTTAGTCTACTTTGGCTAATATTTTAAAAATGTCTCTTTGGTTACCTAGATTATTAATTAATTAAAACAGGTTTGATATTTTAATAATCAATAATTCTGAAATTCTTCATACCTTAGAAACTAATTGTGTTGTGGTGTCCCTATAGATCCAAGATTTTATTTCTGTGTTCACTGTTTTTACAGAGAAGAAATATAAAACAATAAATCTCATAAATGTGTTAGCTTCCCTTCCTTGAGACCTATTAGAGAAAATAAAGAAAATCCATGTGCTTTTCTGTCTATGAAGTCCAATTTTAAATTATAGTAGAAATAAAACAGACAAAGGATTTGGATGAATTTGAGTTTTGTTGGTTAAACTGAAATATCACTCTTTGCATGTCTTGAGTTGTGCTGGTTAGTAAATCACAGTGCAAAGGTTGTTTGTAGGCCAATGGTTGTGACCATTAATTTTTGTGTACTTTTCCCAAAGCTTTCTTAAAACAGCTATATTAGTATTTTTTTTGTTTTGAAGAATAATATATCAGTGCCTATCCTAACCCGATTTCCACTACCTGAGACCTAAAAGACATATTGCCCAATGACTTCACGCTCAAAGTACAATGATATTATTATTATTAAATTCATAAATTGCTCAGAGAGTTCATAGCAATAGAAATAGGAAGAATTACATCTCTAAATGATGGATTTTTAAACACTAGCACCTGGGTGGCTACTCTTATCCACCACAGGGCCACTCAAGTCATTTCATACAGACAACCTTCTCTCAAATGAGGTGTAAAGAAAGACTAGGAAACATAGTTTTATGACTATTGCTTGCTTTCAAAGAGGGCCACATGATAGAAGAGGCTGTGTTACATTCCTTCCTGTGTAAAAAATTTATCCTTGTTTGTCTTCTTAGGTTTGAAGAAGAACTGACCAGCAAGTGGTTATATCTTTTTGAAGGCAGTGGAGTCCCGTATGGCCCAATCAACAACATGAAGAATGTATTTGCAGAACCTCAGGTTTGTTTTTGAAGTTTAACAACGCCTCTGTTTTCTGTCCAGATTGACTTATATCAAGGTACCTTTGCCATTGATCGCAAGCTTAAGTCACATGATGTGAATTTTCACCATCATATTAAAATTGTTTGTGGGTCTGAGATAAAAAGAACCAGAACTTAGAAGTGCCTGTCCATAAGCATACTTATGTCTCTGTTAGATTTAATATACTGTATTTCTTCATCAGCCACTACATGAAGTTTCTGTGGCCAGGGTATTTAATTTTCCTGAAAAACAGAAATATACACAATTGAGATATTGGGGTTGGGTACTCAGAGACTATTCTTTGTAGGAAGAAATATGAGAACTTTCATACCTCTGATCATATGATTATCTTAAACCTCTGATCATATGATTATACCTCTGATCATATGATTATCTCTCTGATCATATGATTATCTTAAAATGTACAGAGCAAGTCATATTTAATTCTGCAGATGAGAGGACTTTGTTTGCTTTGATGAATATGTGTTATTTGTAAGGCATAAATTTTACACAGATAGATATTTGTGCTCTACGTTGCTTATCAGGCTCCTTTTTGGGCTCCAGGAACAGGGTCACCTGAAAATATATTTACTTTATAACATTGTTCAAGTGATTATTTTTAGATTATGTGAAAATAATGTTTTGATTTTATTACTTCAATCAAAAAACTACAAGCAATTTACCATTTCTCAAATTCATCCATCGATCCCCAAAAGTACAGGGAGTCCATTTTAAAGCTTTCACTATGATTATTCAACTGTCTTGTCAGTTTCCAAAATTCAAAACCATGGGGTATATTTTCTTGGGTTCTTTATATTTATATCGTGGCAGGTTTTTCTTAGAAATAAATTACTGAGCATAGAATACACCTTTTGAGGGAGGAGACCTTTGTTGGAAAACCTTTGGTGCCTTTTATCTTACATGAATATCTGCTTAAAAGAAAATTGAAATATTTTAAATTTAATGGTTACTACATTTACTGGAGAAAAAAAGTGAATGAATTCAGGAATTCTGCTTGTGCTATTTTTTCGGCCAAGATTGTGAATATCTCAAGGCTTTGTTCATGTTAAAACTTTGGTCAATAATGGTCAATAAGTATTTGAGATAAAGGGGCCCATTTGGTGTGTACTATGTGAATTCATCTGAAAGGGACCCCACACCATCAGTGGATTAATGCCTGGTGATTCTTTACAAGGAGGTAGCATTGTGCATACTCTGAATATAGTAGACCAGGGGACTGTTTTTCTCACTTTATAACTTTGAGTGAGGCCAAGCCATCATTTGAAGCTGTCGTGTATTGAGGTGTACGTAGAACTTCATGTTTACCTCAGTTTGAGGGTACATTTTTCTGGAGATATTTCCTAAGAGTTTTTCCATCAGCATTTCTATTGCTCCATCTGTGTTTTATTAGAGATGAAGGCACCAAAGCAAAGAGTTATTTTTAAATAATTATATTATTTAAAAATATATTAAGTATATTCTAACACTACCTATTTTTTAGGCTTTGATAAACAAAGATTTATAATCCCACCCACTATCTTAAAATAATTCACTTTATTGGCTAGCTCAAAGTGAATATAGGATAATTAGGATTTTTATAACTAATTTTCTCTTGTGGTTCAATGTAATTACTTTAATCTTTGCATCTCAATTCTTCTGGAACTACAAAAATTTTTGTTATTGGTCTATGGCATATTTTCAGTCATTAGCCAGTTTCCAAAATGGAGAAAATTTATATTACCTAAGTCAACGTACAAGCTTTTCATACTATTACAAATGTCTCTACAAACTGCCCTGTGTGTAAATTTGTGTAAAACAGATTATTTTTGAAAACCCTCCAGATGACATCTAACTGTGATGACTTAGTTCATTCATTTATTCAACAAACTTATGATATATCCAGTGCTTGTGACTTAGCAGAAACTCAGTACACAATGTGTACCTGCTATTTAAGTCCATTTTGAATTTATTTATTAGAAAGGTAGGGGTTAATGAGTTGTTTAACTCTGGAATGTGCAAGTTTTCCAAATAATCAAGTTGCTCCTCTGCAGTCCCCCCTCCCCTTTTTAAAATCCTCCCCACCAGAACTATCATCCTGTGTACTCCTGAGTGAGGCTGACAAGCTCTATCTTCAGGGCTGGTTGTAAAACCCTTGGTGATCTGAGGGAACTCAGTGTAACATAATGGTTAAGACCATGGAGTCAAAATTGGTGGGCAGTTTATTATAAACTTCTAGACTTTAGTTTCCTTAAGTGTAAAATGGTGAAATAGCATCTGAGATACTGTTTATGAAGGGAACAGCACAAGGATTGCAGGATGGTAAACAGCCAATGCCTAGTAGTAGCTGTGGTTATGATGGTGCCCTTTAAGGTTATATTCTTGTTTAACTTCTTTTACTTACCTTTGTGTAGTGGATAGAGGAAAATCCAGTGTAGCTTTGGGGATGGGGATCATTAAGTTAAGCTTGCACTCTACTATCCTTTTATAAAAATATATCTGCAAAATCTATGCCAAGAAGAGAAGTTCCCTTCCTCATTTCTGATGATTGAAAATCCTTTTATTTTTCATTTTCCGTAAAAGTTTTTTCTAAGTATGATTTCCGTTTAAGGTATCCTCCCTTGTTTTGCCTCTGATGAGCTGCAGAGTTTCTTGGCGCTTGGTGCATGGAAACGGCCACTTCTGTTCAGATGTGGGAACGCACCACTGGCGCGTGTGGCCCACTCTCCATGTGCGCTGTGCCAGCACAGCTGCTAGTTCAACTGGAAATTGCTTTGGGTGAAGTACAAGGCCTGGAACATGGCGTAGGAATGGAGACTTTGATAAAGTGAAAAGGGGTATGTCTAACAACAACAACAAAAGCCAGGATTGGGAGACTCAGTAACGGCAGAAAAATTTGAGTGCCTACTTCTCAAGTAGACCATTTACAGCATTTCATTTGTGGTTTGAACTTGGAGACAACAAAAATTTACTTGATGGTAGAAACTATTTCTAGCCTAACAATTTCATCATAGTCTCATGGATTGAGGTAACTTGATTTTTCGATTCAATCAAAACAACAGATGATATTTTTTTTTCATGGATAAATGAGAGATTGTCTACCTTTTATCCTCTGATTATATGTGACAGACCTTTGCACAGTTAAAGTGATCCTGCAGGCATACACTGTTAAGTCAATCAAGAATACTGCAGGCTGGTTGGAGGGGGATTGGTCTGCATTTACTGAAAGTTCTGAGGAGTTTTTATTCAAAACCCTTAGAGTGGGAGTTTTATTGTCTTTCTCAATGACAAATTATCTGTGGAAAGCTCTGTGCATTATAGATGTATAATATAGATTATCTGCATATAGATTTTAATAGCCAGTCATTTTTCCAAGTGCTTTCTTAAAATATCTTCTTTTAATCAAGCCAAGATTGTGCAGTACATTAAAGGAATTCTTAAAAAGTTTCAAAAACTTACTAGATGACCTCAGTATGGTCCTATTTAACATACCCTTGGGAACATGTGCATGAAATACATTGTGGTTTGAGGGTTTCCAACTGAAACACACTTAAAAGAAAATACAGCTTTTAATAGAAACTATTCAAATTCCTGCAAACATAGGTATATATCTCACCACTGAGAGGGATTAAAAGCATCATTGTCTACGTTGAGAATGAAAAGGGAATGTGCCATTCTGCTTTCAGGCTTTGCTTAAGACTTTTTACTTGGTGATTCCAGCATATCACCATCTTTGATTAAACTGCTCAATTAAAAACTATGAGTGATTGAAGCCTCTGATTAGTGTTTTTCTTTGTCATGGATGCCATGACCTGAGGGTAGGGAAGAGAGGGCACAGGGTGTCACAAACCTGGTGTTATTTAATAGAGTCTTCACATTTGTACCACACAAGTCGAATATATCAGGTGTAAGACATCACCCTGAAGCATCACTTCTGAGATCTATTGGGAGGAAAATATCAGAACTATTGAAATATCACAGCTGGCCCTGATTTTAACTAGTGCCAAACACCTGCAGGCTCTAAAAGGATACCAAAACAAAACCCCACCCTGTGGCAGCAAGCCATCCCTTAACAACCCTTTCTTAACTTTGCATCACCATCAAAATTAATTTAACATTTTCTCCAGAAACCTTATTCTTCCTGTCCCAGAAGGCCATTACAACCCCTTTAGCAAATCTTTTGTATGGGATGAATATGTCATAGAAACAGAGTGAAGTCTTGAAATATTTGATGGCTGAAAATTGTCTGTTTTCATCTCATTATTTGTATAAGCTTTTGAAATTGGAGAGTTTATTAATCTCTAGACTAGCTCATATTATCTGAGTGATTTTGTTTTAGCACATTTTGGCAAAATATCTGAGCATCTTATTTTTTAAAAAAGGCCAATGTTCATATAGCAAACTTCAGAAGCACCCCCAAAATACAGTTATTTTTCAAGACCTTTCTATCACACACACACACAGACACGCACACACACAAACACATACACATACACATACACACAAACACACCCACACTCACTTCTGATGCATTTTAAAGATCACCTTTCAAATGACATTAGTTAATATTTCTTGAAATGCAGTTTCATAGCCCTCAGAGGGTTATACAAGTCAAGCAAAATTATATTCTTGTTTCTAATACTGCTGGGAAATACATATATACAGTGGTCTTTGCAACTGGAAAACTGTTGGTAAAGATCTGATGTAAAATAGTAGGTCTGGAAATAATTCCTAGCAGGCAAGGAGATAAAAACATAAATTTTATGTGTGTCTCTGAATATACATGACACATTCAACTGATGTACAAATTTAGATACATCATATTATTTGTGTATTTGTTTTATCATCCCTGGGTGTAATATTTTAAGTATTTGAAGAAATAATGTATTTTTGATGTAGGTGATTAAATAAAATAAAAATGGAGAGTTTAAGCTCCCAGTTTTTTATTAATATATAAAGTATGAGGCAATAGTGTACAGTTTTATCTTGAGTTGAGAAAATTATCGTATTGCAAAAAACTTCCTGTGTTATTATTTAAGAGGAAATGTTAAAATGTCGAATAAGAATCAAGGACTTAGTATAACATTATGGGCATTTTATGTTCTTTTTCTTCTATATACCTACAAAATTTGGACACATTTTTTATGGACACAATGTCTTTAAGCTATAACACACAGGGACATAGGAGATCATAATCATTTCTTCATTCAGTCATCCCTTCCTTCATTCAATCATCCCTTCCTTCATTCAGTAAATCATCATTGACATCCACTATGTGTATGGTCTTGTGTTTGGTATTTGGCAAGGAATGGTACGATGGTAGAAAATGAATCAAGAGGACAAAGCTGTCAAAATTTCAAGGACTTTGCAGTTTAGGTTAAGGTAGAAAGTGTTCAGTGTCACAGAAGGGTTACCCATAAATGCTCTGAGCATTTCTAATAGCAAGAAATAACAGGCATAAAACTTGGGGTTTTCTTGTTTAATGATGTAACAAAAGTTTAAAATCTGACAAAAAAAATTTAAAATGTCTTAAGCATATTTGCCCCAGAACTCTTTATCCTTTCAAATGCCTGTTGTAATTAGTTTATTCTATTATTAATAAATTTCTTCTTAATGACTAAGAAGAAGATAATGGAGGGTTTCAGCTTTTACTATTTAGTAATTTTGAAATTATTTGTGACCTTGATACATAAAATATATTTTGATGTCTTATAACATTATTCTTTCTCTGTTTCTCGCTCTTTCTCTAGCATGTGCTATAGTTTATTCATCAAGCTCCACATATGTACTTTATGTTTTCTGAACACTTCTATAATATTTCAGAGTGGAAATATATAGTACAATCATTGACTTTTACTAAACTTTGAACTTGCAAGCCAAAGACATAATTGTTTTAATGTGTAAAAAATTAAAATCAAGAAAACTGAATTATACTATTTGGGGGCATTTTGCAACCCAGAATAAAGAGTAATTAGTACCAGCTAATTTTTGAAAGCAGTTTAGCACAGTGCTTTACAATAAAAATCTAATGCAAGCCATATTTATGATTTAAATTGTGTAATGGGCAAATTTTAAAAATAAAATAGCAAAATTAATTCAATATTAAATTAATAGCAAAATGTATAATTTTAATTATATATTTTATTTAACTTAAAATATTCAAAATATAAATGCAATTAAAATTAAAGGAGAACATTAATGAAACATTTTAAATGTTGTGCTAAGTCTTTGAAATCCATTGTGCATTTTATGCTTATAGCACTTGTTGCAGACTAGTCTCATTTCATGTACTCAGTAGCCATATGTGGCTATTGGCTGCAATGTTGGCGGGATCAAGCTAGCCAATTATAAAAATATGTGGGAGTTTGTTCTTCACTTTATTCTCCAGCTTTCCTCACTTTTTAGTTATTTTAATTTTCATTTGTTAGCCTCCAACTAAATTTAACATATAATTTTAGACTTAATATCATCATAGTATTTGCTTTGAAGGCATAAGAATTTCGTATTTTAAAAGTCCTATATGGAGTACGTAATTAGCATGCATTCTACTACCCGTTTCTTTTTGGCAACCTCCTAAATTTGTATTGGAAGGAAAAGCTTTTACTCAAACAAATGATTTCTATAGTAACAAAATGAAAACAGGTAATAAGTTAGCAACTATCTTTTCTCATACAAATAATGTCAGATTTTAGGGCTTTCAGGCTTGGTTTTTTTGAGGGAGTTGAAAAGAAAAATCCGAGGCCTAGATACAGAAAACTATCAATATTAACCTTGATTGAGAGACATAAAAGGTTTGAATATATGTAGAGACGTAGTCATTCATGGCTGCAAACACTGAATATTGTTAAGGTATCAATTATTCCCAGATTACTTATCGCTTTAATATAATTGCAATCAAAGTCCTGTTAGAATATTTTTCTGAAATTTTTTAGCAAGTGGTTTTTCAAGTCTACCATAAAAAACATGTGGACGAGAATAGCAAATATTTTGTATGTTTAAATATAAGTAATGAGAAGGAAGCAAGCATTATCATACATAATTAAATATATTCCAAAACCACAATAATGGGGCTAGCAAAAAATAAAGAGATAGATCAATGAAACATAAAGAAAAACTTTAAAACATGCATAGAGATTTGGCATGTGATAAAAATAGCATGACAAATAAGAGGAGAAAGGGAGACATTTTCTGTTTGAAATAACGGAAATTAACTGTTACTTTTCTCTTAAGATTATATCTATGCTTTATGCCCAGATAATAGAGGTTTCAGAGTTTACTGTAGACTATTTTTAATTAAAAGAAAGTATTCATGAAAATCAGTTAGATTTTAAGAAAAGGAAAGGTTTTCTAAGCATCAATGCAATAGCAGATGTCAGAAAGAAAAGAAATCGATAAATTTGGTTAGTAAAAGTGAAAACCTGTAAAGTACATATCGGTATGATAAAAATACAAAGTTTAGTTACAGAGCAATATTAAGTTATTGCAATGAATATGACCGAATGCTGTTGTAACATAAATATCTTAAGAGCTCTTAGAAACAATAGAAAACACTAAAATTTCCAAGAGAATAATGGGCAGAAGACATAAGATGCCACTTTGTACAAACTCAGAAAATCCAAAGAATCAATAAACATAAAATGAAGGTCAGCTTTGCTAACCGTAAATGGAAAGATACGTTCGTCAAAGAGTACAAACTTTCAAATATAAAACTTTTCATTTATAAAGGTACTTATAACATGAGTAAGTTCTGGAGACTTAAAGTACAGTATAGTGACTATAGTTAAGGAAAATGTATTTTCTACTTCAAATTTGTTGGGAGAATAGACCTTCTTCTTTTTTAAAAAACAAACAAACAAACAAACAAACAAGGTTTTGCTCTGTTTCCCAGGCTGTACTGCCTGGATAATTTTGTTTATTTTTTGTAGAAATGAGATCTCACTATGTTGCCCAGGCTGGTCTCAGCCTCTGGCCTCTGCCTGTGCTCCTGCCTCAGCCTTCCAAAGTGCTGGGATTATGTACCTGGCCAAGAATAGATTTTTTTTTTTCTTTGAGCAGTGCCTTGGTCTGTTGTCCTGGCTGGAGTGCACTGACACAATCTTGGCTCACTGCAACCTCTGCCTCTCAGGCTCAAGCAACTCTCATGCCTCAGCCTTCCCAGTAGCTAGGATTAGAAGGGCGTGCCACCACACCCGCTAATTTTTGTGTTTTTAGCAGAGACAGGGTTTCACCATGTTGGCCAGGCTGGTCTCGAACTCCTGGCCTCAAATGATCCGCACACCTTAGCCTCCCAGAGTGCTGGGGTAACAGGTGTGAGCCACCGTGCCCGGCCTAGATCCAGTTGTCTCGGTACCATTGTTGAAAAGACTTTTATTTTCTAGTGAATTTTCATGTCAATTAATCTTGCTCAAAATCAATTCACCATTAATATAAAGAGATTATTTATAAATTCTTGATGATTTAGGAATGTCTTATTTAGTATCCACTGTTATGTATTTCCCAAACTTTCTAATGTTAATTTCTGATATCACTCATTGTGTTTGAAAACATACTTTGTGTGATTTCAGCTCTTTTATATTCATTGAGTCTTGTTATGTCCTAGCATATAATCCATTTTGTAGAATATTTCATGTATTTTTGGAAGAATTTGTATTCTGTTGGAATATTTTGTAGATGTCTATTTGGTCCCTTTGTCTGTCTTACCAGTATGAAGGTATCTCTAATTCTAGTAACATTTTTGTTTTAATATCTATTTTCTGATATTAGTGTAGCCACTCTATTCTCTTTCATGGTGGTTGATTATATTATACATCCTTTTATTTCCAACCTGTTTGTAACTTTGATTCTAAAGTATGTCTCATGTAGATGGTAGATAGGTGGATCCTGTTTTTTTTCTTTAATTCAATCTGAAAATATCTACCTTTTGATTAGGTTATTCAAGCCATTCGTAATGTTTTGATTGATAGGTTGCATTTACATCTGCCATTTTGCTTTATGTTTTCTATGTGTCTTATGTCTTTTTTACCCCTCTGCTGCCACTTTATTGCCTTCTTTTGTACTAAGCTGGTATTTTCTAGCATACAATTTTAATTCCCTTAAGAATTTTTAAAGTAATATCTTTGAGTTTTCTTATTGTTTTATCTAAGCCTTGTAATATGCATCTCAATTTACCGAAATTGACTTCAGTTTTGTACTGATTTAATTACAACAAAACAATGTTTTCTGCTACACACTTCCTTTTTGTATGTGTGTGCATATATACATATGAAACACATCTATGTATATTAAAAACTCAACAATATACTCTTATAGTATTAGATTTATTTAATATTATGTCATATAATGTTAAATCTTTTATGGAAGCTGGTGAAAGAAATAAGAGCAAGTCTATATTGATAATATTTGTTATAGTAATCTTTTTGTTAACCCTATCTTATTCTTAGTTTCTTGCTATTGATTTGAGTTATTAAATGGTATCTTTTTCTTATTTCCATATAGCTTTTTGCTCTTACTCACAATGATTGTGTAATTATTGTCAAATATGTTACATTTATATATGTTAAAGGCCTAACAATACATTTATATACATATTGTTTATTGAAATTGCTTTTTAAATCAATCAAGAGAAGAAATATTCAACTGTATTGTTTTGTGAAATTGCATACATGATTACTTTTACTGGTGCTCTCTTTTTTATGTGTGCATGGATTCAGTGTGTTGATGATATTAGTTACTTTCACCCTAAAAGATTTTCTTTGGTGTTCATTTTAATGTAAGTCTATTAGCAATGTGAATTTTTTTCCACGTTTTTTTGATCTGAGATTGCCTTTAGTTTGCCATCTTTTTTGAAAAATATTTTGCTGGGTATGATTCTTGTTAGACAGTTTCTTCCTCTGAACACTTTGAATATGTCATTCCACTGCCTTCTGACTTCCATTGTGTTTGATAATAAGTAATGTGGTAATCTTACTAGATTCCCTTGAGTGTAATGTATCATTTTTATTTTGCTCCTCTGTTCAAGGACGAAAGATTTCCTCTGTCTTTGAACATTTTTGGTATGATATGTCTGGATGTTTGTGGTTCTATTAACAGTTAATCTACTTTGAGTTCATTCAGCTTCTTGGACGTATTGTTTATACAATTGATGTGTTTGAGTTCATTGAGGTTCTTGGATGTTTTTCATAAAATCTGAATAGTTTTCAGCCATTTTTTTCTTTGATTTTTAAAAATTCTTCTTTCTTCTAGTACTTCCATTATACTTATGTTCTTCTATTTTATTATGTTTCATATTTCTCTAAGGCTCTGTTTATTTTTCTCCAATCTTTTTTGTCTGTGTTCTGCATATTGCTTATCTCTATTAATCTATCTTATAAGTTTGCTGATTCTTCCTACTGCCAGTTCAAATTTATGGTTGAACCCCTCAAGTAAATTTTTCATTTCAGTTATTGTACTTTTGGACTCCAGAACTTATATTTGGTTCGTTTTAATAACTTGAATAATTTCTACCTCCTTATTGATATTATCTCCTTTAGGAGACAGTGTCAACATACCTTCCTTTACTTCTTTAGGCATGGTTTTCTTTTGTTCTTTGAGCATATTTATAACAGCTGATTTGAAGTTTTTTTTTCTCCTAAGTCTACCATCAGGATCTCTTCAAAGGAAGTTTCTGTTGCCAGCTTTCTTCTTTCTGTATGTTGGTCACACTTTACTGTGCTTTGTGTGTCTCATAATTTTTTGTTGTTAACTGAACACTTTAGATCTCCCCTCCCCGACCTTTAAGGTTGTTTTGTTTGTTGCTCACTAGTTCAAATGACGTTAACTTTGCCCAACCAGTTCTGCGAAATGTTCCTCGCCACCCACCTTTTCTACAGTGCATAGCTTTTGAGGTCCCAGCTCTGAGTCTTTCCAATTGTTTTTATCTGCCACCTTGGGGTAGGAGATTTTAATCTTGACCTCTAGGGGTCACTCTTCATATGTTATAAGCTACTAATTGATCAAAGGTTGTTCTTAGCCAGTTATATTTTTTATCCTTTACCGTTGGATGTGTGTGCTTGACTTAGAGACTGCTATCACAGTTAAGGTAGTTTACTCACCCCCCTACCCCTGCTACCCATCCACATTCAGCCGGGGTCTGGTAATGTGAAGATTCCCTCTGCCATTGCTTCTGAGAGGACCCAGCCTTTAGATATGGACATAGTTGCCCAGACTTCCATGGATGAGTGTGATTTTGAAGCCTAGCTTTCTAGGCATTGCCCTTGGGTCAGAGCAGCTTACTGTTCACTCAGTGTTTGGTTAGAGTTTAAGTACCTCGTGCCAGTGAGGCTACTGCGTTTTGGGTGGGTCAGGATGCAACCTGATGAATACTTTCAGGTCTGGCCCCAAATTGTGCTTTGATTACCCCTTCTTGGTAAAGCCGAACATATGTGTACATCCTTTCTTGCATACAGAGTTGCCTGTGATCTCAGAAGGGCTCATCTTGATTGTCTCTTTTCTTGATTCTATTAAACTTGCTTGTCTGCTGTTTTGCTAGTATCATGAAGCTAACATCTTTCTCTTAATTGCTCCCCAGAAAAACCTGTATTGTTTTCAACAATGCCCTTAGACTTAGAGCTCTCCACTCTCTCTTCCACGTAAGGATAGCCTCCTCAGGCAGAGCTGGAGAACTCTTCATCCTTATGACCTACCTTTCTGCCAGGCCAAAACCTTGTTGCCACTGTACCAGACTTCTGGGGTAAGTTCCACTTTTCCTGAGTAACATTCCTGCTCTAAGAGTGAGAACTAGAAGTGGTGGTGGTGAGTGCCCTTAGTCTTTTTGGCTTGGTCCTTCTGCAGTGGATCGTTTTACCTACAATTAAGCTGTAACAGGGGCAACAAGAACCCCGGTGCCTTGGCCTGCCGTGCCTAAGGTAGAGCTTCCACCCTATGTGTGGGGATGGGATGGGGGAAGGCAGACCATGTCATTTTTGCTATGTCTGCCTAGAATATAGCTTCTGCAGCACAGGCTATGAGAAGTGAAAAACACAGCAGCCTGCTCCTCATGGGGTAAAGCCATAGTCCTAGAGTAGAAGGTAGGTGGAGAGGAAGCCCTCCTTATCTTGGCTGCACCTGCCTGGAGTAGACTGCCTCGGTTAAAGCTTTTGTAATGCAGAGGTGTAGAGCTTGGTAGTGATGGTGGAGGTTAATGGAATAAGCCATGGCTCAAATGCCATGGACCCTCACCATTCTTACTAAGATTTAGTTGATTCTCTTGAATGAATGTTTTTTCATTTGCCATATGACCTACAGTAATTTCCAGAGAATTTCAGTTTAAAAAAAAAATTTTCACCAGAAAAATTGCTGTTTTGCTAAGAAGAGGGTATATTTCAAAAGTCCTGTCCTGCACACTTTACCCTGCCTCTTTCCAAGATAACCCAAATGTATCTTTACCCTATCAGAATAAATGTGCTAAATTTATTTTACTCTGAGCTTGGTGCTTATTCTCTTTCCAGTTATTTCCTACACCCTCAAGAATGTCTGACTGTGCCCTGCTGTGGTGTTCAGCCTCCTTGCCCTGACCTTGCTAGCTGTGATCTCCTATCTCGCTTTTTTTTTTGAAAGAAAAGTGTGGACGTTTTACAGTAGTGTGTTTGGAGTAATCTCCCAAAGAACACATGGGCCAGAATCATCCTGGAGCTTTGTTAAAATTTATGTTTCTGGACTAACAAAGTCCGTTGATTTCTAGTATCTTTCATAGGGCTTAGGAATTGGCATAAGTAGATTGCCAGAAATTATTCTGGTATAAACTATGTGATTCATAAGCAACTTTATACAGTCATATTCTCAAGTTTTTCTCTCATGATCTCCCTGGTTATTTCCAGTTTTTAGGGATACCTTTTTTTTGGTCCTTTGGCCAAAATACTATGACTTTCATTACCCTAATCTACTGTGCACTTCCGCAGCCACACTGTCTTTGGGGCTATGTGGCAGGAGATCACAAAGGGAAAAAGACCAATGGTATTTGGCTGTACCCTTTGGAAACTGTCATTTCTTTAAACCTAGAGGAATGTTTCCTTTCTTAGGGTTTTGTCTTTTGTTCACTCCCATTCCCTCTTTTGTCACTGCTGCTGTTACCATTGTCAGCAGAGGATTGCCTGAAGTCCAGCGGGTAGGCAAATGAACAAAATAATTTTTTTTTAATTGAGGGTTTTTTTTACATTCTCTCTGAGTGTTTTGCATTCCCTTTCCTATAAGCCAGAACTAAAAGGCTTCTCCTGGGCTTTTTCTTTCCGTCTGCTTTTCAGGGCTCACTTCTTTGTTTGTTGTGTGTTGAGTTCAGACCAGGGGATACAGGAGTAAAAAAGTTAATCATGTTACCACTTGTTTGCTGGTATTTGAATTCTGTTCTTCTTCCTCAGTCCATCTGCTGCTATTTACTTTTGAATCCTCAAATAGCTGCTCCTTGTATTCTGTCCAGGATTTAGAGCTGTGTTCAGTGGGAGAGATGGTGTAGAGTTATTGCTCCATTGTACCCGCAACCTGAATGTTCCAACTTTAAAGCAACATTTTCTTACTATTTTTGAAAAAAGTTTTTTGATCATTTGCTTGAAGAAAATCCTGACATAGTTGTTAAGTTGAAGTGCTCTAAAAGTTTAGATATTTTGTAAGTACTTATTCATGGGAATTTGAATTTTCATAGTATATATAATTCAAGCTATGGAAATATATTGTATAAAATAATAAATAACCAGAATTATAAAACATTATTTATTATATTGATTATAAGGTAAGCGAATGTTATAGTTTTGGAAATGTATATAGATATATTTAATAATACTGTATTGCTTTTTAATTACATATATAATTCTGTTTTTTTATTAAAATAAAATGATTTTGTTGAAAAGACAGAGAAAATCTGATATAGAGGAATGAATGGTTAGCTTGTTCTTAAACTACTTTCCTTAAATATCATTTTTCTATATAAGGCATTTGATAGTTATCTAGCACTTATTCCGTGTTCTCTGGTAAACACAGTGTTTTGGAGTGTGAGGGAAACCAGAATTTTCAGAAAGAGAGATAAAGTATCAGAGTCTGCATTGGTCGGGGTGAGGGAGGAAAAAGAAATCTTGTTTTTTGGTATCTGAGCAGTACTAAATAATCTGTCCCATACTTTACCTCAAATATAATATAATCCTGGAACGTCTTGTGGTTCTATTAAGTAAGGAAGTTTTCACAAAATGATAGGAACATGACAGAAGTACAAAGAGGCAACGTTAAGCGTTTTCAACAGCCACTTTGGGACCATTTTTGTTACAAAATTATATTAATGGATTATACTTTTCGGAATAAAATAAGTATTCATGAGGTCGTACAAAAATAAGTAAATGGTTGAATAAATAAATAAATAAATGTGAAATGTAGAATTTCAATTAATAAACTTAGAAGGCAGAAGAGAAATAGAAGGTTACCCTTAGGTAAACACCACAGTAATAATTGTTGTGGGAAAAAGGACCATTGGTGGATGCCTCAGAGTCACCTGGGAAACTTTTCCAATATACAGATTCCAGAGCTCCAGGAAGAGAAAACACAGGTTTAGGATGGAGTTAGGGATATCTGAAGTTTTAAAAGATTCTGCAAGGATTTCATTCTAGAACTACAGAATATTTTAGATAGAGTGCTGTTGCTGTGTACATAGTTTTCACAGTTAGACATAGTATTTTTCCATCATCGTCATTACAGAGGAAAAAGTAATAACCTTACTGTGGAAGAATCTTATAGACATCAGCTTAACCAAGTCATCATACATCCCGAGAGCGAACTTCCATATCATGTACCCCTTGGTATCATGTATAATCTCAATTTCCTGCCCGAAATGCATGGCTTCAATCTAATTGTGGGAAAACATCTGGCCAACTTAAACTTAGGGACCATTGTCCCTAAGCTGACCAGTATTCTTCAGAAGCATCAAGGTTATGGAAGACAAAGCCTGAAGAACAGTTTCAGACTGGAGAAGGCTGAACGACATGACACTTGTATGCTGTGTGGGATCCTAGATTGCCTCCTAACCCAGAGAAGAGAACATTACTGGGTCACTTGACAAAATTCAAACTAAGTCTGCAGGTTAGTTAATAGCCCTGTATCCATTTTAATTTTTTGGTTTTGATAATTTTACCATGATTAGGTAAGATGTTAATAGTAGAAGTTGAGATGGGAGTATGTGAAAACTTCACTTTACAACTTTTTTGCAAGTCTGAATTTATTTTAAATAAAAAGCAAAAATAACACAAAACAAATTTCATTTCAAATATCTCACATTACATAAATGCAAAGACAAAGAGCCTTGAATTTTTAAAAAATGTTAAAGCGTATAATGGCAAAGGGGGAGCCCTATATATGCCATGGTTTTCATTTTTGTCTCATTTCACACTTATTGATTACAATAATCCTCCTTTTCTTGTTCCAAAAACATGAAAGAATGAGTAGTATAAAGCCTGAAATATTATTAATATTTCTTCATCATACTTGAGATTTTATTTTTGATGCCTGAGGACCACTAAGACAGCTACACACTCAATCAAATGTTCAAATCAAATCTATTCTCCACACAATTGTAGTTGATCCCTTGTCAAGAATTTAAATGAAAGATAATTTAAATTCATTTTTCTTTACAAAACAGATTTTTGCTAATTTACAAAATGTAATTAAATGTTACCAGAATGCAGTTACTCCTGGAAGTACTTCTCTACAGATTCTCAGTTTTGCAAAATAGACATGTCTCATTTAACTTTTTTGAAAAATGGTGTATCACCAAAATTGGTTTCAGATGCTGTCCAATTCCTAGTGGTACACTGAAGTGTCAATACTTGTTCTAAGACCTTCTATATCATGAGGTGGAGGTTCTCAAATACATTGTGCCTCAGTGTCACCTGGGAAACTTTCCCAATATACATATCCCAGAGCTCCAGCAAGAAGAAACACAAGTTTAAGATGGAGTTATGGATATCTGAATTTTTAAAAGATTCTGCAAGGATTCCATTCTAGAACCACAGAATACTTTAGATAGAGTGCTGTGGCTGTGTACATGTTTTACACAGTTAGACAGACCTGGCTTTTTCTTTGGGCTCTGTCGTTTACTCAGTGGGTGACTTTGGGCATTACTCAACTTCTATATGCCTCAGTTTTCTTTAAATATTTATTTATTTTAATGATTTATATTTCATTTATTTCATATACGAGTGAGATAGTACATGCATAAAGAACTTTAAAATGATGGAAATTTTTTTTTTAAGATGGTAAGATGTTTGCTGGAAAATGTGGAAAATGTGGTGAAGGGGTAGGTACTTTAGGCAGAAGTAGTAACTGGCATAGAAATGGTAAGTGTGAAACTGCTGGGGAAATATGAGAAACTCAGGTTGTATGCATGGCCAGAGGATAGAGTGCAGATGAGAGATAGTGAGATGAGAATGGGGAATCTAAGAGTCAGTTTTGGAATGCCTGTATGCCATGTTGGGGAGTTTGATCTATATTCAAATTGTAGCACCATATACTATGATGCCAGCTACTGGAAGTGGAGCAGATAGACTCATACCAGCAGGAGAGGATTCTGCTGATCCTGAGTATCAATATCCTTCTGGGCAATGGAGCCCAGCATGATCCGGGATGTAGATACGCCTGTATACATCTACAGTTGACAAATGTAGGGGAGATCAGTCCCATGGTGGAGCTTTAGTTTAGAAGATAGCAGTCTTCAGGTCCAAGCCACATTTAACACAACCTACCAAAAATCATACATCGTGTGATTTTTTGGGATCTTGCCCACCATAACTGTTCAACCTTTGTCTTATACCCTGTTAGTCAGAACTCTGGGCCTCAGCTTCTGGTAAACTCAAATTCTGATAATAATCAAGCTATGGATGACCAATGAATGAGCCCTGTAAAAGCTATACTGTGCTTCAGGTTACCAGAAATCAGCTACTTTAGTATATGGATATGTGTGGGCATCTTGGGGAGCTATATTGAACTACAACTGGGCTAAGCTAACCTGCTCTGAGCTCTGTTTTTGGCCATTTAGGATCATAAAACTTGTTTTAAAGAGGCGTTCTGTGATAAGATTCAGTTCCTATTTCCTGAGAGCTCCATTTCACTTATTCTCAAATTGTCACTAAAGTAGGGGGAAGCCAGGACCTACCTAACCTCAGGGATACTCTTGTACAGGAGCAAACACAGTAAGGCAAGATGCTCTTTTATACTCTACCATCCTCTTACACAGGCACTCAATGACATCATGGCTTTGAAAAAGTGACCTTCGTCCTGAAGATATTTATGAGCTATAATTAGGACTTATTTAAATTAGGGGATTCTCCTAGAGATAATGCTTACTGTGTGATCTTTAAGCTCAGGGAAGTATTTTTTTTTTTTTTTTTTTTTTTGGAGACAGAGTCTTGGTCTGTCACCTGGGCTGGAGTGCGGTGGCGCGATCTCGGCTCACTGCAAACTCTGTCTCCTGGGTTTAGGCCATTCTCCTGCCTCAGCCTCCTGAGTAGCTGGGACTACAGTCACCTGCCACCATGCCCGGCTAATTTTTTTGTATTTTTAGTGTAGACAGGATTTCACTGTGTTAGCCAGGATGGTCTCGATCTCCTGACCTCGTGATCCGCCCGCCTCGGCCTCCCAAAGTGCTGGGATTACAGGTGTGAGTCACCGTGCCCGGCATCAGGGAAGTATTTTTATGCAAACTTTAGTACAAGTACAATTAAATATGGACTGTTTTTTTTTTCAGTGACTCAGAAACTTATGCATAGAAAAGAAGATGCCTTAAATTGACGTTGATGTTTCCTTTAGGCTGGGCTTCACAGTCCTGATGTAGAGTCACCACAGCTCAGTTTGTTTTCTGAGACCTGAAGATTCAGACTTCATTTATTATCAAATATTTCATGAGTGCCAGCTGTGCAAGGCATTATGCTAAGCACCAGGGGAAAAGAATCACAATTTAACTTACTATTTTACAGAAAAATATGAGATTTATTAACAAACAAAAATGCCAAGCTAAGGCCAGGCGTGGGGGCTCATGCCTGTAATCCCAGCACTTTGAGAGGCCGAGGAGGCTGGATCATCTGAGGTCAGGAGTTCAAGACCAACCTGACCAACATGGTGAAACTCCATGTCTATTAAAAAGACAAAAAATTAGCCGTGTGTGGTGGCACATGACTGTAGTCTTAGCTACTTTGGAGGCTGAGGCAGGAGAATAGCATGAACCCGGGAGGCGGAGGTTGCAGTGAGCCGAGATCGTGCCATTGCACTGCGGCCTGGGCAACAAGAGCGAAACTCCGTCTCAAAAAAAAAAAAAAAAAAAAAAAAAAGGCAAGCTATGTATTTGCGATGAGAGATTTGCTTCAAAGCCAGCAACACATGACGTCTCTTTACCACGGCATACTTTTCAGGTATTAAGGAACTCATGGAGAGCCAAATTAATAATCAGGATATTGATGATAAAGATGAGATTTAAAGACCATGGAAGTTATTTTTAAAAACATGTTTTTATTTTTAAATGTGAAATAATTTGATTCACAGAATATCCTGAAAGTGGTTAGAGAGGTCTCGTGGACTTCTCACTTGATTTCCCTCAATAATTACATCTTATATAATTATAGTATAACAGCAAAACAAGGAATCTGGCATAGTTACAATGTGTGTGTATATAGAGTTGTATGTCATTTTAATACATGTGTAGATTTCTGTAACCATGACCACAATCAAAACACGGAGCTGTTCCATCAGGGCAAAGATCTCCTTCATGCTACCCCTTGAGAGCCACACCCACACCCACCCTCATTCCTGATCCACGGCCATCATTAATTTGTCTTCCAGCTTTATAATTGTATCAATTCAAGGATGTTATATGAATGGAATCATACACTATGTGACCTTTTTACAAAAACAGCTTTATTGGGGTATTCACATACTGTAAAATTACCTTTTTATTAAAGTAGATAATCCACGGATTTTAGCACATTCACAGAATTGTGTAACCATCACCACCATCTAATTTCAGGACATTTTCATAACTGCTAAAAGAAACACCATTGGCAGTCGCACCCTTCTTCCCTCCCCTTATCGCTGGTAACCTAATCTACTTTCTGTTTTTATGAATTTGCCTATTCTGAACATTTTATGTAAACAGAATTATTGAAAATGTGTACTTTTATGAGTGTCTTCTTTGACTTAGAACAATGTTTTCAGTGTTCTTCCATGTTGTAGCATGTATCAGTACTTCATTCCTTTATATGGCTGAATAATATTCTGTTGTGTGGGTATACCACATTTTACTCAGCCATTTATCTGTTATAGGCATTTGTATTGTATCCAAATTTGGGCTACTATGAATAGTATGTCTATGTAAATTCATGTAGTCTTTTGTATGAGCATATGGTTTTCCAATGTTCTGAGTATGTACCTAAGAGTGGAATTACTGGGGCATATGATAACTCTATGTTGAACATTTTAAACCATGGCCAAAATATTTTCCAACGTGGCTGCGCCATTTTCCAAATCCACCAGCAATGTGTGAGGCTTTGAATTTCTTCATAACTTTGCCAACACTTCTTTATTTTTTTCCATCCCTCTCTTCCTTCTTCCCTTTCTTCTTTCTTCTTTTCATTTCTTTTTAATATAGCCATACTGGTGTATATGAAGTTGTATCTCACTGTAGTTTTTATTTGCATTACACTAATGACAATGATGTTGAAAATCTTTTAAGGTATTATTGACGCGTTGTCTGCTTTGAAAAAAAGTCTATTCAAATCTTTTGTCCTTTTAAAAATTTGGTTATTTGTCTATTATTATTGAGTTATAAGAGTTCTTGAGAGCATCTGGAAAAATGTCTTGCAAATATTATCTTCCATTCTGTAAGTTTTCTTTTCATTTTCTTGATTGTATTCTTTGACACACAAAAGTTTTTAGTTTTGATGAAGCACTAATTACCCATTTTTAAAAACATTATTACTTGTGCTTTTGGTATCATATCCAAGAAACTATTGCCTAATCTGAGGACATGAAGATTTAGGAATATGTTTTATTCTAATAATTTAATGGTTTTACCATTTACAGTCAAGTCTCTAGTCCATTTTGAGTCTTTTTTTTGTATAGGGTATGAGGTAGGAGTCTAATTTCATTCTTTTGCACGTGAGTAACCAGTTGGCACAGCACCAGTTATTACAAAGACTGCTCTTTCCCCATTAAATTGTTCTGGCACCCTTGTTGAAAACCAATTCACTATAAATGTGAGGGTTTATTTTGTTTCATTAATTTATATATCTATCCTTTTGCCCATACCACTCTGTCTTGATTACTGTAGCTCTGTTGTTAAGTTTTGAAATGAAGAAGTGTCTGTACCTCATTTTTCTTCTTTTTCAAGATTGTTTTGTTTTTTTCTAGGCCCCTTCCATTTCCACATGAATTTTTGGAAAACCTTGGCAATTTCTTGTAAGAATCCAGCTGGGATTTTGTTAGGAATTGCATTGAATATGCAATTTTCGTTCATACTGATGTCTTGTCAATATTAATTAAGTCTTCTGATCGATGAAGGTGATATGTTTTTCCATTTATTTATGTCTTCTTTAATTGCTTCCAAAAATGTTTTGCAATTTTTAGTAAGTAAGTCTTTCACTTCTTTAGTTAAATTTATACCTGAGTAATTTTTTCTTTTTGATACTATTGTAAATGAAATTTATTTCTTAATTTCATTTTTGAATTTTTTATTTTAATTGCTGTTACATAGAAATTAAATTAATTTTGTAGGTTAATCTTGTATCTTTCTATCATGCTAAACTCACTTATTAGTTCCAGTAGCATTTTTTTTTTTTTCGATGTGAATTCCTTAGGATTTTTTAAATGTAAGCTCATGTTATCTTCCTATCCAATCTGGATGACTTTCTTTTCTTGTCTTTTTCTTTTCTTTTCTTATCTTTTTCTTTCTTGATCTCCCTGGATAGGACCTCCAGTAGAATGTTAAATAGCATTGGTGAGAGCAAATATCCTTGTCTTGTTTCTGATTTAAGAAACAAAGCGTTCAATCTTTCACCATTAAGAATAAAGTTTACTGTGTTCTTTTCATGGGTACCTTTTATCAGGGTTAGAAGGTTCCTCTGTATTTTGAGTTGTTGAGTGTTTTTATCATAAAAGGGTGTTGGTTTCCTTTAGCTGTCTGAACATATTTATAATGACTGTTTTGAAGATTTTATCTGTTAAGTGTGATATTTGGGCCTAGTATTGATGTTCTTATTGAAATTTAGCAGATTTTACCTCTCTAAGCATGTCTTTCTTTGCTGTATGCTCTGAGGATGATTTATAGAAGTGTTACATGTTGTTTTTAATAATGATTTTCACCACTTATGGTTGATTTGCTGTAGAGTAGTTGGTCCATGAAGGTCCTCATGCTGTCATTCTGGAAGTTGCCACCCCTTCTACCCATCCCGGTAGATCTTAAATCTATATTGCTGTATGAAAGAAGCCAGCCACAAAAGGATGCATATTATATAATTCCAATTATACACCATTATCTGAAAGGAAAAACTATGGAGTCAGAAAACAGAATAGTGGTTGCTGATGCTTGAGAATGGAGGTAGGCGGTGATTACAGAAGGGTAGCACAAGAGAATTTGGCGGGAGATTGAACTCTTCTATATGGTACTGTGGTGGTGGACACAGAACTTTATGCACTTATCAAAATTCACTCAAGCCTACAGTATAAATAGTATATATATGAAGAAAAAATCAACCGGGATACCAAGAGAACCCAAGATGGAATCCAGAATGTGACAAATGAATGACCACACTGAAATGGGTAGGGAAGAAAGAGCTGATTGCAGTAGCCTTGAAACCAGTTATTTTGACCAGAGCCTGTAAGGCCAAGCACAATGATTATTACATCCAAACAATGTCTTCCAATTGGTAAATTTGTTTTTCAAATGGGTATGGGCTAACAGTTATGAGACTATTTTATCTGTATACTAGGTTTGAACACATAAGCAAATATATTTTAGATAATGAAAGCCAGATTACTTATGTTGTAGAAAGATGTCATTAATAAACCAAGTGGGAATAATAGAATGAACCAATGTCAACTCAGATGTTGTTTTTAAAATGCAAACAGATACTTAGATGCAGAAATAAATATAGATATGTTATGCATGCATTAATTAGTATTCATATATATGATGTTCTAGAAGCAGTTGTATCCCAGATGTCAGGAACTTATGTAGCTCCCAGATCTTGTTTTCCAAATATTCTTTTCCTATTTAAAAGTATCAGAGCTTCTTAGAGTAGTGGTTGATTCCAGGGTGGGTACAGGAAACCATCTAAAATATGTCTGAAAGTCTAGTGGTGCCAGAAAAGTCAAAAATATATAGGAGCTAACCAAAAAGAACTCCCAATGGCCAAAGTTAGATCAAATTTCACAAAAGATAATCCAAATGACAATAAATAGACCAGAATTATTTGAGTTACAACTCAAAAGAATAAAATAAATATTCATGATATAATAAATGCTTAAATAAATAAATTAGGGAATAAGGGAATATAATAAGTTTTCTTTATAAAAGTTTTCCAGTTAACAAATGCACCTTAACTCTGTGTGCTTGGTAACTTCTCCAGAAATAAGACACCAATATCATGTATTCCTGGATATAATTTGCAACAAAGGGCACACCACTTTTGCGATAGTATCTCCAAAAGTCCATAACCTCAATCTAATCGTGAGAAAACATCGGACAAACAAATTGAAGTGCATTCCATAAAATATCTGTTCACAAATGCCATCTCCATGAATGACAAGGAAAGACTGAGTAACTGTCCTAGAATGAACTAAATTCCAAATGTGATCCTGAGTTAGATCCTGGTACAGGATAAGGACATTAGTAAAACAGGGTGGAATCTGAATAAAGTCTTTAGTTTAGTTAATAGCATTTTGCCAATATGAGTTTCTTAGTTTTGGCAATTGTACCATGGTTATGTGAGATGCTTGCATTAGAGGAAGCTAGCTAGAGTACATAGGAACCCTTTGTAGTATGTTTTCAACTCTTCTGTGTGTCTGCAATTATTTCTAAATAAATAATTTTAATAAATAAAATATTCAGTGAAACAACACTGCATAAGAGATGGCACAGAATGCTGTATGTTCAGTAGACACAGAAAATTCTTGGCGCCAAGAAGAGAAAGGATTGAGAAAATTTTGACATTATATGTCTGAATTAAATCTCTGAAATAAATTGCCAGGAGAATAGAAAGTATAATAAACATTTTAATGGGCCAATGTATAAAAGATAAGACAAGCTGTTGATATATTTTATTAGCTCACAATTACAAACAAAGAAATCTTATATTAAGTTAATAATTAATAAAAATTACTTTTCCTTCCAGTAGGAGAAACCTATATTGCAAAGACAGATTCAGTGTGAAACTCTAATGGAGAATTAGGATAATTCAGATAGATAATAAAATAGATAATTTAGAAAGGTGTCCAACAGACTCAAATTTGTTGAAGCACTCATTTCAACTGCTCATTTATTCCAGATACTGAGTAAATGATAGAGTTACCAATAGCAAGTGGTTCTGTTATATCATATTATGCTTTGGAATTTGGACTATTTTAAAAAGAAGGTGGATAGCTTCTAAATTCAAAGTTTGAAAGACTATGGAAATAGACAATGGGAAACTGGCTTTACTTATTACAGACAGAAAGAAAAATCCGACTTAAGAGTTGACCATCAATTCATACTTAGGACATACTAATACCAAGTTTCTTAGACAAACGGAATAAAAACAAAACACTAAAAGGACACATGGTATCCTTACAATACTAGAATTTTGATAGTTTTCAACAAATAGCATTGAATATTATTAGAAAAGCTAAAGATGGGACAGGTTAAATAAATTCTGGTGTCTATTAAACTTTGGAGGGGTTTTTGTGGTTTTCTAAGAGTTTTGGTCAGAAAATCTGGCTTTTAGTACTGTAATCTAGAGTAAGTCTGCCCGTGAAGCTTAGCTTCATGGTTTATGAAGTGGTGCAAATATCTATCTCCCAAGGTTATCTTAACATCAAGAGAAATAATGGATATGAAAGAACTCTGTTAATGTATTAGTCATTATATTTTAAGCGAAACTTCTACCTTCAGAGGAGCCCACAGAATGCTACAACACAGGTTGTAGCACTCTGTACAATTAGCACTCTTTCAAGGCATTTGCTACAATAGGAGGAAGAAAAGTACAATTTCTTGGCCTTGACAAACCACATTCGAGGTGAGAGATTTGCCACTCTGTCTTCTCACTTCTGTTATACTTCTGGTTCATGGACACAAGTGACCCAGGTAAAATGACTTGAATAAGCATTTCAATTAAAAAAATAATAAATTGGCAGCACATCCATGTGCCTCTGTAGAGTGTCTGAAGGACGTGTTTATTGCTGCAATTTAGGTGGCAGAACAAAGAATGGAGATATTTAAAGGGGACACATTTTCTTGTATTTATCCTTCAGATTGTCAGGTATACTTTCTAATATTGTTTCTAAAATAATATTTCAACTCAAAACTAGTAAATAATTTTATTGCAAATGTGGTTAAAGGATTTAAAATACCTGTAATTCTCATACACTGGGGAATACAGGTGAAAACACTAGATTATAGGAAATATGATAAAAGGAAAACTAGATATTGTCAGTGATATGGTTTGGATCTGTGTCCCCAGCTAAACCTCATGTTCAGTTTGAATCCCCGGTGTTGTAAATGGGGCCTGGTGGGAGGTGATTGGCTCATGGGGGCGGATTCACATTAATGGTTTAGTGCCATCCCCGTGTGATGCTGTTCTCATGATAGTGAGTGAGTTCTCACAAGATGTGTTTTTTGTTTTATTTTTTTAAATGTGTAGTACAGTGCTTTCCCTGCCTATCTTTCTTGCTCCTGCTCCAGTCATGTGAAGTGCTGGCTCTGCCTTCACCTTTCCACATGATTATAATTTTCCCTTTCTAATGGAAAATTGGGCTACACAATGGAGGCAGGGCGTTCTCTTGGAAGTCTCTTAGTACTTCCGTGTTAAATAGTAGTAAGGATTCAGACACTTCAAGAAAGAAGGCATAGGTTACTGACCAGTGAAGTCTTGGCTGATGTTAGGAGAAACAGGGAATAGTGAAAGAAGGAAGTTATAAACAGTAGTGACAGCCTCATGAACGGTTGCATAAATAAAGACTGTAGCAGCTATGCCTATTTTATTCTTTTATATCTCTTCGTTTTTTTCTCATTTTATTTTTTTTAGAGATTAACTTTTCATGTAGTACTAGGTAAGAAAATTCAAATGAGACAGTGTCTGAAATTGGGGAATAATGTAGTATAGGGATGAATACTATGATTGCTGGGATTTTGTGTCTACTCACTTTGAAGAGATAGTGTCTTCATTTGCGCTAATAATAGTTGCATCTTTGTTAAGTGGAAACATAGATTGGTGGTGCTGGTATTATATGAAAGAATATATTTAGATGTGAGTTCACCAAAGCTATACCAACTACTAAGTTGTTTCTCGGCTGGATATTTACTCTTCTATATTCTGTTTTGTGATGTTGGACCTGGGATTCTATAAACCACATTTCTGCTTTGCAACCTGACTTCATGTTTGAATTTTACAGAGAAGAGACATTAGAGGGAATTGGCAAGGTAGGAAGAGGATGAAAAGACTTCCCCTTTTCTGTTTTTCTGCTTTCTGTTCATGGACTTCATTTTGTCTATGGTTCCAATAGTCATCACCCTAGTAACACTTGTTCACCTTGGCAGCAGCAGTTCTTTCATGTACCAGCAACTAATTCAAACTTGTAGTTTCTCTAACACTTGCAAATTAATTTCAAAATGTACTGTCTCAGAGAAACCAACTCTAACTGGGCAACCCGTCCTCCTTAGAGAGGTCTGAGTTTTAGCTTCAAAAGCCCTTTCTCTAAGTTTCTAAGTTATTAATTCTAATGTTTTCCATTGTTTATCCCCAGCCATAGGGGTGATAACTACTTACACTAGTTGCTACCATTGTAATATCTTAGAGTTCTCTTTTTATCCTTACAGTTACCTGGTTAACAACTTAATTTTTTTACTAAATTATTCTATCATACTATCCCTGAAAAGAGAAACGATGTGTTTTCTGTCTCCTCACTTGACCCATCCTGATATTGAATGTGCAAGAAAGAAATGTTAATTTGGAGAAAAAATTTTGTAGGAAATATGTAATGTATAATAAAGGAAAACATCTCATAAATATTTTAGATTTTCCATCCAGGCAGTAGCTAGACTGAGTTCTTCTTTTTCCTCTTAGTTTTAACTGTTGAGTAGACCTGTTTGCAGTTGCTATACGAATAACCCACAAATTGCAGATATAATACAAAATGTTTGTCCCATGTGCATATTGACAAGTCATTTTCTGCCTCTTGTTGAGGGTTTCACGCTGCTATTATAGGTGAGGCTCTTAAGAAATTTCAACTGACAAATATTTTGCTAACTTTCCAAAAAATTTTAGAATTCAGTCTGTTACAAAAAATACATTTTATGCATAAAAGCTTTATAATATGTAATTAATGTTTGCCAAATTATTGAATGAAGCTGACAAAATATGGGAAGTGAATATCCCTTTTGATTCATATATTATTAACAGGTAATTTTACGATAGTGTCAATGGAATTAAGAAAGACATGAAGAAAGTCCTTATAGCAAAGACTGAGATATTTAGGGAAAAGTGGTAAGTCCCTTTCAACCAAGAATATTGGTGGATATTATTCTTTTTTATATGATATTATTGGATATTAGTGGATATTATTATTTCTTATATCAAAATCCCCCAAATGAATTTTATCTAACATGCAGGCATTTATGATATCTAAAGATTTATGAAGCCAGACTATCAGCAGATACAATGAAATTATGTATAATTCAAATAATTAGAAAGTCTTATGGCTTGACATTTAATATCTATCTTAAGAATTTTAATATGTAAATGTACCTGTTTTCTCCATGGAAAAGACTATGATGTCAAAGGCAAGAGGATATCTTAGTATTTTTATAACCTGATGAGTGTCTGATTTTATTAGTTTTCTATGATTGCTAGAAAAAACTTCCACATAGTGGCTTAAACTAACACAAATTTATTCTAGTTCTGGATATCTGAAGTCTAAAATAGGTCTCACCGGGCTAAAATCATGATGTTGACAATGTTAAGGTCCCATTGAAGGTTCTAGGGGAGGATCTACTTCTTTGCCTTTTCCACCTTCTAAAAACTGCCCACATTCCTTGGCTTATGGCCTAGTTGAAAAAGAGCTCTGAGAATCCTAGTAAAGGAGAAAATCATTATCAAGATAAATCCCATGCATGCATGGATTGTTTGCTGGACTTTTTGTTCTGTTTACTAACCAGTCTATATATTTCTGGAGTAATTTCTTGCTAGTTTTTAACTACTGTGGCTACATAGTACAGTAGTAGGCCAAATTTTCTCTCAATTTTTTTCTTTTAAAACAAATGTTCTTGCTGATTTCATGGATCTATTATATATAGATTTTAGAATCACATGAGAGGATTTCATCTAATTCATAGATTAATTTGGGGGCAAATTTATAGTTTCATAATATTGAATCTTTCTATAGTAGCATGGTATTTCTCTAGGATTTAAGCCTTCTTACGTTTATGGTAAGGTTGGCAGTTAAAAAAAATGTTTTGCACATTTACTTTACCCTTGTCCTTAGTTAGTTTATTAGTATTATTTGTTTTCCGAATGAGATCTTTAAGAGTTTTATTTTCTAATTTGTGATTGCTAGCTACTGATTTTATATGTTGATATTGTTTCCAACTGGCTTAGTAAACTCATATTTATTTTAATAATTTCCCAAATGTTTTGCTGGACATCAGATTGTTGGCAAAGAATGCCTGTTTTTTAAATATGCCATATATCTGATGTCTTTTTGCTAGGACATCTTGTGTTTGCTAGGACCTACTTTTAGTCCTAAGTGATTTCTTATGATCTTCCAAATCATTAATTGAATCTTTATTCTCATCCATCTTGCTAGTTTGCTCGTGTATTTATTTTTAAAAACATTTGACCACAATGCTTTTAATTTCCAGAAATGTTAATTATTTGTCTCCCTCCAATTCTTTCTGTTCTTCCTCCTCTTCTTCTTTGCTTTTTTCTGAACATTGTTTTTAAGGGAATGCTGTATTTCTTCAGCTTTATTGATTATAATTATAAGAATTCTGTTAAAATTTCTTTCTGTTTCTTTCAGAAATTTTAAGGGATTAGTTCAGATTTCTATGGGATTAGTTCTATTTGTAGGATATTGTCACATTATTGGCTTCCGTAGTTTTTTAATAGTTACATTTGAAGGATTCAATTGAGAAGCTTTGGTAGTTGGAGGGCTGTTTCATAAATGCAAAGAGGAATTCCTATTCTTTCAGCAATGATTTGTGGCTGTGTCCCAGGAAGGATGACCAAGGTGGTGGTGTGGTAGAGAGTGGAGGGGCATGTGTACTTCACCCCTACACTGTGAGCCTCTGGGGCAGAAGCCTTTTTCCTTCATTAATATGTTTATCTTTGGCTTCTGGAATAGCACTAGCTCAATATTTAATTCAAATGCTTCTATACAGGTTAAGCAAAGACCTTTGTTAAACTGTTAAACATTCATTATTTTGTCCTAACAGTTGTAAATTCAATATAACAGAATAATGAAATTAGAGGCACTGATCTATAATTAAATCCTGGAGAGTAAGCAAGCTTTAATTTATTCTCTGCTTTAATGCCTATTCTCACGTTGGCATTTTGCATCAATCACTGTTTGTCCAAAGATTTGGAGAGGGATGAAGAAGAGTTACTGGAATGAACATTCGTGACATGTTTTTAAGATAGTGAATATAGAACTGTGATTGGAGTGTAGGGTTCACATAAGGAAAGAGCCGGAGATAAAGTTGTAGCCAAGCTGTGAAGATGTTTATATTTATGTCTTAGGAGTTTGGACCCTGTCAGTAATGAAGTATTGATGGGTTTTGTGCAAGAAAACATTGTGAGGAAAGTGTCTGTATTTGACAGTGGTGTCATGAGAAGTATAAAGGAAAAGGATTAAGAGATTGTTCAGTAATCTAGGATGAGAGGGTGAGGGCCTGAGATAGTGTGAAGGAAGTTGGAATGGAAAGAAAGTGACATTTAGAAGAATCTGAACATAATAACTTTACGATCCGGTGATTTCTTGGATGAGAGAGAGAGAAAATATGAATACTTAACAAGCATAAGGGTTTTAAGCCTGGGTTACTGAAAAAGAAGTGATAGAGTTATAGAACTAAATAAAGGGATCAAAAAGAAGTGCTTGATACTGATTTTCTGGTTTAGCTGTCATTTAAATACTTAGACACAATCATGTTTTATATTTTGAACTCTTTTATGCTTTCTGTGCACTGACATCAAGGATATCCATTAATTACATAAGGGAGCAGAGGTGCAGAAGACGGTGTTTGCGTTATGTGCTGGTCAGACTTGGGGACAATCTGGCTGCACTATCTGCCATCCATCTTGTCTCCAAGGCTATTAAGTGCATCTGCCTCGCTGGACTCACTCCAGCTCCCAAGAATGGAACTAATTCAGAAGTTGACTCATGAATATACAGTTACCTGTCAGTCTTTCAGGAAAAGTTTTATGAAGATTTTTACTGTTAAATGTTGCTTTAAAGGTATGCAAAAATCCTCTTTTGAGGCTTCCTAGGGTTTTTGCCTCTGTTGCCATTGATAGATGTGCATTCAGGAAATTCACTCTTCTCATAATAGCATTGTTTTTTCTTTGTTAATTCTTTTCATTGTGCCCTGTCAAACGAATGAGTTGCATTGACTTGGTATATATAGGGTTGCCATAAGGATTAAGTAGGAGAATATAAGTAATATGCCATGAAGAATGCTTTGCTCAGTTAGCCCTCAATAGCTGTTAACTGTTTTCACCATCAGGATTCACAGTTTCAAGGACTTCTCTACTTGTTACTGATCGTGCTGTGACATTTAAGGCAATGTACTTCATACTTTAATATGCATTAAAATAATCTTTAGGGTTTATTAAAACACAGATTACTGGACCTCACTCCCAGAGTTTCTTATTCAGTTGGTCTTGGTTGGGGCTTGAGAATGTGTATCTCTAAACGTTCCCAGTGACGTTGATGCTGCTGTTTGGGATCAAACGTTGAGAACCAGTGGTTTGGGAGGGATTGGTTGGGGGAAAATTTTTGTTTATAATGGAGTCAATCACTTTACAGTTAAGAATCCTCCTCTTCTGTCTGCACATTCTGAACCTAGTCTGCTGTGCTCTTTGTTTTTGGAAGCAGCAGAAACCAGTCAGCAGGTGACAAATTTCATTATTCTACTTTCTTCGAATTTTTCCAGAGAGTCCTAAGTATACCACTGTTAGTGCTGGCACTTTTCTGTTATTTTAAGGATTTGTTGGTTTTTCCAAGGTGGTTTTCCCTTGATGCCAGAAGATGTGAATAAAAACATTATGATGATGTTCGGGTCTATCTTGCTATTTGATATATGGTGGAATTTTTCACTTAATACTAATTTTTTAAGCCATACTTTTCTTTCTTACTTTTTTTTCAGTTCTCATTTAATTAGAGTTACAAATGGCATCGCTTATAAACATACTTATTGTAAGCACAGCAATGTGGCTTTCAGTATCTTTGTAATGAAAGTTTAAACTACTTGGAACTCTAGCTTACATTCCTTTAAGTCTTTATGATCTAAATATTCTTTTCCATGATGCCAAAAAGGTTCTGTGTGATCATCTAAAGTTTGAAATTCTTTTTCAAATCAAAGGCACTGCCAAACTCAGAAGCAACTGTGTGAAGAAAATGTGTGGAAACACCACTCATTACAGGTTGGTTTATAAAAAGAGTTGCAGATTGATAGGTCTTTGAAAAATGTTTGGTGACACAAAACTCTTTCAATCAGTTCCAAATCTGGCAACTCTCTTGTTGCATTAGATTCTTTTTCCTTCACTTTTCTTCTCTTTCTAACAGAGACAGACACATCCCTTTTCCTGTGTCCCATTTTAGATGACTGATGGAAAAGTAAACACCAAATATGAGCATGTGGGGATGGTTTATTTCTTTTTACATTGACTAGAAGGCAGTGTTGAAAGGGAGACACTGCTGTCATTTCACAATGTAGGAAATTTAGAAAAGGTGTTAGAGCTGTTTTAAATAATTTCTATTTTTGGATTATGCCATTCATGAGGGTATGTAGTCTTTCCTTTATAGAAGAAATTTGTTTAAAGTATATCTGAGATCTCTTGGTGACAAATAAACAGTGTGTTCAAAAGAAACCCTGTAATTTTTTCATTAGATGATTCATGCTTAAAAATGTCAAATGATCAGAAATGAAAGACCCAATGATCAGGTCATTAGAAACATATGGTTCTGGGAATTATTATGCATGCCAACTCTAAATATGGAATCTCAGTCCATTCTTTTGTCCTTACAAAGATAGCAGAGGCTTTTATGCCTAGTTTTTTTCTTTTTACATTTTAAACTCAGTGCCCTTGCATTTCCTTTACCTATGAGGTAGTACAGCCTAGTGGATAGATATAAGTACAACAGGATGAGTTTGCCTGAGTTCAAATTCTGACTCTACTTATGCATGGAGTGATGTTGAGAAAGCAGCTTAGCCTTTCTGTGCCTTCATTTCCTAATTTGTAAAATGAAGATAATAAGTATACTTACCTTGAAAGACTACAGTGAAGATTGAATGAAATCATACCTGCAATGCCCTTAGAACAATTCTTGGTACATAATAGATGCTCAATCAGTGTTGGCTTTTATTATTTACTTTGACTAGACTACTTAGTTTGACTTATTGTTCCCCCTAGAGAGGAAAGATTACAACAACCTCCATGTAGATTGATGTTTAGGATGCCCTTTGGGAATAGATCTGACTTAAAATGCCTTAAATATTATACCTTTAGACAGTCATCTTTATGAACATTGAATATGTGATATTTTGGTCATAGGTTTAAAGAGATACACTTCTACTATTAGAAATCATTCTTTATTATAGTAATTTCTCCACACATTAAGAATGGAAAATTCTGTTTTAGACCAGTAGATTTAGGGAGAAAGACTCTATGATCTTCGTTTCTGTCTTATTTTCTCAGCAGCAATGGAAAGGTTGTACCAAAAAGGATAATTTGTTAATGATATCGAAACTCTTAAGAATGACCCAAGTAAAATATAATTTTATGAAAATCTTTTCTTCTGAACTGTATATTTGGATTTGATGTGGATATTTCAAGATATACATTTTAGAAATACTAAAATAATGTGTCTAGATTCCTGGTAATGCCAAGTTCCTACTTGTTCCTTGATTCCCCCAACTCGTTAAATCAATAGCATTCATTGCTTCTTGCACAGGATCGACCCAGATGACAATAAACAATAGAGTCATCATTTGGCTTTGATCTTTCAAACATGTGTAGCAAGATGGCAGTCTTCAAGCAAGCACCTTTTGTTTGCAAAAGCCATGCTTTTTTGAGGTAGAAAAAAGGAGGAGATGTATATTATGGTATTCTTACAAATTAGAACTCGATATGGGGATCTTATAGCAGAACAAAACAGAGAGGAACAATGGACAGAACACATGGGAAATTCCCACAACATAGGAAGGAGCAAATCTACCCTGTACTGGGGAAGATCACTGAAGGGGAAGAAGATCAAGAAATTTGGCAGAACAGTGTTACTTCTCCATCCTGTCACCCTTAGGTGAGATCTTGAAACTGGGAGTGGACAAGTAAAAGTTTAATTGATTCTTCCAAATTCCAGAACCTGGGGGAGGTTGTAGACCCTCTTTATAGTGAAATGTCCAATATGACATTGGGGTGGCTAATGGGAGAGGCTAAGGTTACCTTGAAGGAGTCTTGCACACTGCAGAGTCAACAGTGGAGAGCTTCCTCTCCACCTCCTCTCCAGTGTTCACATTCTGTGAGGACCAGTGCACCAAGGAGCTGAGTAGTGGAGGATGCAGAATGCAGAGAACTCACCAACAGGTGCAGTGGCAATTCCGTGGTCATCAGGTGTGGGTACCGTTAATAAACCAGGGCAGACAAATCACTGTTACCAGGAGAGGATTGCTAGCAGACTGCGCAGATCGCAGGACATTTCAGCAAAAGCCCTGAGAACCCAGAGGAGAGAGGAACTAGATGTTCCTTTTCATTCAGGAACACCCTCTTGGGAAGAAGGAGGAGTATGAAGAAAATGTTCCTTTTAATTGTAAAGTTAAAGGATTTTTTTTTCCATGTATAAGAAGACCTGTATGGAAAACCATATCAATGATAAAAAGTAAAGTTATTAGGTTGGTGCAAAAGGAATTATGGTTTTTGCCATTGAAAGTAATGATAAAAACCGCAATTACTATGCACCAACCTAATAAATGAATTGTAGAAAATAAACTTTACACCCACCAGCTAAGCTATTCATTCTATGTTCAAAGGTACAAGGAAAGTTGACTTTTCTGAGGGCCAGAAATGTGGCAGTATAAACATAGCTTATTTAGCCCAGTGTGGACCATAAGCCCTAGAGTGTCAGTACCTGAAGATTTTTTACCTAATTGCTCACCTCTTTCCAATTTTTTTGCCTTTAAATTCTATCCTGCATTTTGCTGCTCATGTAGTCATCTGCCTGCAGTCTGCCTTTCTGTGTCACGCAATTCCCTAACTCAAGTACCTCAGTAATGCATTTCTTTATACCAGGAAGAACTGTAATTCACTCCTAAGATTTGTTCCTTGTTTTATTACTATTTTTTGTTCCTTTTGAACAATTCTAATTATAACTTATAGCAAGTTGAGTGTAGTTTGTTCTATAATTTTTAGCGACAGAAAATGACTGTTTAGAATCATTTTTTCCATGCCTTCACTGTTATTCTAAACATAATATATAGTTTAGACTATGACAATATAATAGTTTTAATAAAAATTCAAACTGACCAACAGCAGGAAGTGTATAAAAGCCTTCAAATACTACTGCTAACCAATTGAGTTCAGTGACCACACTGAAACTTGAGAAGAGCATGCTTACAATTTAGCTTTGTGGTATATTGGAGTCTTGTGTGTCAGTATGCATGTTTCATGGGATTTGTAAGCTGAAAGACCTTGATGCTAACTTAATACAAACAAGATAAAATATTCTTAGCAGAGTGTGCTGACCATATGTGAGATTCATTTGATGATGTTTTTCATTTTCTTTATAAAACACATCTCAGGACCACTAGCAGTTATTGTTCTGAAACTTAAATGACACAAATGAAGTCACATCATTGTGATCAGTGAATCCATCTCTAATGGTTTAAATTTTAGATTCAGCTAATCTAAACTAAATCCCTTCTATATCACAGACAACTAAGCCCAATGCTTTGTGTATAACATGCATTCATTTAAACATTGGTTTTTTTGTTTTTTCGATCATGGGTTAGGCGTGTGCTAAGTGCACGTGAGACGGAAGAGATAGAAGGCATAGTTTAGGGTCTCAAAGAACACACAGCATGGTCAAGGAGTTGGAATAATAAACAAGTAAATATAAGGGTAAAATTTGTATAAGTTTATCTTGGAGCCTAGCGAATGGGCTGATCTTCTCATATGGTCATGGAAGATTTCCTTAAGTCTCAATGAATTAGTCCCTATTACCCAAGTAAATAGAGGAAGAATGCATCGGAAGCCAAGGGGATGAATGAAGCTGACACCTTTCGAGAACCTTTAGGAGTTTGATTTGAACAGAACATAAGATGCACATGGAGAAAGTGCCTAGATATAAAGGCTGAAAAGTAGGATTTAGGGGAGATCATGCACTATCTAAACCTCAGAAGAGCTCTGTAAAGTAACTAGTGTTATGCTTATTTTACCCATGAGGAAACAGCCTTGGGGCACTGAAACAACTGGCTCACAGCCACACAGTAAATGGCAGGGTGGGTCTTCTGACCCCAAATTCTGGGCTCCTCTCATTATCACAGAGGAGTTATTGGATTTTTTTTTTGTCTCTTCATGGTCCTTTTTATTTCTATCTATAGTATCAGTCATTAATGGCAATAAAATTTTGAGTTGGAATTGCCTAATAGTAGAGAACAATGCTACTCCAAAATTTATTAGTAATAATAAATCATAGCTCTTACTCTTAAGATTATAAGAAGCAAGAAGTTCCTATCTATCTTCACAGCCATGTGTTTAAAGTTGTATTGAGTATGAGACAAATATATTTTAAAATATGTATATATATTTTTTTATTTTTTTATTTTTTGAAATGGGATTCTCGCTCTGTCACCCAGGCTGGAGTGCAGTGGCACGATCTCGGCTCACTGTAAGCTCCGCTTCCCGGGTTCCCGCCATTCTTCTGGCTCAGCCTCCCGAGTAGCGGGGACTACAGGCGCCCGCCACTACGCCCGGCTAATTTTTTATATTTTTAGTAGAGATGGGGTTTCACCTGTGTTAGCCAGGATGATCTCGATCTCCTGACCTCATGATCCGCCTGCCTCGGCCTCCCAAAGTGCTGGGATTACAGGCGTGAGCCACCGCGCCCGGCCATATATATTTTTATTCATTCAAAAAATATGTTTCTGCCACATGTATAGGCAAGCCTTTCATTTTGTCCTTCTGGGTAACCATTTGTTCAGAAGCCTGGGAAGTAAGGGAACTAGCCTAAGGGGTGAGGCCAACTGCAAGGTTGGTCTCATACAGATGTTCATCTGGGGTTGGTTAAAATTGTTTTGAAATTTCTTCTTCAGAAATAAGGATCCAATGCTCATGAATGATTTGATGTCTTAGAGTGACTCAAAGTATCAGAAACATTTTAAGTATTTAGTTTGGAACCATTAAAATGAAACAAATGAAAATTTAGCCATGCCTTATACTCCTTGAGTGACCATCAGGAAGAAAATAGTCATTCTTTTAAGTGAAAATTTATTAATGTGGGGTTAATTCCCCTAAGGAGAGGCCTAATGATAAGCATTAGATAGGTATCTGTGTGTGTATAATTTTTCTGGAATGGAGAGAATCTGTAGGATTCTTAAGACCCAGTAAATTCTGAAGGATTAAGAATCACTTCAAGTCTGACACCCTGAACTGAGCAAGTATGTCTGTGTGTGTGTGTGTGTGTGTGTGTGTGTGTGTGTGTGTGTGTATTTGCTGTGTTTGTGGATCGCCTTGGATTACTTTTAATCTGTAGTGTGAGGTTCTCTAGAGTTGATTCTAGGTAAGCAAGCAAAAATTTTTAGACATTTTAGGTTAACATTAGGCAAAGAAGGTTTTTCGTTTGTTTTGTTTTTTAATATTAAGAGGGGATGTTCATAAAGTAACATACTGATTCCATTATGTCATCCAAACAATAGTATCAACACTATGTTCCACAACAGTAAAGCTTTAGGACCTGTAAATTAATGTTTCGTATGTGAATTATGAATACAATATTTTAATTATGTTGAAATTAAACCAATACCACATCATCAGTCTCTCAGCTCACATGAGTAAATAGAAATGTGATCTTTAATTTTTATTGAGTTGCTTAACAGTTTCTGCTTTGTAAAATCTGTGATAGGCTACTAAATCCCTTTATAAACCCTTCCTTTTACCCCCAAAATATTTTCAGATGGTGCAGAATATAACAAGTTGCTATAGTAACTGTGCAAGCTAAAGTAATATGCCCTGTAATAGCCATGAAATACAAGTAGCATTATTTTGAATTTTGTGTTAAAAACAGAAATGTATAAAGGTGATACAATAATAAATAAAATTTAATTATGTGTTGACCAATGAAACAAAAATCTGTGAGTCACATTTTCCTCACCTATAAAATTTTTGCACATTCTCAATTGTTTCATATGTGTCTATTTTGTTAAAGGGTAGTTCTAAACTTTCTTTTACTTTGCTTAAATTATTGCTCTCAAAATATAAACAAGCTTAGTAATAGTGTATCTAATCAATCTAATTGATATTTTAGAATATCAATTAAGTGTTAATATTTATATTTTACTATAATTATGCAGAAATATATAAATCCAAAATCTTGTTTTATGTTTTTACAGTTTTGTAGACTTTTTTTGCATTTGGAGAATATTTTTGACATATTTTCCACAATTGCAAAGAAATTTTGAAATTTAGCCACTTCTAAAGAACTACTTCTAATTTTGAAGGCAAAGAAATTATCTTTAAGTCTACATTTAACCTATTTAAGAGAATTCTTATAACTTAGCATATAACCAAAATTTAGGCAAAACATAAATTCTGATCTGAAAAATAGTATTACCTACTTGATTTTCCATCACTTATATGTTCTATTAAATAACAACTTTCTAAAACATCTAGTGTTTTAATAACTTTTGTGAACATTTCAGTCACACCTAATAATGCATCATAATATAAATACAGCATGTTTTAAAAAGTTACTCAGCTTCTTTTACATTATTACTCCCTATTGGTTAAAATATTGCAAAATGGACAGTCTTTTTACAGATGTACACAAATAACTTACAGGTTTGGGAACAGTTTGCAATTCTTTAATTGCCATTTTCTCTGAAAACTATCACTGCTACATCCAAAAGACATATGTGACATTCGAAAGTATATACTTAAATTTTGTAGCTAAGTGTTTGTGTGTGTTAATGGCATAAGCTTAGGATTGGCATAAATTTTTAGGAAAATAACTTTAAATTGGTACCATTTAAAAAAATCCCCAATACCTATTTGTGATGATCTTACTATGTTCTCTTAAGACTAATGAAACTAGAGAAACTCTCTTTGAGATGGTTTTTGTCTATTGCCTGTAACTTACCACAGATTCTGTTTTTGTGGTGTGCTATTAGTTGTCACTTCCAATATAATTTAATAATTCTAAGGACATTGATCTTATTGATAGTGTTCAGTAAGAATTTGCTTTTCATTATGCCAATGATTTCATATTGAATTAGGACATATTTGTAAGAATCAAATAATTAGTTCTTAATTTCTTTTTTTTTTTGAGACGGAGTCTCACTCTGTCGCCTAGGCTTTAGTGCAGTGGCACGATCTTGGCTCACCGCAACCTCCACCTCCCAGGTTCAAGCGATTCTCTTCCTCAGCCTCACGAGTAGCTGGGACTACAGGCATGTGCTGCCATGCCCAGTAGCTGGGTTTACAGGCATGTGCCGCCGTGCCCAGCTGATTTTTGTATTTTTAGTAGAGACGGGGTTTCGGCATGTTGGCCAGACTGGTCTTGAACTCCTGACCTTAGGTGATCCACCCACCTAGGCCTCCCAAAGTGCTGAGATTACAGGTGTGAGCCACTGCGCCCGGCCTAAAATTTCTTTATCTTTCATTCTGATTTCCAGTAATTTCCGAATAACCTTTAGTTAAATTTGAAAAATTACTTATGCCATTATAATGGTAAACATGCTTTCAAGAAATAAAATGTTTTCGACTATAAGTTTTGCCTACTCTATTTGTCTTAACATATGTTTATAACTTATTGGTGACAGGTGATCACAAAGAGATTTTCCCCAAAACTGAAATGATTTCAAATATATTTATTTATAAGATTTTTTAATGTTTTTAGTGTTTGGTGAGTGACTCTTCTCTATAGATTACATTTTCATGGCAGAACAAATTTGCATTCAATTAAATATAATATCTTCATTATCATTTATCTAAATATAAAGATGCAATAAAACATAGTCTATCTCAAAATTTTTATAATTTGGAGATAAGTTTGTATATATAATATCACTTATTTTTAATTTTTTTTCCTCCAACTTTTAGATTCCATGGGTACATGTGCTGGTTTGTTACCCAGGTGTATTGTGTGATGCTGAGGTTTGGGTTACAAATGATTCCATCAGCCGGGTGCTGAGCATGATACTCAATAGTTAGTTGGTCAACCCTTGTTCCCCTTCCTCCCTACCCCCGGTAGTCCCCAGTTTCTATTGCTGCTGTCTTTATGTCCATGTATAGACATTGTTACCTCCCACATATAAAGAGAACATGCAGTATTTGGTTTTCTGTTCCTTCATTAATTGACATAGAATATGGGAATGCAAATTAGTTCAGCCACTGTGGAAAGGAGTTGGGAGATTCCTGAAAGAACACAGAACTGCCATTCAGCCCAGCAATCCTATTAGTGAGTGTATATCCAAGAAGACACATGCACTTACATGTTCATTGCAGGGCTTTTCACAATAGCAAAGACACTGAATCAACCTACATGCCAATCAGGGTTGGACTAAAAGTGTGGTACATATATACTATGGAATACTATGCAGCCATAAGAAAGAATGAAATCATGTTCTTTGAAGCAACATGGATACAACAGGAGGCCATGTCCTGGTCAGGCTGGCCTCGAACTCCTGACCTCAGGTGATCCACCCGCCTTGACCTCCCAAAGTGCTGGGATTACAGATATGAGCCACTGCATCTGGCCTTTTGACTTTTTATTAATAGCAGTTGACTAGTGTGAGATGTTATCTCATTGTGGTTTTGATTTGGCATTTCTCTGATGATTAGTGATGTGGAGAATTTTTTTCTTATGTTTGTTGGCCGCTTATATGTCTTCTTTGGGGAAGTGTCTCTTCATACCTTTTGCCCATTTTTTGATGAGGTTATTTGTTTTTTGCTTGTTGAGTTATTAAAATTTCATATAGATTCTGGATATTAGACCTTTGTCGAATGCATGGTTTGCAAATATTTTCTTCCATTGTGTAGGTTCTGTTTACACTGATGTTAGTTTTAGTTTGGTGTGCAGAAGCTTTTTAGTTTAATTAGACCCCACACATCAATTTCTGGTTTTGTTGGAATTGCTTTTGAGAGAGGAAGACATTTCATTTTTCTAGAGAAAGAAGGAAGATAACAAATGGAATAAGATCTTGAACTTGGTGTAAATGGGAAGGTATACATTCTGAATGTAAGAGAGAGGGATACCTTATGCTCTGAGACAGGCAGGGAGAAGGGGGCAGGGATTGCTGGTGTCTGAAGGTACGGGGACAGAAAATAGAATGAGTTCATGCTTTGTTTATTTTGTCAATTAAGTAGGAGGCAAGATCATTTGTGAATTGTAAGAAAAGATGGCAAGGTAATTTGCCCTAAGGGGTTTGAGAATGGAAAGTTTTGGAATGGCTGTTTACAATTGGATGTGAGATAGCCACATAGGGCCAGGCAAGTAGTTAGCTGTGTGGCGTTGAGTCCCAATAATTTAACAAGCATTTCCTGAATTCTTGCTACATGTCAAGTACTTGGCTAGGCTCTGGAAATACAGAGATGAAAGATCTGGTCCTGGTCCTTGGGAGTTTACAGACATATCAATCACTAGTTACCCTGTGAGTGCTGCTATGGCAGCTGAGAAGGGGAAAGTCTTTCTCAGCTTGGGTAGGAGACAGAAATGGATACATTTTCCCTGAAGGAGAGCTTCTTAAGCTCTCGTATGTGCTACAGAATCATCTTGTTTTCAGGCAAGTTAACAGCGGAATATTCTTAAGGTCTAAGTTATGCACTGAATGGCATCTAACAGTACAGTAGGAAATTAAACAACAAAATCTAAAAATAATGAACACCGAAATATTAGGCAGAGTGTTTCAGTTGTTAGTGACAAAGATCCAAAGTAAATTAAAGAGGGAAAAAATAATTGAAATTGTTGATTCACACCATTGCAACAATCTGGAAATCGCTTTTGGTTTCAGAAATGGCTATATTTAGGGGTTTAAATAATATCAACATGTCTCAATCTTTCTGTGACTTTGAGAAAGGAGCATCCTCTGTACTCCAGCAGTTTCATATTGTACACCTGTAAGCCTGTGCATTCCCCTTTGAGAAGTAAAACTTGCTCTTTTGCTATAGCTGCGTGGCAGAACTGTGAGTTCCAGGTTCAGGAAAGCTGTGTTCCCTGTCCCATCTGCCCACCGAATCTGATGAGAACATTTTGCCTTACCATTATAGTTTTAAAAAATGCTATTTTTTATATATTTAAAAATTTTAGGGTAAAATTATCAAATCTACAATTGAAGCTTCATCTTTATTAACAAAATAGCCACTAATTACTTGAACATAATTCTGAATACATACCATGCTCAATTCTAGTGTTGATAGTTAATAATTTAAACAAAAGAATAAAAAAATGTACATTAGAATCTTAAATGCAGATGTAGGCAAAGTCACATGTGCTTGTTTGAGAAAATTTTTGTGTTGTATAACTTGGAATAGATAAAGCATTATAAAACCTTCAGTGCAGGGTCCTCCTTAACATTCAAATGTACTGGACTGTTAACAGAGATCGTAAAGATTTTTAATGAAATGTAATCCAAATAACTATTAAACACTTTTCCTAGTTTTGTTTAATACTTTCAGGAAACTATCTGATCATGAAAATGTAATGTTCCTGAAGCGATTTTTTTAAGAAGTCCAAACATGGTCACATGAGGCTAATCTTAGACGATTTAACTACATTATGAGCAAGAGAATTGATGTTTCAGGAAGTTGAGAAAATAATGTATATATGTTTTATATAATCATTGAGAATCATTTCAGTGTACCCTATTGCATATATCTGATTTCTGTGTTCTTTTTTTTGGTTAGAATAATGAACACGATAGCTATGAAACATTGTTTCCTTTGCTTAGTTTATTTCGACTCTGTTATATCCTCATTTGCATTCATCTGTAGGTGAGCAATTAACATTATTATTTGTGTTGCTCTTAATTCATAAATATTATACCATAAACTGTGCTTTAGGTAGTCCAGTTTTATTGCTATGATTAATAACTATGATAATTATTTTTATCTTTACATCATTTAACATTTTGCCATAGGAAATCATCACTACAGTAAAGGTAATGAACATATTCATCCCCTGAGCATTAATAATGTTTAATGCTTGGATTTTGAAACTATGTTAGAGAGCAGTTTGAAGGATGAAGACATCAAGATTGTCACTGAATAGGAAATAAATGTCCTGGTATGGAAGAAATGAAATAATATAGAAAGTTTAAAGTTTCTGCACAACCCAGGGTAAAAAATGAAGGCTTATGACTCAGTCTTTGCAGTAAAAATATCTCCTCCCCTCCTTCCTAAAATGGTCTCAATTAGATAAGGTTACCGTTGTGGTCACCACATTTTTTGTAAAAGCAGGGCATTCTGTCCTCTAAGTTTCTGGTCAGAGGTTGAAGCAATGTAAAACAAAATAAGCACCATTGTTACATAAGCACTGCATGTAGACAAGGTATATTTAGCTTTGTAGGTAGTTCAGAATAATAAAGATTAGAATATGAAGGCTGAGCGTCTGGGGAAATTTTTTTAAAGAAATGTTTCTGAACAAAAACCACAGCACAGATTAAGGATTGGTGCTTACAATACAAAGAATGATAAGCAACATGCATTAAAATTTTACTGAAGGCTGGGCGCGGGGGCTCACGCCTGTAATCCCAGCACTTTGGGAGGCCGAGGCGGGCGGATCATGAGGTCAGGAGATTAAGACCATCCTGGCTAATACAGTGAAACCCCGTCTCTACTAAAAATACAAAAAAAATTAGCCGGGCATGGTGGCAGGTGCCTGTAGTCTCAGCTACTTGGGAGGCTGAGGCAGGAGGATGGCGTGAACCCGGGAGGCAGAGCTTGCAGTGAGCTGAGATCGTGCCACTACATTCCAGCCTGGGCGACAGAGCGAGACTCCATCTCAAAAAAAAAAAAAAAAAATTTACTGAAGACATTTTCTTAGTAGTGACTGTACTTGGAAGACCCCTGGGCTCTTTAAAGTGGTATGCAGATGAAGAGAGACTGACTAGGATGCCTTGGTTGTTCAGGGCAGAAAGAAGACACAGAGACAAAAGATTGCTGACCTATAAATGGCTCTAAATGGAAGTCCAAAACTTACTTTTCCCTGACTCGTCATTGAGATTGTACTTTTTATTCATAGTTTAACCTTCTTTACTCAAGATGATAAAAGAGCAATAGGAAAATCTGGGGAAAGGAAAAGATGGGTAGGAATAAAAAAATGTATCTATGAATGAGGTGAGAGGACACAGAATTCATGCTGTGTAGTCCAGCACATTCAGAAATGACCTCGAATTTGGTTCTGAGATTTCTAGCAGCAAGCAAAAAGAAGGCAAATCAGTTACAAGTGTCACGCGTTTCATAAGATCAAAAATAAACAGTTGTTCTAGAGAAGCAAAACTCTTCACTGGCACTAAAGGGAGACATTTCTTCTCTCAGTTGTTTTGTAGTTAAGGAGATGGTGGCTCCTCTTCTTTGGACTCCAATGTTAGGGAGAATCTTCTGATTCCTAGAATATTGAATAAAAGGTGGAAATCTCTTAATGATATTGTACAAAGTAAAAAATTTTGCCAACATCATTTTATCCCTAGAAAAATGCGTTTGACATTTGGAATTATGTTAAGAATATGTTATTGTTTCCAATACTAACTAAATACCAGTAGTAACCAAGGTGCTATCAAACTATGGATATCAGTGATATTTAACATGTTTCTGCTATTTTCCAGGTCTTGAAGTGCATTCACATTTATAATCACATCAAATTTTTATAGTATATCTGGGGAGTAGATAACATTATCCCTATATACTGGTTTTCCTACTGGTTTGAGGTCAAGAGACTTGCTTGAACTCACACAGAAATAAGTGGTATAGTTGGGACTAAAACATAGAACCAAATGTTTAAAATGTTTTTGTCACTACAGAAACTACAGTTCAATTTTGCAAGGAAAATCTTCCACTTACTCATTTATCATAAGTATAGGCATGTCTTTTCAATACTTATTTTATATATTAGCAGCATCCTTTTATTTATTGCTGTAATCTTGATAATATGGAATAGGGTGGAGAATAATGGGAATAATAAAATAACTATCATTTACCAAGTACTTTATCATTTCATTTATTTATTACAATAGCTCTGTAAGGTAAGGACCATTGTCCACATTTTGCAGATGAGAAACAAAATAGTAACAGCTGGTATATTGCAGAGCCAAAATTCTAAACAGGTCTGCCCAAGTCCAAAACCCTTATTTCTAGTTACCATGCCATGTGGCTGGACAGCTTTTATGATACACATCAAGGAAGTTGCCATGATGGTAGAGTTAATTAGGTGTAAGACCATTGTCACTCTGTCCTTACCAGGAAAGTTACAGAAAATACAGCTTCCTGCACTGGCTGCTAGGTAAATGCCTACTTACTCTCTGGGGTATATTAATGTTGGCAAACAGGGCAGTTTTCTTACACCAGGCTGTATACCTGTATTGAAAAGCAGAGCTTTGGAAGTTGCCAAGGCAGAACTGCCAGGCTGACTTCCATTTGGTCCATAAAAGTGAATAATGAAGTGAGTGTCCCTGCACATGGGACCGAGGAGACTGATTGTGTATGTCGCAGTAGAACTTTAGAATTCTGTGCATTAACACCTTCTTCCTTCCCTCCTTTATGGTATTTGAGATATTAAATGGATGCTGCTATTTTCAGTTCAGCTGGCCAAGGGAAGTCATGGGTTTGGCAAGAAGAGAGCAGTAAGAGCAATATGTAACTGTTCTCATCCACTTATACTTCCATTCCTTCCGTTATTTTTGTGTTTATGTTTTATTTGTTGTTTCAGGTGCCATGGTAGGTGTTACAGTGAGTGCAAAAATGAAGGAAAAATACCCTATACCTTAAAGGAATTGATAATTTGGCAGTGGGTGAAGAGGAAAGATAAGCATTTTAATTTAAAAATGCCCTCCAGGCTCTATAAGCTAAATGGCCAAGAAAAATAGACCCATGAAGATTAAATGCATTAGTAAGGAGAGAGATACAAATGAAAGCAATAATAAGATGTCACTAAAGTGACAATAAATAAAGTGGCAAGAGTTAGAAAACCAGAGAGAGCCAAGTAATGGCAGAAATGTAGAGATGTGGGGGCCAACATGGACTGCTGTTGATATTGCATAATGGCGCAGACATTCTAGAGAACGGTTTGTCATTACTTAGGCAATAAGATTACCTATTCCTGTGACCCTGCAATTCTTCTCTTTGACATATAGATTAAGAAAATCCTCAAACAGGTCTATATTGGTCAGATATGAACATATTCATTTCTGGTGAGCAGTAGTTGATTGTCAAAAGTGTGGGCAGTAAGCATTATGCAATAATTAGAAATTCCTGTGGAAACTTGGAAGGATTGTAAAAACCAGCATGGTGCAATCAAGAAAGGAGCAAGAGCTCTATCACAGAATCCAGTAATATAAATGAGAATGAATGTATAATACAGTACATATTTTTCAAAAGTTACATGAAATATATTAGAGTAGTTTCCTGTGGGAAGAAGAGTCTAGAGATTGGATTGGGATTACAAAGGAATGTAAATATAACAGAGGGACTATTCATGAACCAATAATTATAATGTTCCATTAAATAAGGAGTATGCTAAATTCACACCTGTAAACTAGAAAAAACAAAATCCTGGAGATTCAGAGAAGTCACAACTTGAAGAGTTTAGGATATATTTCATGGAGCGGGTGGCATTTGAGGTGTATCTTGAAGAATGGGTAAAATTTTAAACAGATACTGGGGAGGACAGGGAGCTGTCACAGGTAGGAGATAGTGGAATATATGAAGAAAGCCTTCCACCAGGGAGGAGGGTCAGGACCAGCAAGTGCTTGGCAATACAGTGGCAAGGGGCAAGGATCATTTAAAAGAGAGGAGTTCACTTTGGTTGGAGCAGAGGGTATGTGTGAAGCAAAGTAAAGATAATGAACAGTTATTTAGCACTATGTGTCAGGCATTGGCCTGAATACTTTATGCATAGTATCTAATTCATCCTCACAAAGGCCATATGACATAGACAATGTAATCATAACCATCGTCATCATCATCATCATCATCATCCACCTCACAGATGAGTAAACCATGTCTCAAAGAGGTAAATAACTTTTCAGCCACAGGTCCTGCAAATCCTAGAGTCATGAGGAACAGCCGGGTATAGCTCTACTCCCTTTCTCCAGGGATACCTCACACTTTTGAAAAACAGGGCTGTTCTCTGTATCCCTGTCAATGTAGATGCAGAGGGTCTTGGCGATGATGTGGTTAAAGTAGTGAAAACTCAGCCTTACACTAGGTATGGATTTAATTATCCCATAGTACTGATTAGTTTGATAGCAAAAAAGGATATTTGAGAAGGAAGCTGCCCATATTATAAAGGCCTGCCTATATAATAAAGGCCTTTTTGCTCATGTGTGTCTCATTGAAATGATGGAGTGGCTGTGCCAACATCAAGCTAAATAAGGAGAAAACATTTATAAGCACCCTTTTAACTCTGTTAGAGCTATGTATTCTGAAATCCCTTCAAGTAACAAATGGGTAAGAACAAAAGGGGCAGAATGGGCCTTTCGACTGCAAAGACTGAGGCTCAAGCTTTAGGGAACCCTGTTTATGACACTGATTCGATATAGTTAAACTCCGAGCTTCTATGTAGTTAAACATGGGGGAAATGGCCATATCTATAAGGTAGGATTATGAGTCTCAAGCATTCTGAAAAGGAATGTCAGACATGTCTTTCTGGTCAATGTAGGAATAGAATTTGCTTCATCGGCTAGGTGAACATTTAGGCCAATTGCTATGGCTGTGTCTTAGAAAGTGACATTTGTGACACGAGAAATAGCTAAGTATAGAAGCCCACCAGTGAACAACAAAAGCCAAAATGTCCATGTGAACTAATGTTTCAATACGTCTGTTTTTAATTTATGCCTTCCTTTTTCTGGCATCTCTACCCATTTCTCAAATTCCTCCCTTGCTATTTACACTTCAAAACATCTGGGATTGGGCTTCCAGCACCTGCTGTAGGAAGCAGAGATCATCCTGCTGAAAATATGATTTTACATGTTAACATTTAAA